>NC_000007.14:48119029-48422060 GCF_000001405.40 Homo sapiens
TGGGGTACAGGTGATGTTTGGTTACATAAGTTCTTTAGTGGTGATTTGTGAGATTATGGTGCAGCCATCACCTGAGCAGTATACATTGTACCCTATGTGTAGTCTTTCAACTCTCGCTCCCCTCCAATCCTTCCCCGCAAGTCCCCAAAGTCTGCTGTATCATTCTTATGCCTTTGTGTCCTCAAAGCTTAGCTCCCACTTATCAGTGAGAACATATGGTGTTGGTTTTTCCATTCCTGCAGAACTCTTTCTTGAAGAAAACTTCCATCTTTTCTCTGTGCCATTGAGGTGTAAATCTTCTACTCTGTCTTCTCTTGGACCAAAAAGCCATCTCTTTGAAACTTCCAGGGAGTTACAAACTTCCAGGAAAATTACTTTCTACCCCCAAACCCAAGGGAAACAAAAGTGGGGTTAGGGGAGGCTATTAAGAAAAAAACTGGCAAATAAAAATTCCTGAAGATTTCTTCCACAAATATTGGTAAGAAACTTTAGCCATCTGAGCAGATTTGTCTCATCTTCCAGAAGCAACTTAAATTCAGCTATTTTTAAAATATAAACTACCGAGCTTTGTGTTATTGTATTGTAAAATTTTAAAACAAAAGCTACATAATCTCTATTTGCATCTGTCTGTTTATATATGTGTGTTTGCATGTTATGTTATGTAGTATGATATTTTTCTACCTTCGGATGATATGAAATTAATATATAAAATCCCTTAAAGGCATTCTATTTAATTAGCTTGAATAAAATAAGTGCTTACATAAATTTAGTATTCCTTTTTTTTTTTTTTTTTTTGAGATGGAGTCTCGCTCTGTATCCCAGGCTGGAGTGCAGTGGCACGATCTCAGGTCACTGCAACCTCTGCCTCCTGGTCCTGGTTCAAGCAATTCTCCTGCCTCAGCCCCCTGAATAGCTGGGATTACAGGCACGTGCCACCTTGCCCAGCTAATTTTTGTATTTTTAGTAGAGACAGGGTTTCACCATGTTGGCCAGGCTGTTCTTGAACTCCTGACCTCATGATCCACCTGCCTTGGCCTCCCAAAGTGCTCACAGGCTTGAGCCACCGTGCCCGGCCAATTAAGTATTCTTAAGACTTTCAGAGGTGTAGAAATGAGTCCAAACGTTTCTTTTTTTAAGTTCACGTAATTTGTGATACTCTTTGGTAAAGAAAGTTTTAAGATTGCTGACAAAATAAAAACACGGTTTCCAGAGCTGTTAGCATTAAACATAATAAAGACATACACTTTTTTCTACCTAGTTTACTAGTCAAACAAACTTATGTTATCTCTATTAGATGTTTAAGATTACAAAGCTATAAATCCAACCTAAGAACAACATTAAGAACAAATTGCTTGATGCATGTTAAGTGTGGCAGTGAGGAAAACAAATAAAGAAGAACCATATATTTGCTGTTGTAATTTCCTTGCTTCTGTGATTTTTTTTTACTACTTGCCTGATATGTCAACAATAAAAAAATTAAATAATTTAGAATGATAGCTACTTTTGTTTAATGTCTCATGAAATTTTCCTGAGCAGTACTGGTGGGAATAGGCCCCCAAAATCTGGCCATAAACTGGCCCCAAAACTGGCCATAAACAAAATCTTTGCAGCACTGTGACATGTTCGTGATGGCCATGATGCCCATGCTGGAAGGTTGTGGGTTTACTGGAATGAGGGCAAGGAATATCTGGCCCACCCAGGGCGGAAAAACGCTTAAAGGCGTTCTTAAACCACAAACAATAACATGAGCGATCTGTGCCTTAAGGACATGCTCCTGCTGCAGATAACTAGCTGGAGCCCATCCCTTTATTTCGGCCCATCCCTTTGTTTCCCATAAGGAATACTTTTAGTTAATCTATAATCTATAGAAACAATGCTTATCACTGGCTTGCTGTCAATAAATACTTGGGTAAATCTCTGTTCGAGGCTCTCAGCTCTGAAGGCTGTGAGACCCCTGATTTCCCACTCCCCACCTCCATATTTCTGTGTGTGTGTCTTTAATTCCTCTAGCGCTGCTGGGTTAGGGTCTCCCCAGCCAAGCTGGTCTCAGCACAGTACAAATATAATTGTTAAGAATAAGTAAATTACATAAATGTAAGTGAGATTAAAAATGTACAAATGAACTATTCAGCAATGATTATGTTTTATAATATGTCTGCCTGAAAACACTTTTCAGTCTTTTGGTAACTTGCAACCTTAAGGTTATGCTAAATTAAATTAAGTCATAGATATTCATTAACTGTCTGGGTCATTCCTAAATAAGATAAGCTATTGAAATGTTAATTACTAAGCAGGAGTAGGCACTTATAAACCTTGTTTTTATGTGATATAAAGTAAATATATTCAAATTTATTAATAAACAAGAAATTGTAATATGAGGAAATAGCAAAGAGCTACAAAAATGTGAGAGGAATCCTTTTTTAAAATTCAATTTAATTTTTAATTTTTTTATTTCAATAGGTTTTGAGAGAACAGGTGGTTGTTGGTTACGTGGATAAATTCTTTGGTGGTGATTTCTGATATTTTAATGCACCTGAGCAGTGTACACTGCACCCAATGTGTAGTCCTTTAAACCTTACCTTCCTCCCATCCTTCCCCACAAGTCCTCAAAGTTTGTTGTGTCATTCTTATGCCTTTGCATCCTCATAGCTTAGCTCCCACTTATAAGTGAGAACATACAATGTTTGGTTTGCCATTCCTGAGTTACTTCACTTAGGATAATAATCTCCAACTCCATCCAGGTTGCTGTAAATGCCATTATTTCATTCCTTTTTATGCCTGAGTAGTATTCCATCGTGTGTGTACGTATGTGTGTGTGTGTATATATATATATATATATATATATATATATATAAAAATATATATATATATATATATATATATATATATATATATATATATATATATAAATACAAATTTTATTTATCCACTTGTTTATTGATGGACATTTGGGCTGGTTCCATATTTTTGCAGTTGCAAATTATGCTGCTATAGACATGTGTGTGCAAGTGTCTTGTTCATATAATGACTTCTTTTTCTTTGGGTATATACCCAGGAGTGGAATTGCTGGATCAAATGGTAGATGTACTTTTAGTTCTTTAAGGAATTTTCACACCGTTTTCCATAGTGGTTGTACTAGTTTACATTCCCGCTAACAGTGTAAAAGTGTTCCCTTTTCACCACATCCATGCTGACATCTATTATTTTTTGATTTTTTGATTATGGCCATTCTTGCAAGAGTAAGGTGATACCGCATAGTGGTTTTCATTTGCATTTCCCCGATAATTAGTGATGATGAGCATTTTCTCATGTTTGTTGGCCATTTGTATATATTCTTTTGAGAATTATCTATTCATGTCCTTAGTCCACTTTTTGATGGTATTGTTTGTTTTTTTCTTGCTGACTTGTTTGAGTTCCTTGACGATTCTGGATATCAGTCCTTTGTCAGATGCATAGTTTGTGAAGATTTTCTCCCAGCCTGTGGGTTGTCTGTTTACACTGCTGATTATTTCTTTTGCTGTGCAGAAGCTTTTTAGTTTAAATAAGGCCCATCTATTTATCTTTGTTTTTGTTCCATTGGCTTTTGGGTTCTTGGTCATGAAGTGTTTGTCTAAGCCAATGTCTGGAAGGGTTTTTCTGATGTTATCTTCTAGAATTGTTACAGTTTCCAGTGTCAGATTTAAGTCTTTGATCCATCTTAAATTGATTTTGGTATAGGGTGAGAGATGAGGATCCAGTTTTATTCTTCCACATGTGGCTTGCCAATTATCCCAGCACTATTTGTTGAATAGGGTGTCCTTTCCCCACTTTATGTTTTTGTTTGCTTTGTCAAAGATCAGTTGGCTATAAGTATTTGGCTTTATTTCTGGGTTATTGATTCTGTTCCACTGGTCTATGCGCCTATTTTTATACCAATACCATGATGTTTTGGTGTCTATAGCATTACAATAGTTTGAAGTCAGGAAATGTGAAGCCTCCAGATTTGTTCTTTTTGCTTAGTCTCGTTTTGGTGGTGTGGGCTCGTTTTTGGTTCCAATGAATTTTAGGATTGTGTTTTCTAGTTCTGTGAAGGATGGTGATGGTATTGTGGTGGGAATTGTATAGAAGCTGTAGATTGCTTTTGGCAGTATGGTAATTTTCACAATATTGATTCTACCCACCCATGAACATGGGATGTGTTTCCATTTGTTTGTGTCATCTATGATTTCTTCCAGCAGTATTTTTTAGTTTTCCTTATAGAGGTCTTCCACCTCCTTGGTAGGTATATCCCTATGTATTTTATTTTATTTTTTGCAGCTATTGTAAAAGGGGTTGAGTTCGTGATTTGATTCTCACCTTGGTCACTGTTGGTATATAGCAGTGCTACTGATTTGTGTGCATAGATTTTGTATCCTGAAGCTTTACTGAATTCATTTATCAGATCTAGGAGCTTTTTGGATGAGTCTTTAAGGTTTTCTAGGTATAAGAACATATCATCGGCAAATAGCAACAGTTTGACTTCCTCTTTATCGATTTGGAGGCCCTTTATTTCTTTCTCTCCTCTGATTGCTCTGGCTAGGACTAGTACTATATTGAGTAGACGTGGTGAAAGTGGGCATCCTTGCTTTGTTCTAGTTCTCAGGGGGAATGTTTTCAATTTTTCCCCATTCAGTACAATGTTGACTGTTGTCATAGATGGCTTTTATTACTTTGCTAAGGGTATTAATCATAAAGCGGTGCTGGATTTTGTCAAATGATTTTTCTGTATCTATTGAGATAAACATGTGATTTTTGTTTCTAATTCTGTTTATGTAGTGTATCACATTTATTGACTTGCATATATTAAACCATTCCTGCATCCCTGGTATGAAACCCACTTGATCCTGGTGGATTATCTTTTTGATATGCTGTTGGATTCGGTTAGCTAGCATTTTTTTTAAGGATTTTTGCATCTAGGTTCATCAGAGATATTGGTCTATAGTGTCCTCTTTTGTTCTGTCCTTTCCTGGTTTTGGTAATAGGGTGATACTGGCTTCATAGGGTGATTTAGGAGGATTCCCTCTTTCTCTATCTTTTGGAATAGTGTCAATAGGATTGGTACCAATTCTTCTTTCGATGTCTGATAGAATTCAACTGTGAATCCATCTGGTCCTAGATTTTTTTATTGGCATTTTTTTCAGTTGTCATTTCAATCTTTCTGCTTTTTATTGGTCTGTTCAGGGTTTGTTTCTTCCTGGTTTAATCTAGGAGGGTTGTATATTTCCAGGAATTTATACATCTTCTCTGGGTTTTCTAGTTTTTGTGTGTAAAGGTGTTCATAGTCGCCTTGAATGATCTTTGTATTTCTGTGGTATGGGTTGTAATATCTCCCATTTCATTTCTAATTAAGCTTATTTGGACCTTCTCTCTCTCTTCTTTTCTTGGTTAATCTTGCTAATGAACCCTCAATTTTGCTTATCTTTTCAAAGAACCAGCTTTTTGTTTCATTTATCTTTTTTATTTCAATTTCATTTAGTTGTGATCTGATTTTTGTTATTTCTTTTGTTCTGCTGGTTTTGGGTTTGGTTTGTTTTTGTTTCTCTAGTTCCTTGAGGTATGACCTTAGATCATCTATTTGTGCTGTTTCAGACTTTTTGATGTAAGCGTTTAATGCTCTGAACTTTCCTCTTAGCACCACTTTTGCTGTATCCCAGAAGTTTTGATAGGTTGTGTCACTATTATTGTTCAGTTCAAAGCATATTTTAATTTACAACTTGATTTCATTGTTGACCCAGTGATCATTCAGGAGCAGATTATTTAATTTCCATGTATTTGCATGGTTTCGAGGATTCCTTTTGGAGTTGATTTCCAATTTTATTCCACTTTGGTGTGAAAGAGTACTTGATATAATTTTGATTTTCTTAAATTTATTGAGACTTGTTTTGTGGCCTGTCATATAAATGGTCTATCTTGGAGAATGTTCCATGTGCTGATGAATAAAATGTATATTCTGCAGTTGTTGAGTAGAATATTCTACTGTAAAAGAGTCCATTTATTCTAGGTTATAGTTTCAGTCCATTGTTTCACTTTCTGTCTTGATGACCAGTCTAGTGCTGTCAGTGGAGTATTGAAGTCCCCCACTATTATTGTTTGCTGTGTGTCTCATTTCTTAGGTCTAGTAGTAATTGTTTTATAAATTTTGGTGGTCCAGTGTTATGTGCATATATATTTAGGATTGTGACATTTTCCTTTTAGACTAGTCCTTTTATCATTATATAATATCCTTCTTTGTCTTTTTTAACTGTTGTGGCTTTGAAGTCTCTTTTGTCTGTTATAATAGCTACTCCTACTCCCTTTTGGTGTCCATTTGCATGGAATATATTTTCATACCCCTTTACCTTAAGTTTATGTCAGTTCTTATGTGTTTGGTGAGTCTCTTGAAGATAGCAGATACTTGGTTGGTGAATTCTTATCCATTCTGCCATTCTGTATCTTTTAAGTGGAACATTTAGGCCATTTACATTCAATGTTACTATTGAGATGTGAGGTACTATTCTATTCATCATGCTAGTTGTGGCCTAAATATCTTTTTTTTTTCTCATTGTATTATTGTTTTATAGGCCCTGTGAGATTTATGTTCTGAGGAGGTTCTATTTTGGTATATTTTGAGGTTTTGCTTCAAGATTAGAACTCCTTTTAGCAGTTCTTGTAGTGCTGGCATGATAGTGGCAAATTCTCTCAGCATTTGTTTGTCTGAAAAAGACTATCTTTCCTTCATTTATGAAGCTTAGTTTTGCTGAATACAAAATTCTTGGCTGATAATTGTTTTGTTTAGGGATGCTAAAAATATGACCCTAATCCCTTCTAGTTTGTAAGGTTTCTGCTGAGAAATCTGCTGCTAATCTGATAGGTTTTACTTTGTAGGTTACCTGATGCTTTTGTGTCACAGTTCTTAAGATTTTTTCTTGCATCTTGACATTAGTTAACCTGATAACTATGTGCCTAGGTGAATGATCTTTTTGTGATGAATTTCCCAGGTGTTCTTTGAGCTTCTTGTATTTGGATATCTA
The DNA here is from genome assembly GCF_000001405.40 of Homo sapiens. Lineage (NCBI taxonomy): Eukaryota > Metazoa > Chordata > Mammalia > Primates > Hominidae > Homo > Homo sapiens. The sequence goes on from NC_000007.14 coordinate 48,126,058, forward strand.
GATCTCTAGCAAGGCCAGGGAAGTTTTCCTCGATTATTCCCTCAAATAAGTTTACCAGACTTACTTAGCTCTTTTCTTTTCTTTTCTTTTCTTTTCTTTTCTTTCTCTCTCTCTCTCTCTTCCTTCTCTTTCTTTCTTTCCTTTCTTTCTTCTCTTTCTCTGTTTCTCCCTTCCTTCCTTCCTTTCTCTCTCTCTTTCTTTCCTTCCTCACTTCCTTCTTCTCTCTTTCGCTCTCTCTTTCTTTCTTTCTCTTTCTCTCTCTTTTCTTTCTCTCTCTGTCTCTCTCTCTCTCTCCCTGTCTCTCTCTCTCTCTTTCTTTCTTTCACATCTCACTCAGTGGCCCAGGCTGGAGTGCAGAGGCATGATCTCAGCTCACTACCACCTCCACCTCCCAGGTTCAAATAATTCTCATGGCTCAGCCTCCTGAGTGGCTGGGATTACAGGGGCCTGCCACCATGCCTGGCTAATTTTTATATTTTTAGTAGAGACAGTGTTTTGCCACGTTGGCCAGGCTGGTTTCAACCTCTTGACCTCATGTGATCTGCCTACCTCAGCCTCCCATACTTAAATTTTCCTTCTTCCTTGGGAACACCAATTATTCTTAGGTTTGATCATTTAACATAATCCCAAAAACTTCTTGAAGGCTTTTTTCATTTTTTAAAATTCCTTTTTCATTGTCTTTGTCAGATTGGGTTAATTAGAAAGCCTTGTCTTAAATCTCTGATGTTCTTTCTTCTACTTGTTCAATGCTATTGTTAAAACTTTCTAGTATATTTTGCATTGCTCTAAGTATGTCTTTCATTATCGGAAGTTGTGATTTTTTTTAAATTTATGCTATCTATTTCTCTGAAGACTTTTTTCATCCATATACTTTATTATTTTTAAATTTCTTTAAGTTGATTTTCACTTTTCTCTAGTGCCTCCTTAAGTAGCTTAATAATCAACCTCCTGAACTCTTTTTCTGGCAATTCAGAGATTTCTTCTTGGTTTGGATCCATTATTGGTGAGCTAGTATGATCTTTTGGGGGTGTTAAAGAACCTTGTTTTGTAATATTACCAGAGTTGTTTTTCTGGTTCCTTCTCATTTGGGTAGAGTATGTCAGAGGCAAAATCTGGGGCTCAAGCGCTGCTGTTCAGATGTTTTGTCCCACAGGGTGCTCCCTTGATGTAGTGCTTCTCCCCTTCCCTAGGGATGGGGCTTCCTGAGAGCTGGACTGCAGTGATTATTATTGCTCTTCTGGAGGTAGCCACCTAGAGAAGCTACCAGGCTCCAGGCTGGTACTGGGGAGTATTTGCAAAGAGTCCTGTGGTGTGATTCATCTTCAGCTCTCTCAGCTGTAGATACCAGCACCTGCTCCAGTGGAGGTAGCAGGGGAGTGAAGTGGACTCTGTAAGGGTCCTTGGTTGTAGTTTTGTTTAGTGTGCTGGGTTTCTCGAATGCTGGTTGTGCTAGCAGTGAAGTTGTCATATGGACAGACTCAGGACCTCTGGTTTTCCAGGATGTTGCAGGTGGTGGAATTAGCTTCCTTTTGGTTGTTTTCTCCTTTCTTGGAGCAGGAAAAAATAATTTTATTCTGAAGGAGAATGACTGGTTGTTCTAGAATAGGAAAGCAGATAAAAACCGGACAAAAACTGAGAGGATATAAAAAATAAAAAATGTTGTAGAAAATTTTCAAAAAAGGAGTTTGTGTGGTTGAGCTGCTAAGATTGAGTGGATTTATCTATGAGTTAAAAAATGATAAGTCTTAGGGTCAAAAGGGTACTAATATAAAATTAAAATGGCAATGTTTTTTCAGATTGTTAGTCTGCTCTTAATAAATTGTGAAAGGTTTTTTTTTGTCTCTGAGTAATCTCCCTAGAAAACAAATATTTTTGTGTTTTATTAAAAATAATTTTCTGTGCTTCTTGTCTTTATCAGGTCTTTAATTACCTAAGGAAGCTGACTCTTCTCAATATTAAAAAAAGCTAGCTTTTGTTCTCACCTATGTAACCTTGTATATTTGCCTTTACAGTATTTTATTATCACTTTATTTAAACAGATAGCTAAGTATTATATAATAATAATCTGAGATTATATCCTAGGATCTGTGATCCTAATTAAGTATTAAAACCTTTTGATTTTTTTTACATCTCAAAATCAAATTCTAAATGTGGCCTTTTTTTTTTTTTTTTTCTTACCTTGAACTAACTTTGATCTTTTCTTGGGGGCTCCTGGAAAAACTTAAAATTTTTTTTGCTCTTACAAAAAGATATATGTTAAACTACTTAGGCTTACTTGGTAGTTAAGTTACATGGAAAACATTGCCAAATAAGATGTGATGTTGAATTTTCTTTAAGTTATATTTGTATAGATATGTAGTATTAATATAAGTGTTTCAGAAATTCTGTGAGGTCAACAAAAATTTGTCAATACCCTAGCTGTTTATGACAGTCAACCATAATGTTATCAGGTGACTGATAAGGACCTCTCTGATGGCTCATAGAACCTCCTTCTGCAATAAACATACACCTGGAGTGAGCTGATAAAGAGAAGATGAGGCTTCCTCAGGTTTTGAATTTTATAATGATCTAAATGGAGAACCTTTGTTAAAAATCTGTGACTTTAATTTAATAAAAATAAAGTGTCCAAACAGTCTCTTAAAATCTTTTGTGTAATGATTGCTTGTGGGACTCTGGAAGTATTGTTTTAAATTGCCTATGTTGTGAATATATTGTTATCCTGGATTCTTTCTCCCACATCCCTAAGCTGACATCTTCATAGTCAAGCTTGAACTTGACCATGAAGAAGCAAGGAAAAATGAATATTCTCTCCAGCCCCTTTCTAGATTGTCTAATGGTCATTGGTTTCTAAATGACTTTGAATACCACTGCTGGTAGGAAAACTCTTACATTTAAACAGGTTTCTCCACTGCAGAACTTGTTAGTAGAACTTTTCATCTGCGCAATTGAAATAGAAATTGGGACCTACCACTGATGACTAATTAACAGCTGTATCCAAATAGGTTGGTGTGAACTTGGAGGAAGGTCATTAAGACATTTGTGTGAAAAAAAATCTGAATGTCTGAGGCTAGCTTAATGCAAAAACTGGTAAAAGCAAATGCACTCATAGATTCCCAGAGCTCTACTGTTAGTGTGCAAAATGTAAACTGTTACTTTTTAAGTGTGTACAATTGTGAAGGTGAGAGATTCAGAGCTAGATCATATCTCCGGGTATGAAGCTTGCAGATGACCAAGACAGAATGTGATCCTTCTTCAACCTGAGGGAGATATTGAGTAGAGGGGAGGCAGGTTGGATGTATTTTTCCAGATTCAAAACAGAAAAGATTCTGGTATCCAGCATATTTTGGTTCAGGGTAGAACTTTAATAACAGGAAGGAATGTTCTTTTCTTGACATCCACTTCTTTCTTCTTCCCTTTGTTGCGGAGACTTTGGTAAACAATCCAAAGAGGTAAACTGTATCAGCCCAGTGATATATCAATGAACACCTTCCAGAGGTCAATAATATTATCAAGATAAAAAATGTTTGTCTTGAATTTTTGATTTTCTTTGAAGAATCTGAAGAAATAAAATATCTTCCAGAGATTCTGTCAAAAATCTGGGAGTGAGTCTCTGAACCCTAGGGGTCTCACACTGTTATCGACAATAGGTTGGATCTGAGATCCTGGCAGGACGATAAGGTCCTAGGGAGAAGAAGAGGGATATGAGAAATAGGGAGCATAAACTTTAAATAATAAAGTTCAGAAAATATGATTAAACATTGAGATTATCCAAGCAGAAAGCTTGAGGATGGCCACTTGGGAACACCAATTCCAAACCAATGGAATCAGCATTCCAAAGTGGAGAAGTTACGGTTTCACATATGGATTAGTCCATTTTCACACTGCTGATAGAGACATACCTGAGACCGCACAATTTACAAAAGAAAGAGGTTTAATTGGACTTACAGTTACATGTAGCTGGGGAAGCCTCACAAAATCACGGCTGAAGGCAAGGAGGAGCAAGTCACATCATATGTAAATGGCAGCAGGCAAAGAGAGAGATTGTGCAGGGTAATTCCCATTTTTAAAACCATCAGATCTCGTGAGACCCATTCACTATCACGAGAACAGAATGGGAAAGACCTGCCCCCATCATCTCCCACCCGGTCCCTCCCACAACATGTGGGAATTATGCCTACTTATGTAGGCAGAGACAGAGAAATTTTACACTTTCCATACAAGACCAGTGCATAGTTACAAAGATTTGATTGGTTACAAATTGCTACATTCCAAGGAAGATTATTACTCGGTGAGGAGGGATAGTGATCTGAGGGAGTCTTATCTCTGGTGCTGTCTGGTCTTCCTAATTATTTACAGGAAGAAAATGCAGCAGACTGTATAGACATACCCCCTTAAGGGTCAGAATAATTTAACGTTACGACAGCTTTAAGTACAATTATTTAATTTCACATTTTCCCCTTTTCATTAAGATCTTTCAAAGAAAGTCTTGTAGATAAACTCAAATGGTTTGGGCTCCTTTTGGTTCAGGAGTTTAATCCCACATCACTAGGAAGGCTAATTCTTAGAGTGTCATGTCTCACAGAAGAAGGAGTTTGTCAGGCTCTAAAGCTGATGGGGTATAGGCTGAATTTAAAGCAACATAAAGGAAGTGGCTTTGAGACCTGAGTCAGGCTGCATGGCTACAACTTCAATTAATGCAATTCTTTGAATGACAATTATTTTAGTTTTTTTCAGTTGTGCATTGACTACATTGTGAAAGAATGCCTCAGCAGCAGTAAAGACAAAACAAAACAAAGGATTATAGTTTTGAGAACAAGTAACCACCAAATTCTGCAAGATCCAAACCAGCTGCTCAGCCAATCTTTTAGAGAGGATATTGGATCTGAAAGGGTAGTTTTTTAAGCTTTCATATTGGTGATTAAGTTAGTGATGATCTGACTCATCTGGGGTACAGACATAACACTCAGTTTTTATGACAGCACAGGTTTCTCCTTGGGCTGCAGTGAGTATGTCTGCAGCCCTTCTCATAAGAGCAATGCCATTGTTTAATAACGAGATAACCATGCAGCTATCATTTAGGGCCTCATTTTATATAGTTGGTTAGGGCCTCTACATGCCAAATGGCATACTCAATACACAGTTGGGCAGAAAGATGGAAGCTAAATGATCATACTGATGGGATACAGAACAAACCCATTGATATTATAAATGAGGAAGATTTGCAGGCCTTGAAGGAATATGAACTGCTCAACCTTGTGCCCAGGCATAACCCAAAGAACACCGTCCTAACCATCCTAGGGGTAAATGTGACCACAGATTGGTGCCACACAGCCAAGATACAGCCATTTAGAGCTAGCCAGTAAATACCCACTCTCTGTGCCCATTCAGGGGCATGTCAATCAGTACTGTGTGATATACTGATGTGGTTAGACATTTCCTTGGTTATCCATCACATATCTCTAGTGCTATTGAGCCATGTATCTTTGGTGTGATTCTTTCATTCCCAACTTAAATCTGACCAAAAGAGGAGGTAAGCCAGCTAAAACAGTTCCGAATTTGTATTATATCATCCCCAAATTCAGTTGCTTTATCTCTCAGTTGGGTCAGTGCCAGCATTAAAGCTAATAAATTGGTCTCTTTTACTGAAATGCTCTTCCCATGTGCTTTGCTTTGTATAGTATTATTAACAGGCCAGTGACGCACGTCATCCTTTGTCATGCTAGTATGAAGCAGTGATCACTGTTCTTGAGAAACATGGATATATTTCTGACATTCTATCTAATCTTGTCTTTGGAAAGGAGATATCCACCATGGCAGGCAGAACCACTGGAGAAGGGCATGAGGCCACATACCCAACAAGTGTTTTTCTGTAATCTGCTAGCATGGTCCTGAGCCCACTGAAAGAAGAGGTTTGCTATGGGCAATAACTGTTGATAGTGGCAAGAAAGCCCAAGAACTAGGGACATAAAAACAAAAAAAGAAATTTAGTGGGAACTTCAAAGAAAGATATTCTCCATCTACTAACAATTATTAATGTTTAGCATTTATATAGATACAGGATTAGTCCAGTGTCTTAGGAAAGCTGTTTATCTCAGATGTTGTCTTTTTCTCATTCTTGTTGGTTCTGGAGAATTTTTTTAGATCACCAGTTTGAGACAAAGTTCAAATTGGTGAAGTGGCTTTCTTTTTTTCTTCTTCTTCTTCTTTTTTTTTTTTTTGAGATGGAGTTTCGCTCTTGTTGCCCAGGCTGGGGTGCAATGGTGCGATCTTGCCTCACCGCAACCTCTGCCTCCCGGATTCAAGCAATTCTCCTGCCTCAGTCTCCTGAATAGCTGGGATTACAGGCATGTGCTACCACGCCCAGCTAATTTTTTTGTATTTTTTAGTAGAGACGGGGTTTCTCCATGATAATCAGGCTGGTCTCGAATTCCTGACCTCAGGTGATCCACCCACCTCAGCCTCCCAAAATACTGGGATTACAGGCGTGAGCCACCGTGCCCGGTCAAAGTGGCTTTCTTTAAATGGGTGACATGAGTCAATTCCTTTTAGCTTAGTGGCATGAGGATTGGTTGGGAGCACCTGATAATTCCCTTTCATCTTGGCTGGAGGAAGTCTTTTAAAAGATCTTATTTCCAACAGACAAAATCTCCTGGTTGAAGTCCATGGTCCTAGAATTTTTCATCCTACAGGAGGTCACTGTGGAAAGAGTCTTTTACTAAATTATAGTTTCTAGTTGGCTGCCTTATAAAGCTGTTGCAATTATTCAACATATTCTTTTAATACCATAGATTCACAGTTTTCTGGAAATAATTTCATAGGTCTGCCTGTTATAATTTCAAATGGAGACAGTTGGTATTTACCAAAAGGGGTTGAGTTTAGGCAAAGTAAAACCAATGGAAAAGGTTTCAGACAAGGAATTCTACAAAGCTCAGCAAATTTTTGCCAATTGAGTTTTGATTATTCTATTTGTGTTGAGAGTTAAACTCTGACCTTTTTTCTTCTGTTGTCCAAATTCCTACCTAAAAGGTTTGGGGAGTCATGCACTACACACCATAAAGTCTCCTCAGAAGGGCTTATTTAACATAGCCTGCTTTCCATCCTGACTCTGGCATAACATTACATGACAGATAATGAAAGAAATCAAAATATTTTAACTCCAAATGTATTTCCTTGCCATATTTTGAAATTATCCTGCAAAGTCATCTCTTGAAAAACCTATGTTCTGTAGAGAATCCCCTTTTCCTTTCCAGGCATTTTTCCTGATCCAGGAGAGAATCAGCTAAGAGTCTGGCACCTTTTTAAGTCTGATAAGAATCATTTACAATCTATTGTCTTTGAAACCCACTACCTGGGGGATTCATTTGCATAATAAGAACCTTGGTCGGCTGGCCACAGTGGCTCACTTTGGGAGGCTGAGGTGGGTGGATCACCTGATGTCAGGAGTTCAAGACCAGTCTGACCAATATGGTGAAACCCCATCTCTACTAAAAATACAAAAATTAGATGGGCGTGGTGGCACACGCCTGTGATCCCAGCTACTTGGGAGGCTGAGACAGGAGAATCACTTAAACCTGGGAGGCTGAGGTTGCAGTGAGCCGAGATTGAACCACTGCACTCCAGCATGGGTGACAGAGTAAGACTCCATCTGAAAAAAAAAAAAAAAGGAAACTTGGTCTCCACAACCCCTTATCTTAACCCAGACATTTCCTTTCGATTGGTCCTAGGTTTTTCAATAAAGTCTTTTAACCAATTGCTAATCAGAAAATATTTAAATCTACCAATAACCTGGAAGCCCCGCACACCCACCTTGAGTGGTCCCGCCTTTTTGGACCAAAGAAATGTACATCTTAAATGTATTTGATTGAAGTCTCATGTCTCCTAAAAATGTATAAAAACTAAGCTGCACCCCAACTGTTAATGGTGGAGGGTCTCCAGGTACTTGACATCTTGAACAAAGAATTGGACAAAATGCACAAACAAATCAAGAAAGGAATGAAGGGTTTTATTGAAAATGAAAGTACAGTCCACAGTGTGGGAGCAGGCCTGAGCATAGGGGCTCAAAGGCCCTGTTACAAAATTTTGGGGAGTTTCAATATCCTTTGCTTTGGGTATGCCCTATGTAAATGAAGAGGATGAAGTAAAGTTACAAAGTCATTTACTTGGACTACACTCTATGGAGAGGCTATTTCCTGTCACAGCTGAAGTGTGAATCGGCCTTATGTTCACTGCCTCCAGACCCTATTTTCCTGCCTCATCTCCCCACCGAGAGATGTGATGAACCCAAAGCCCAAGGTCCTGAAGTTTTGTTGTAGTGTGGATGGCAAGGAAACTCTCCAATGTTCTCAGAAGATCCAAACCATAAAAAGCCTTTTTACCTGGTGAAAATACACTGCAGCATAATAATCTACTGTTATAACATCAGCCATCTTGCATGAGAAAGCTTTACAACCAGAAAACATGCATTGAAAATAACAATCAAATGAAATCCCTTTATAACGTTTAAATGGCCTACCAGGTATTTTCTTTTCTTTTTTCTTTTTTTTTTTAGACAGAGTCTTGCTCTGTCGCCCAGGCTGGAGTGCAGTGGCACCATCTCGGCTCACTGCAAACTGCACCTCTGGGTTCAAGCAATTCTCCTGTCTCAGCCTCCCAAGTAGCTGGGATTACAGGCATCTACCACCATGCCTGGCTAATTTTTGTATTTTTAGTAGAGAGGGGGTTTCACCATGTTAGCCAGGCTGGTCTTGAACTCTTGACCTCAAGTGATCTGCCCGCCTTGGCCTCCCAAAGAGCTGGAATCACAGACATGGGTCACCATGCCTGACAAAATGTACGTGAAGCTTTAATTGTTTTCCCAGGAATATGGGGTCAAGCATTGGTTATAAACTATTTTAAACAATTTCAGTGTCAGCTGGCTTAACATGAAAATCTGACAAAGTATTTTCTTGGTATTTAATTAATTTTTGGGTTAGTAGCTTTATACAAGGAAATTTGGTTATTTCTGTGGTTTACAATAACATAATAACCATAATTATAATTGATAGCATATACTATTTTAGAAATCCCATATAAGTTTGGAACATATGTTAGATTATTCACAAAAATATAACCTAAAGAAGATTGAACACCATTTTGGCAATCCCATGTACCTAAACATGTCAAATAATCCTGTTTACCTCTTCTCTGTATGTTTTCAGGGCCCTCTGATCCATCCAGAAAGCCAGGCATTAGGAGAGACAATTTTGAAACTGAAGTTTTATTTTGGAACTCCATATTACCATAAATCATTTATTTTGCCAAAATGATGACTCAGAAATTATAAAGAAGCAAAAACCTTTTATAACCTTTTACAAAAAGGGCACATTCTCCTGTTTTTACATGCCTTGTATGTGAAACTGTTTGTAGTAGTCTTAAATGCATGTTACAGTGGTAACTCTTAGCAATTTTCACTTTAGTGTAAAACCTAGTAAGTTATGTTCTGATAAGGTTTGACTATTTCCAGCATAGCTGGGGCATGGCCAACCCCACATGTTCCTAGGCCTCACCTAGCTGGAAAGCAGGTGAGTTAAACAATTTTCAAAAGCAAAAAAAGCAGCCTATGACCTTAAAGCATATAGCAAACCTAACATTTCAACATAATTTAGACCACATGTTTACATTTTGAAGACAATTGTATTTTACCAATAATCTTTAAAACCCTCTTTTTTTTTTTTTTTTTTAAGACAGAGTCTCGCTTTGTAGCCCAGGTTGGAGTGCAGTGGCATGATCTCAGCTCACTGCAAGCTCTGCCTCCTGGGTTCACACCATTCTCCTGCCTCAGCCTCATGCGTAGCTGGGACTACAGGCGCCCACCACCACGCCCAGCTAATTTTTTGTATTTTTACTAGAGACGGGGTTTCACCATGTTAGCCAGGATGGTCTCGATCTCCTGACCTCGTGATCCACCCGCCTTGGCCTCCCAAAGTGCTGGGATTACAGGCGTGAGCCACTGCACTCAGCCCTAAAACCATCTTTATTTCCCAAAGATTGCTAAAGTCATGTAAGCTAAAAGGCATTACATTTTCTACATTTCTGACAAAATATTTGATTTAAGCTCTTATTGTTATTAAACCAATTAATTTAAAAGTTTACAGAGGGGATAAACAGTGACTTTTTCTTTATATTTAATCAGTTTACACAGACAGAAAGAGGCCAGAAACTGACTGGTGAGAAATTCTCACCCTTTTGCTGGCATGCCAGGTTTCTGGGTTCTCTCTCCCTAAGCAGCCCTGGCAGCCCTGGCAGCCCTGCTTGACTGTATGCAAAAAAACACATTGTCATGAATTAAGAATATTCACAAATAGTTTACAAATGTTGGAGAAATTAGGCAGAGGGAGAAATATGACTCAAATTCTATTTATGAAAGTATACTCAGCCCATTTAAAGTATCAAGAAGCCTAAAATCCAAAAAGTTAGTTTATAGCTGGTGTGCTCCATCAATTCCTGCAGCTTGACAAAAGTAGCTTATAAATTCCAGGTAAATGAAGTGAATGATGACTTGCTGGAAATGCCAAGGAAACAAAATAACTATTCATAGAACCAAATAAAAGCCTTCTACTAGAAACTAAAAAGCATCAGGGTTTTATATATATGGATACACAAGCAAAGCCAGAGGAGAATAACCAGCAAATGAATGAAAACTAGAAGCAAAAACAAATAAACAGAAAACCAATCCTAAATTTTCCTACTTAATTTACCCTGGAGGCTACAGTGTTACCTAGGGCCCCCCAAAACCCACATAATGAATATTTTATTCCTGATACACAATTCAATACCCTTAAATTCACCAATATCATTATACTTCCGTGCAATCAAGAAGATGGATTACTTGAGGTCAAGAGTTTGAGACCAGCTTGGCCAACATGGTGAAACCTAGTACCACTAACAATACAAAAATTAGCTGGGCATGGTGATATGTGCCTGTAGTCTCAGCTACTTGGGAGGCTGAGGCAGGAGAATCGCTTGAACCCGGGAGGTGGAGGTTGCAGTTAGCCGAGATCGAGCCACTGCACTCCAGCCCGGGCAACAGAAAAAGACTCAATCTCAAAAAAAAAAAAAAAGAAAAAGAAAAAGAAAGAAATCCTCTTTAGGCACATGACCAATAAGTACTCTAACACTAGCCACACAAAACAGTAACCATAGTGTGAAACAATGCAAGCGTGTATGTGAAATTTGGCTTTACACTAAATCCAGCTTCATGTTTAACTATATTAAAAAAAGAATTGCCAAACTGCCGATGCATTGTACAATACTTTTTATTTTATTTTAATCAAGATTAAGAGATTTAATTACGAAAATGCTAATTAGCCAAATGTTTCCAATTCTTTATCAGGTTTTAAAGAATATTTTATTATTTAAACTTTTTCCACATCTTTCTCCCTGTTTAAAAATTCCTTACTACATTGTTTCATAAATAACCTTTTGAAAGCTCTGTAATTTGAGCTAACTTTTAGATAACTTCTGAATAGGCAAAATAATTTTTTTTCCACTAATAACCCTTTCTGGCACGTTTTGTATACAGAATTACGTGTTAACTAGAATTGTATCCCTAGTAACCTAAAACTTTAGCAAAACTCTAAAAAGCAAGAAATCCTGAACTATTAGATATGGGCATTCATAAATAAGAACAATTCCACAATTTTAGAAACATATTTCCCTATATTACAACCCTTTCTTAATTGGAAATGACCCAGATATTAAATGAATGTTAAAAATAAGATTTTAATTTACAAAAAAAGTTTACCTAAAACATTTATCCCATTCACTGTACTTAATTTTTTTTTACTTTTAACAAGGGAGACATGAGATATCAATCAACATATGTAAAATGAACATTGGTTCCATCTGGAAAGGCAGGACAACTAGAAGCTGGGAGGGGGTTAGGGCTTCCAGGTTACAGGTAGGTGTGAGAGGAATGGTTGCATTCTTTTGAGTTTCTGATGAGCCTTTCCAAAGGAAGGAACCAGATATGCATTTATTTCAGTGAGACTTTGAATAGCTTGCTCCAAGCAGCTACCAGCTTGAATTAACACTGACATTTTAAAATATCTAGCAAAGACAAACATAAAATTCAGACAAAATGTATGTTGACAATTCTGAAGGCATTTCTATTTTTATCCCACCAATAATTTTAAAGCTAGCTTGTTTAGTAAAGGTATACTTTAAGTCACATGAACTTGAAATTCTTAGACTTATTTACTTAATTTATGAGTGCTCTTTTACTTATAAGCCAATTTGATAGACACAACATATGTACAACAGTGTACATACAAATAAACACATCTAGACATGTATACACATACATAAATGAAGATCCAATAGCTTGGAACCTTAGCCATGAGATAGCAATACAAGCTTGCTGGTTTTACTTTGCCCCAATAGATAATCCAATGAAGGCTGTGAACCAAAATTTCAGATAAAGCAGTCTCCATGGCAGTTTGATTTTTTTTTTTTTTTGAGACCACATCTTACTCTGTCACCCAGGCTGGAGTGCAGTGGCATGATCTCGGCTCACTGCAACCTCCGCCTCCCAGGTTCAAGCCTTTCTCATGCCTCAGCCTCCTGAGTAGCTAGGACTACAGTTGCCCGTCACTATGCCTGGCTAGTTTTTTGTATTTTTAGTAGAGACGAGGTTTCGTCATGTTGGCCAGGCTGGTCTCAAACTCCTGACCTCAGGTGATCCACCCACCTTGGCCTCCTAAAGTACTTGGATCACAGGCATGAGCAGTGATCCCAGTGGCCTGGCAGTTTTATTTTTAAAGGCCAAACCTCCCCAGATTCCCAAGAGCACTGGGGCCAAACCAAGCCAAAGGAGGGCGTCACACGTGAACCAGGCCCCCTGCTTAGAACGGCAGCACAAAAGTCTGGATACATACAATGCTATTCCACTTTCCATTCAACAGTAAACTCCAGATTCCAAACAATGTTGGAGCCAAACAGCATTGCCACTGTGAGAGAAAATTCTAAGGAGGGTTAATACTAGACCTCAGAACCTCTGACGAGAGCAGCCCTTTTGGGCAGGCTGAGGTCTGCTGGACCCCCGGGAGCGTCTTCCTGTGGGGCCCGATCTTAGAGTGCCAGACATCTCTGGCCTTAGGTGGGTGCCACATGCAGGTTTTCCCCGCCAGAGCCTATTATGAGCTTTATAAGAACAGACATGAACTGTAATGTGAAGAACTGGATGCCGGGTGGGCCTTTTTGTTCCTCAGCCAGTTGAGTATGATCAGGGAAAAATTTAGCATAGGAAAAGAAGGTTTACGTCCCCTGAAACATGTGCGAGTTTGCTCCAAGCTGTGCTTCATGTAGGGATCAGGGACCATGCGTGGAAAATATTTTTAAAAAGTCCTTCCCCCTTCGGGGCAGGGCAATTGTAAATGGCAGCTGAAAGACCGAAAAAGAAAGAAGGGAAAAAAAAAAGAAAGAAAAAGACCCAAGTTCCTTAAGCCAACCAGGAGGTGGCAGTCAGGCTTCTCCACATGGAAACTCCTTAGTTTCACTGGCCACGGCCAGAAACCTGCAGTTCCTTCCATGTTTGGGCGCTGCCCACCAAGGGTCCCAAGTTGAAAAGGAAAAGAGAGGGAGAGAGAGGGCCCCTGCATGGAGCAGAAAGGAAAGGGAGAAAAATGAATCCCAAACTTTGGGCTTACATCTTCCTCCTGGCTGGCTGAGCAAAATCTGCTAATGGTGGAAGGTGTCCAGGCTCTTGATGTCCTCAACAAAGAATTGGACAAAATGCACAAACAAAGCAAGGAAGGAATGAAGGGTTTTATTGAAAATGAAAGTACACTCCACAGTGTGGGAGTGGGCCTGAGCATAGAGGTTCAGAATTTTTGGGAGTTTCAATATTCTCTACTTGGGGTATGCCCTATGTAAATGAAGAGGATGAAGTAAAGTTACAAAGTCATTTACTTGGCCTATGCCCTACGGAGAGGATTGTGGGAGATTGGTTATAGTGGTGGGAAAAATGATAGGGAAAGGGCGCAAACCTTCTGAAAGGTCGGAGATTCTGCAGAGCCCATGGGAGAATAGCTGAAGGCAGCTGTTGTATAACCCTGATGCAGGGGGCAAGGAGTAGGTACAAGGGAATGCAGGCGAATTTATCATAAACAGGCTTGTTTACTTATGTTGACCAGGAACTGACCTTTGATCATCTGCATGCCTGACATTCTCTGAAAGGGGAACAATAAATGTTAACTACCTACAGCTTGTGTTTGCTCCAGGCTTTTGGCATTATGCCTGCACTGAATAAAAGCAAGCAGCTCCAGCTTCTCTGGGCTGCTCTCTGGCCACTAGAGCCAGGCAGTCACCTAGCTGCTCTTACACTGCATGCCTGTGTGTGAGCACTCATTTCATCTGTCAGCCAGGGTCTGCAGGACAGACCTGGCAGGAGGTGCCCTGTGTGAGGAACACTGCAACGGATCACGACAGAACCCTCAAAAATGAAAGTGAAGTGACTGTGCAGTAAATAATTGGTGCCTGCTGGGGATTGATTTCCAAGTTTGAAGGGATTTTCAAGCTGGGGTTTCATCATGGGACAACAGTTATCAGCTTAACAGCAACAGTATATGAAAGTGTTGAAACCGCTGATTAAAGCTAGCAAAGCCTTGCTCTCAGAGTCCCAGTTAAGGGACCTAATGCAAACTGTTGTTTTCCATAATCCATCATTCTCAGAAGGCACACTAGACTTAAAGCTCTGGGAACAAGTAGGAAAAATTCTTAAATAACATTATGTACAACGACAGTGAGTCCCAGTAACATCTTTAACGTTATGGGCCTTAGTTAGGGCTGCTTTGGCCCTGCTTTACACAGAAGAGCATAAAAAGGGAGGGGAGGAAGAGCCATCATCTACTTTACCACCTCATCCTCCTCCCTCAGCCCTGCTGTTACCAGGTAAAGGTGCCACAGAGGGGACAGATTTTCCCTGAGCCCCCTCCCTCAGTTAATTGGAAAAAAGACAAGGGATACACTATAGTTATGGGACCCTGTCTTAAGCAAGTGGCATTAGAAGGGGAGCTCTTGGCTTGCCTGGTGATGCAAGATCAACAAGGCAATGGGGTACATGAACCCATTACTTTCAACACTTATAAAAAATAAGAAAAAGCATTAGAGAAAATGGAGCCACTTGCCCATTTACAAGGGGATTAATTGAGGCCATAGCAGACAACTACCATATGACCCCTTTCTGATAATAGCCACTGTTGTAATTTCTCCCCTACCCCTGACATGGCTCCAATTTGGGACATGACAAGATCCAGTTTGGGTAGAAAAGTGGCCTTAAAAGGGAGACAAGTTAACAATGATCCCACGAATTAGTTGAGGGACAATTAACAGCTGGCCATATAGAACCATCAAACAGCCCTTGGAATTCATCCATTTGTGTCATTCCCAAAAATTCTGGTAAACGGAGACTTTTGTATGACTTACATGCTATCAATGCTAATTTGCAACCTATGGGGCCCCTTCAACAGGGGGTCCCTTCCCCTGCAGTGATTCTTTGAGATTGGCCTGGAGTCATTATTGACTTAAAAGACTGCTTTTATGCTATTCCCCTTGCAGAACAGGACAGAGAAAAATTTGCATTTGCAATACCAGCTATCAATAATGAAAGGCCAGCTCACTGATTTATTGAAAAGTACTTCCTCAAGGAATGTTGAACAGTCCTACCATGTGTCAGTATCATGTAAATCAGACTTTGCTCCCCAGTAGAAAAGAACTTCCTAATTTCAAGATCATCCATTATATGGATGACATTTTACTGGCAGCCCTAACGGAGCCAATACTTTTGAGTTTATATGCCTCTGTCAAAAGGAATACACAGTTAAGAGCTTTAATCATAGCACATGAAAAGGCACAGATGTCCTCCCCTTGGAAATATCTTGGATATATACTAACTTTCTGGTCAGTAAGACCTCAAAAGGTTAAATTGAATACTAACAATTTACATACCTTAAATGGCTATCAAAAATTATCAGGTGATATTAACTGGCTTCACCCCAACTTGGGCATAACTACCGACAAATTACAGAACCTGTTTTCTATCTTAAAGGGCAATGCAGCCCTGGACTCCCCCAGGTATTTAACCCCTGCTTCAAAAACAGAAATTGAGGAAATAGAGCAAGCTATTTCTCAGAGGCAACTAGATTGCATAGACCCACAATATTCAGTCCAATTATTTGTATTTCCTATTAAACAACAGGATTAATAGGACACCTTCAGATAGTACTCTCTAATTATGCAGGCCATATAGAACATCCCCTTCACTGATGAACTATTCCAATTCTTATCTCATACTACTGTAGTTATGCCTACAAAGGTAGTTCACTCCCCCATACCTAACACTTTAATGCTTTCCACTGATGGCTCTGGTAAAAATGGAAAAGCAGCTATCTGGTGGGAACCACATAACTCCCTTACTCGATCTGGATTTACTAGTACTCAGAGAGCTGAGGTTGGAGCCCTAATATTGGCTCTGGAAACCTTTTCCACTCAGCCCATCAATGTTGTTAGTGACTCTGCTTACTCTGTTTATTTATTCTAAAACCTTGAAACAGCCCTCATTAAGTCCACTCTTGAGCCCACCCTGTGCATCCTTTTTCTTTGACTTCAGCAATCGCTGGGTCAGTGGACACATTCTGTTTTTATCACACACATTCGGACCCACAGCTTGCTGCCCGGTCCACTAGTTCACGGCAATGATCAAGCAGACCTGCAGGTTATGACATCACTGCTTGGCCAAGCCACCCAATCACATCAATTTTTCCACCAAAATTGGAGAAATTTTTCTAAACAATTTCAGTTAACCTAAAGACTAGCTAAACAAATTATCCTGCAGTGCCCAGATTGCCAGCTCACAGGCAAGTCCCCTTCCTCAACAGGTATCAACCCTAGGGGACTAGAACCAAATCAGTCATGGCAAACAGATGTTACGCATGTCCCTGAATTTGGAAAACTAAGATATGTACATGTATCCATGGATACCAATTCCCACCTAATTGCTCTTCCTGGAGAGTCTGGCTGATATGTCATTAAACATCTTCTTCTCTTTTGTGTTTATGGGGTTGCCCACAGAGATTAAAACTGATAACAGTCCAGCTTACACCAGCTCACAATTTCAACAATTTTGTCACACATGGAATGTCCAACATTCCACAGGTATCCCATATAATCCCCAAGGACAGGCCATAGCAGAACCTGCCCACTCTACCCTTAAAAATATGCTCAGAAAACAACAAAGGGGGAATATGAGTAAGGACCCTGAAACACTATTGGCACAAGCCTTATTTACCCTTAATTTCTTAAATTTAGAGGATAAGTTTCAATCAGCTATAGAAAAGCACTTTGCAAAAATCACTCAAGATATAAAACCTTCATTTTATGGAAAGATGTAAATAGTAATGTATAGTGTGGTCCAAATGATTTGCTAACGTGGGGAAGAGGATATGCTTGTGTGCAGACCCCCTCAGGTCCTCTTTGGATTCCAGTATGATGCATCAAACCATACTGTGGTGTGGCTAGAACCCAACCTGGTACCAGAAATGAAGGAAATGACCTTGCAGGACCCACAGCCCTGGATGATGCAGCTTCCTCGGGCAACACAGACCCTGGACATTTTGCTGGAGAAGATAACTCAGGAGGCTTAGCAAATCCTGCTCCAGACACAGATACCATTCACTCCAGATAATTTGTTCCTTGCTATGCTTTCTGTTGTACATTGCATCTCTCATAGGGTATTAATCTTTTTTAGTCTCTTACTTTGCCTGCTACCTCTACCTGCTACACTCTATTGGGCCCATCTTCTAGATCTGCCTTTTTTCCGCCCTGTTACTTGGGCAGACACTCCCTTCCCAGCCTCTAACAACATGAATGATTGGCTGGGAGGGACTGACATACCACCGATGGGGTCCCTCAGTAATGGCACACATTGGACTGAGGTGCCAAGTAACACTACATATCGCTCTTTGATTGGAAAGGAATAATACTGATTATACTCATGTTTGTCTTATGTTATTTACTGGTTCTAGGATGCAAAGCCGGAACATGAGCTGTAACTGCCGCACCAGTCAAACCTGTCACTGTGCACATCAACAAAACCTGATGCAGACAAAACGAAACAAATCAAAACAAAACAAACCAGAAAAGGGGGAGATGTGGGGGACCAGTCAGAGTGGTGGGAAAAACTCTAGGGAAAGGACACAAGCCTTCTGAAAGGTCGGAGTTTCTGCAGAGCCCCATGGGGAGAATAGTTGAAGGCAGCTGTTCTATAACCCTGATGCAGAGGGCAAAGAGTAGGTACAAGGGAGTGTAGGGGAATTTATCTTAAACAGGCTTGTTTACTTATGTTGACCAGGAACTGACCTTTGATCATTCCCCTGAAAGGGGAACAATAAATGTTAATTACTTACGGGTTGCATTTGCTCCAGGCTTTTGGCATTATGCCTACACTGAATAAACGCAAGCAGCTCCAGCTTCTCAGGGCTGCTCTCTGGCCACTAGAGCCAGGCAGTCACCTAGCTGCTCTTACACTGCATACCTATGTGTGAGTGCTCATTTCATCCAGGGTCTGCGGGACAGACCCAGCAGAGGATATTTCCTGTCATAGCTGAAGTGTGAATAGGCCTTATGTTCTCTTCTTCTAGACCCTATTTTCCTGCCTCACAACCACCCTGGGCACATGTTCTCAGGATCTCCTGAGGGCTGTGTCACAGGCCATGGTCATTCATATTTAGCTCATAAGGAGCTGGACAACTCGAATCAGGTGGTGGGGTCTGGGCAACTTCCAGGCTATAGGTAAATTTAAACATTTTTTTTTTTGAGACAGAGTCTCACTCTGTTGCTGGGCTGGAGTGCAGTGGCGCTATCTTGGCTCACTGCAACCTCCAACTCCTGAGTTCAAACGATTCTCCTGCCTCAGCCTCCCAAGTAGCTAGGACTACAGGGGTGTGCCACCATGCCCAGCTAATTTTTGTATTTTTAGTAGACATGGGGTTTCACCATGTTGACCAGGATGGTCTTGATCTCTTGACCTCTTGATCCACCTGCCTCGGCTTCCCAAAATGCTGGGATTACAGATGTGAGCCACCACACCTGGCCATAAACTCTGCTTTTTTTTTTTTTTTTTATCTTGCCCAAATTCCTATCTAAGTGGTCAGGGGAGTCATGCCCTACAAACCATAAATTCTCATCAGATTGGTTTTATTTAATCCTATGTATTGTGACTTACTTTCCAACCTACTCTGGCATAACATTATGAGACAAGGAACAAAATCAAAATATTTTATCCCAAAAACATGTTTCTTTGTCACATTTTGAAATGGCCCTGCAAGCTGTCATTTGTGGGGAAAATTTGCCTCTGGAAAGAATATCTATTAAGATAAACAGACCTTTTCCTTCCAGGCCCTTCCAATTCTGAATCAGTTAACTAAGAGTCTCACACCTTTTAAAAGGTCTTAATAGGAAGCATTTGTCATCTATTGTTTCTAAGGGCAGCTGCTATGAGACTTCAAAAGAGTCTTGGTCTCCACAGTCTTTTATCTTAACCTGAACATTTCCTTTCTATTGATCCCAGGTCTTTAGACAAACTCAACCAATTGTCAATCAGAAAATGTTTAAATTTACCTATAGCCTGGAAGCTGCCCAGACCCCACCACCGGATTCGAGTTGTCCAGCCTTTCTAGAACAAACCAATAAGCCAATGTATTTCTTAAATGTATTTGATTGAAGTCTTATGTCTCCCTAAAATATATAAAATCAAGCTGCACCCCCGCAACCACCTTGGGCATATGTTCTCAGGACCTCATGAGGGCTGTGTCATGGGCCATGTTCACTCATATTTGGCTCAGAATAAATCTCTTTGAAGATTTTACAGTTTGACTCTTTTCGTCAACACTCAGGATAAATCTCTTCAAATATTTTACAGAGTTTGACTCTTTTCATCATCAGTGTGTTCCACTAATCCAGATGACTGGGGATGACTGGCACAAGGAAAATGTTGTAGAACGGGCCATATTTCACATGCTGACTGGATTGTTTGTCCAATAAAATGAGTGTCCCATACACTCATAAAATAAGTTCATTTGAGAGAAAGTCCCAAAGTTGAAATTATTTTTTTCTAAGGGAATTTTACTTATGGCCAAAGGTGATGGTGGTAGGCGAATAAACTCTAGTTGCCATACCTCCTTTCATGCGTGTCCATGTGAAGAGACCACCAAACAGGCTTTGTGTGAGCAACATGGCTGTTTATTTCACCTGGGTGCAGGCGGGCTGAGTCCGAAAAGAGAGTCAGCAAAGGGAGATAAGGGTGGGGCAGTTTTATAGGATTTGTGTAGGTAAAGGAAAATTACAGTCAAAGGGGGTTTGTTCTCTGGTGGGCAGGAGTGGGGGTGGCAAGGTGCTCAGTGAGGGTGCTTTTTGAGCCAGGATGAGCCAGGAAAAGGACTTTCACAAGATAATGTCATCACTTAAGGCAAGGACTGGCCATTTACACTTCTTTTGTGGTGGAATGTCATCAGTTAAGGTGGGACAGGGCATATTCACTTCTTTTGTGATTCTTCAGTTACTTCAGGCCATCTGGGCATATACGTGCAAGTCACAGGGGATGCGATGGCTTGGCTTGGGCTCAGAGGCCTGACACCTCCAATCAGCCTTTAAGGAAAACAACCTTGATAACTGTGTAAAGGTTTCCACGGATTATGTTTTGGGCAGGGATTTTTACTCACACAAAGGGTGGGTTCAATTGCTTGGTGGGTGACAGTTCACTTGAAGTGGCATTGATGTCTGGGGTAAATACCAGAGGTTCGTTGTCTCACAGGAGGGAAATCAAGGACGTGAACATACAAAAAGTGAGTTTAAGAGTGGAGGTTTAATAGACAAAAGAAAAAGAAAAGAGAATTGCTCTCTTTCTTGCAGAAAGAGAGGAGCTCCTGAGTGGGTTTTCTGGACCACTGCATAGTGCATGGGGTCTTATAGACTGGCTTGAGTAGGAAGTGTCTGATTAACATGGGGCCAAAAGATTGGTTGGACCAGGTGTGCCATTTACATAGCATGCAAAGAAGATGACCACCCCACCCTAATCTTTTATTATGCAGCTGGGTTCTCTACCTGGCCAGCGCCCTGTTGTCTGCTCCTTACTGCACACATGGTTGACAAAGAAAAGAGAAGATGTTGGGAAAACCAGCCCCACACCACCCGGTGGGTACCCTGAGTCCAGCGGAGGCAAAGGAGTTAGAAAGAGACAGAATAAGAGTTTAAAAGGCAGGTTCAGGAGACCTGAGTGTCAGAGGCTTGCTCATGGCCCAGAGTTCTCGGGCTCCACCTAATTTATTGGTTTACAAGCTCTTTGTTCTTAGGGCAGATGGGAGGGGGAGGAAGGGATGAGGAAAAGGATTAATCAGTGAAGGAGAACTCTTGAGTCATTCAATAAGATGTAGAGCAGTGGTGGTTTCTGTGAATTTCCTGAGCAAAGGCATGTGTCTAAACTACTAAGATCTTTAAGTTATCTGGACTGAAATGGGTGGGAGTGGGTTTCAGGAGGAGCCAAGATGTTTGATTATACTCCACTGCTTCAAGGGAGTGTTATCTCCCTGAGCAACCTGTGGAATGCCGCGGAGCTGTTATGCTCTCGGGCATAAAGACATGAAGGCAATAAGGAGACTTTTCTCCTCAGAGGCCGCCCATGGCTCCCCCTGGGTGTCTCACACAGGGGAGACCAACTCATCTGGCACCCTAGAAACTCTCTTTCCCACAGAAGATGGAGCCACCATGTTGAACATGCCTAGCCCCCAGGTAGCCTTTTCCTATTGGCACAGCTGCTGACATTCACCTGTGCAAGCTCCCAGCTTGCTTATCTATGTTTGCAGCTCGATTTTACAGGCTGCTCTTTGTTAAAAAAAGAAATGATTTGGCCGGGCTTGGTGGCTCACCAAGGCTGAGGTGGGTGGATAACTTGAGGTCAGGGGTTCGTGACCAGCCTGGCCAAACTGGTGAAACCCTGTCTCTACTAAAAATACAAAATAATTAGCTGGGTGTGGTGGCATGCGTCTGTAATCCCAGCTACTCTGGAGGCTGAGGCATGAGAATCCCTCAAACCCGGGAGGTGGAGGTTGCAGCGAGTCAAGATCATGCCACTGCACTCCAGCCTGAGTGACAGAGAAAGAACTTGTCCAAAAAAAAAAAAAAAAATTGGGGGCTACTTTTTATTAAAAGGAATACCTTACCAAGGATTCTTACCCTCACTATCTGCCTAAATAATTTCTTTTTAACTCCTGTGTCACAATGACCACAACCAAGGAGGATTTAACAGGGGTTTTGTTATTTGTAACAAGTAAGGAGGACACCAGGCATAGTTCCTAAAGCAGTGCTTCCCTGAGCGATGGTGGAAACAGGGCTTTTACTGGGCTGGTGAGCTGAGTCATTGTATGTAGAGGTAAAGTCAAGTCAGTGCAGGTGCAGTTGCTAATCATGCTACTACACACATCGCATGTATAGGAAAAGTTGAGTAAGCTCCTCCCTGGGTGAGGATTTTAGTATGGTAATGAGGGGAGTTCACTGAAGTTCATTTCCAAATCTAGCATCTCTGGATCCAACTGTTTTTTGTTTTTCAGGTGCTGGGCTTCTTCATGGAATTCAAGGTGCAATAGTTACAAGTGGGTAGTTTTTCACAGTGCTACCCCAAAACTGGGGACCCAGGGTTACAATGCGGCAGCACTTGTACTTCTTATGAGCCACAGTTGGACCGAGTTTCCTATTATATTGTTTGCCCCAAGCAATCAAATGATTGGGGCTTCAAAGAGTTAAATCTTGCATATAAATTAAGAAAGATTACTATAATTTGATTGGGAGTATGGGTAGACCATTTGGTCTATACCATAGCCCAGTTTCAGAGGAGTGTGTTCCCCCTTTTGTTTCCCAGTTTTCTTTTTGTTTTGAAACACCCTTGGCAATGTAAAGCATTGAAGTGCTAGATGTTACTTTTACAAGTCCTCAGAGTGTGCATTATGTAACTGCTTGCCTCCTCAATCCTGTAATCCTTCCCCCTGTTTGTGATGGCTTTCACCCTTCCTTCCTTTTCTTCCTTTTCCTTTTCTTCCTTCCTTCATTCCTTTTCTTCCTTCCTTCCTTCAGTCCTCCCTTCCTTTCTTCCTTCCTTCCCTCCTTCCTTCCCTCTCTCCCTCCATGCATTCTTCTTTCCTCTCTCTCCCTTCCCCTCCCCTCCTCTTCCCTACTACTCATCCTTTCCTTCCTTTCCTTTTCCCTTTCTCCTTTCCTCCCTCCCTTCCCTTTTTTTTAAAAAAAATGGATCATAATATATTTTTCTGACATTTAAACCTGTAACTTAAAAAATTTTAATAATTAAAAAGTTATATCTGTAAAATGTCTCTAAACTTTAAGCAATTGCTGAAAACTTCAATAGCATTCAGTCTAGCAAAAATTTTGCAAAACTGGAAGGATTTTTCTCATTTCATAATATGAAAAGCCAAAAGAATTCACTTTGTATCTAATTAATATATTTAAATTAAAATATACTATAGAGCCAGAATATGAAATAGAATATTAAGAAAAAGTACCAGCTGGTTATTGAGAAGTGAAGGAAAAGGTCACTAAACAAATTGTGTAAACTCTAAAGTGATACAGATTAATAATGGAAAGAGTACCACCTTAATGGGTCTTAATTTTCTTTAAACAAATGAGAAAATGAAGAAAAAAGCGTGTTTTAAACAACCACCATTGAAGCAAAACCAATTCTATTGTTTCAAAAGGTAGTTATCAGCTTTCCATGTCATACGAGCAGAAATCCACCCTCAAGTCAGAGATTTGATCTGTAGTTACCCTCAAGACAGCACCACCATAGTTTATTCATTTCACAGTTTTTCTTTTCTTTTTCTTTTTATGAGACAGAGTCTCACTGTGTCATTCAGGCTGGAGTGTAGTGGTGTGATCTCCACTCACTGCAACTTCTGCCTCCTGGGTTCAAGTGATTCTCCCATCTGTAGCTGGGATTAGAGGTGGGTGACGCCACACCCAGCTAATTTTTGTATTTTTAGTAGAGACGGGGTTTTGCCATGATGGCCAGGCTGGTCTCGAACTCCTGGCCTGAAGTGATCTACCTGTGTCTGCCTCCCAAAGTTCTGGGATTACAGGCATGAGCCACCATGCCCAGCCACATTTCTCAGATTTTCTAAAGCAGATCTTTTATGACTAATGGGCCAGTCCTGCCTATTATCTAGCTGTTTGCTGAAATCATCAATCCTTTGATCCTTAGCAATCCTTAAAAGATCAGACTGTCTGAGAACCACTGGAGTTGACAGGGATGTCCTGCAAAGGGGCTGGGGATAAGGGAGAGAGAGGGTCATGTCAGAGTCCAGAGTTTGCATCATTGCCTGCTCTTTAATAGTAAGTGAGCTCTGTTTCCAGAGCCTCAGTTTACCTCAGGTTTCCTGAAATGAGAAAAATGTTCATGCCCGTATCGGCCTTGCAGGGTCATTGTGAAGATCAAGGAAAATCATTGAATAAAAATTATTTGTAGACTGTTTGACAAATGGAAGCCCACACAGGGCTCCCTTGAGTTCTGTGAAGATGGGTACCTCCTTTCTCTGTGGTCTGGCAGTACCCTGTGTTCTCCACTATTAGAGAAAACCTCATCATAGCGTAAATATTGAAATCTTCCCTTTATTAAATTGTGAGTTTAAGGAGAGAGGACAACTTACCTTTGTAACCAGTGCTTAGTAGAGTGTTCAGAACATAGGAATCTATTTGATAACAGTTTGCCAAATGGGTGTGAGCAAGTCATTCTCAGGATTTAGCTGCAAGATATTTTTATTTAATGTCACACAAAATGAATCCTATTCTTGCTAATCTCCAAATAATCACAATCTGAATGGCTTGCTTAGTGATAATTTTATTCATGTAAGAATTATTTATCATATGGCATAGAGGATGTTGTCCCTGGGGTGGGGGTAATTACTGTGGAAAGTAAATGACTCCCTTATGCTTTTTGCCTTTGGGATTGAGTTACCTTGAATCACATGGGATTCAGGTGTGTTCCTGCCAAGCAATTTCACTGCCCTGCAGGGGAGCTCGAATTAACAGGAAAGAGTTGAAGCAATTAGTCCAAAACAGTGATTCTCCATGTGTAGCTCTGAAAGAACAATGTAAATATTACTTGAGAACTTCTTAAAAATGCAATCCTTGGTCCTCAGACCTAAGAAATTAGAAAGTCTGTGGATGGAACTGAGTAATCTATGGTTTAATCACCTGCAAGTGATTCTGATACCCACTTGTGTTTGGGAACAACTTCCAAAACCAAGGAAAATCCAGCGAGTTCTCTGTTAATGAAGGTTCTTACCATCTCATGTAGGATGGCTTCATCTCCAGGTAACCATCCCAACTTTGACTGACTTCACAATTAAGAAGTTAATTATGTCACATTACAAGGGGTCCAGATGGAGAGTGGATTCAGAATCAGTGTGGTGTTGGACCGGGCCCCAATCCCACTTCTCTGTGGTTCTCCTCACTCTGCCTTCCTTTGTGGATTGACTTTGTTTTTGTGCTTGGTGAATGGCCATGGCTGTTACAGATGTCACATCCAAAACAAAGACATCTCGTCTGGTGTTCTCTTCTCAACAGTTAGGAAAACTTTCAGTGAAGCTGCAGTTGAACACCTCTTCCTATGTGTTTTTTGGCAAACATGGAGTCACGTGGGAACTCCTGTACCAGTTCTATGGAAAGAGGTGGATACTACTTTGACAGATCAGTTGAGTTTTGATTTTTAATCTGGATATTCAATTCTTCTCTGTGAGTTCCATGTGTGTGAGAACTGGTCACCAGAACAGGAGAAGACTGAAGCTCTGCCTGCAAGTCTTGTTTTTGTAATTTTTTTTTTTTAACATACAGTTCACTTTTTTGGATTTACTGTTCTATGACCCTTTTAAAAAAACTTTTTATTTTGAACTAAGTATAGACACAGGAAGTTGCAAAGATGATATGGAGGGATCCCATGTAACTTTCCTGCAGTTTCTCCCAGTGGTTATATCATATGTAACTGTAGCATAATACCAAAATCAGAAAACTGACATTAGCACAATGTGCATGTACAGTTCTGTGCGCTTTTATCACACATGCAGATTCATCTAACTGCAATCAGGATACAGAACTATTCTATCACCTCAAACATCTCCCTTACGCTAGCCCTTTTTAGTCATGTGCAACACCCCCATTCCTAATCCCTGGCAACCACTAATATGTGCTTCGTCTTAATACTCTTGTCATTTTAAGACTGTCATATAAATGGAATTATATAGTATGTGACTTTTTGAGATTGACATTTTTCATTCAGTAATATCCTTGAGATTCATCTAGGTTGCATGTATCAATAGTCTGTTCATTTCCTTTATTTTTATTTTTTATTTTTTTTGGAGACAGAGTCTCACTCTCTTGCCCAGACTGGAGTGCAGTGGTATGATCTCGGCTCACTGCAACCTCCGTCTCCTGGGATCAAGTGAATCTCTTGCCTTAGCCTCTCAAGCAGCTGGGATTATAGGCGCCCACCATGCCTGGCTAATTTTTGTATTTTTAATAGAAGCAGGATTTCAATATGTTGGCCAGGCAGGTCTTGAACTCCTGATCTCAGGTGATCTGGCCATGTTGGCCTCCCAAAGTGCTGGGATTACAGGCGTGATCCACTGTGTCCGGCCATCCATTCATTTTCATTGGTATGGAGACAGGTTGCTTAATCATTCACCTATTGAAGGAAATTTTGGTTGTTTCCAGTTTTGCACTATTACTAATAAAGTTTCTGTGAACATTCATGTACAGGATCTTGTGTGAACATGTTTTCATTGTTTAAATAAGTGCTCACGAATATGATTGCTGGATTATATGGTAAGGGTATGTTCAGTTTTCATTTTTATTATTATTATTTTTGAGACAACATCTCATTCTGTTGCCCAGGTTTGAGTGCTGTGGTGTGATCTCAGCTCGCTGCAGCCTCAACTTCTTGGGCTCAAGCAATCCTCCCACTTCAGCCTCCTGAGTAGCTGGGACCACAGGCATCTGCCACCACACTCAGTTAATTTTTTTTTTTTTTTTTTAGAGACAGGATTTTGCCATGTTGTCCAGGCTGGTCTCAAACTCCTGAGCTTAAGCGATCTGCCCACCTTGGCCTCCCAAAGTGCTGGGATTATAGGTGTGAGCCATCACTCCTGGCCTGTATGTTCAATTTTTTTTTTTTTTGAGACTCTGTTGCCCAAGCTGGAGTGCAGTGCACTCTCAGCTCACTGCAACCTTTGCCTCCCAGGTTCAAGTGATTCTCCTGCCTCAGCCTCCTGAGTAGTTGGGACTACAAGCACGTGCCACCACACCCAGCTAATTTTTGTATTTTTAGTAGAGACAGGGTTTTACTATGTTGGTCAGGCTGGTCTTGAACTCCTGACCTCAGGTAATCCACCCAAAGTGCTGGGATTACAGACGTGAGCCACTGTACCTGGCCTGTATGCTCAATTTTTAAAGCAACTACCAAACTATTTCTGGAGTGGGCATACCATTTAGTCATCTCACCAGCAATGTATGAGATATCTAATTTAACTGCATCCTTGCTACCGTTTGGTATTTACATTAATTTTTATTTTAGTTGTTTTAAGACTTGTGTAGTGATATCCCAGCTTGATTTTAATTTGTATTTCCCTGATGGCTAGTGATGTTGGACATCTTTTCATGGTCTTATTTGCTAATGTGTATCTTCTTCACTGATATGTCTCTTCATGTTTGAATTTGAAAAATTCAAATTATAATTTTTTCTTTCATGAATTATTCTTTTTGTTTTGCATCACTGTATTCTTTATTGTTTTTTTTTTTTTTTTTCTGTGCTAATATCTTTCTCCTCTTCTTCAGGCTCATCATTGATCAGAATGTTAGAGTCTTTGGTATGGTTTCATACATTCCTCAGGCTATGCTTTTTTTTCTCAATCATCTTTTTCCCTCTGTTGTTCATATTAGATGATTTTTATTGCTCTATCTTCTAGCTTCCCGATTCTTTAATTTTCATATACATTCAGTTATTGAGCCTCTCCAGGGAATTTTTTATTTCTGTTATTTTATATTTCATTTCCGTAATTTTCCATTTGGTTCTTTTTTTATAGCCACTAATTCTTTGCCAGGAATTAGTGTAATTGTTTCAAGAGTGTTTGCTGTCACCTAATGGAGCATGGTTATAATTGCTTTAAAATATTTATCTAATAATTTCAACATCTCTGTTATCTTGGGATTGCCATCTGTTAATTGCCTTTTCCTCTGAGAATTTTAAAAAAGGTTTTCCTGGCTCTTATGTATGTTGGATAATTGTGGATTCTCTCTTGGATATTTTGAATATTATGTTACAAGATTTTGGGTCCTAATAAAATCTTCTGGGGGAATGTTGATTTTTTTTTTTTTTTTTTTTGAGACAGGGTCTCACTCTGTAGCCCAGGCTGGAGTGCAGTGGTGCTATCTCTGCTCACTGCAGCCTTGACCTCCTGGCATCAGTTGATCCACCTCAGTGGCCCCCAAGTAGCTGGAACTTCAGGTGTGTGCCACCACACCTTGCTATTTTTTTGTTTTGTTTTGTTTTGCTTTTGCTTTTGTAAAGATGGGGTTTCATCATGTTTCCTAGGCTGGCCTCAAACTCCTGAGCTCAAGCAATCCACCTGCCTTGGCCTCCCAAAGTGCTGAGATTACAGGTGTGAGCCACAGTGCCCAGCCTGTTTTGCTTTATTTTAACAGGCAGTTAACTTAGTTGGCTTTGCTCTGCAAGTCTTGACCCATTTTCTTTAGGCTGTGCATTCAATGTTAATTTAATTTCAAAGCTGTTGCAGTGCTATTTTGTCTGCTTTACATGTGTGCCACCTAGGGGCCAGTCTGGGTCCTGGAGAGTGTTCAATGTTGTAGTTTAGTTCTCAAAGTCTTTGCTATGTTGATTCTTGTCCATTCCATAGCTCACGGATGATCTCAGGACTTTACACATTGATCTAAAGGCTCTCGTCTTTAGCTCCTTCTACTCTGTGATGTTCCTCACACATAGCAATTCTTAGGGTCACTCTTTCCTGGTGCCCTAGTTAGGAAGCTGGTACTTTAGCGTTTCTGTGCTGTTGCATGCTTCCTATGACAGCGTGCACTTCAGGGCAAAGCAGCAAGTCATGGAGGCTGCGGGGCTGCTATCACCACTGCCACCACTGCAGGAGTCCAGATTTGTTATGGGTGTTCACCGGAACTAGGGTTGGGAGACGCGACAGAGCTCCATACTGCAGGGACTCTTTTGTAGGTTCTCTGGTGAGTGTAAGAGTGTGTGTTTTTATTTTTTCTCTCCCTTGGAGCCTTTTCCATATGTCACAATTCCAG
The DNA here is from genome assembly GCF_000001405.40 of Homo sapiens. Lineage (NCBI taxonomy): Eukaryota > Metazoa > Chordata > Mammalia > Primates > Hominidae > Homo > Homo sapiens. The sequence continues at coordinate 48,155,461 of NC_000007.14, forward strand.
GATTTCGGTTGCCCCAAACTCTATGTAAGGCAATATGAGAGGAACCAAATTTTAAGAAAAAGGGAAAAAAATTTACTGCCATCTGGGTTATTTGCTGAGTTTGATTTCTCTGTGCAGTCTCTCTGCTTCTATTTACTTTTCAACATTCTTCAATAACTTTTTTCTATACTATTTTAAGACATATTAGTTGCAGTAAGTGGGAGATAGGGTGGGATGGTCTTAATCCATCCTAACTGGAAACAGAACCTTAAATCTTGGCTTTGAAGTAAAAAGGTCATGGTCCAGATATAAGGCAGGATAATTTGGAAGAATATTTATCAAATTTTAAAAAATTTACTCTCTAGGAGTCTAGATAAATTTGTCTAAAATACAAATGGATGAGACTATTAGGAAAAACTGAATGGAAATAGTTTTAAGAGGGACCCTGTACCCATCTCTTCTCCCCTACCATGTTATCTCCAAGGTGGAGACAACACAGCCCCAAATAGCACTTGGGACCTGAGTGTAGAGGAGGCTAGTGCTCCACTTCCACCTGAAGACCTGGGCGGTAAAAGCCTTCCAGGGAATCTGTGCTCTCATGGCATGAGAGTGGTAGAATAGAGATGACAGGGGGTCATTGAGGCAGAGATAGTCCCACGGAGTTACTCTTGGTACCAGGGATGTCAAAGAACAGCTGAGGGTTCTCTATGTCTCTGAGAAAAGGGGGAGAGAGGTCTCATGGTCAGGATGAGAGGTCATAGCAACAAAGGGCCTGTGGCCCTAGAGACAGGAGCCCAAATTTAAATGTGGGCATTTCAGTAGAGTTCAGCAGTGAGACAGGGAGATGTGGCGGATTGCTCAGGACCATCCAACATCGTGAATGTTGGTAAGGGGAGAGATCAGACCTGTGTACAAATTTGGGAGCAGTGAGTGCATGAGTGGTATGGTATTTAAAGCCATGAGCTTGGCTGAGGTGTGGGTGAGAGGAGAAACTGGCAAACGCTGAGTCCAGGACACTCTGAAGTTCAGAGGATGGAAAGAGGAGGAGGAAATGATAGAGACTGAGAAGGTTGGGCCAGAGAGGTGGGAGGGGAGGTAAGATAAAATGGTGAGGAAGAATGAAGTACTGTGCCAAACACCACTGCTGGGGTCACGCAGGAAGAGGTTAGCTTTGGTCCGGCTCTTATATGTGGAAACATGGAGCATGGAGATCACAGAAGAAAAGTCAGTGGAGTGGTAAGGACAGAGCTTGACAGCCATGGATTTAAGGTGGATAGAATAAAGAGTTGTGGACAGAAACAATATACACTTGATCTTAGCTAAAAGGTGGAGAAGCAATGACAGAAGATTGACAATTATTTTGAAGAATTCTGATGTTAATAAAGATACAGTGCAGTACTTGGAGGAACTGATTTTTATTGTATGGTAGCAATCTTAGCGTGTTTGTGTGCTCATTAAAGGGTGTAAAACTGATGATCCTGCAAAGGGTACGAGATGCAGCCAGTGCAGCAGGGGGGAGCTGTCTTTAGGTAGGGACAAAGTGAGTCAAGCCATTGTGTCAGGAGGGAAGGCAGATGGTGTTAGTAAAGACGAGGCAAGCTGGTCCATTTGGTGGAGGGATTCTGTGAAAGTTTTATTCTAACTGCCTCTGTTTACTCAGTGAAATATCAAGCCTTAGTTTTTGCATTTGTAAAATAAAACATGTAATACCTACCTATTTTATTGGTTTAGTGAGCATCACAGAGGGCCCATTTAAACATATTTTGGAAATTGCAAGACATTGTACAAATATAATCATTGTCATTGGCTTTGATAAAGTTGTTCCCTCTCTTTGGATATCGATGTTTTCTTCCTGAGGTCCTCAGGATTCTAGAATGTTGATTTGGGAGGCATCAGCTCCTCACCGCCCTAGCCTGACAACAACTCCTTTAGGGTGAATTCTCTTCCCTCATCCTTACACTGAAGGAATGGTAATCCATAAGTCCTATTGCTAATTGAATTTTAGATTTTGCATTATATTCTGCCATCCTATGCTTTCAAATTAGACCTAGAGGCTCTGACACCAGAGTAAACAGACATTGCATTTCATATTCTCACCTGGAGAAATACAATTTTGCTTGAATGGAAGATGCAAGGAGCATGGTTTAAACCTCAGATTCTCTCAAAGAGATGAAAAGGAGAATTCTACTCAATGCCCTTAAAATCTAGGTGTTGGCAACTTTCCTTTCAATGGATAAAAGTAATTGTTAGTAGACTTTTGAGGATTTCTTTTAAATTTTCTTAGCTCAGTGGACACTAAATAGCATTAAAAGTTGAAAACCACTTGTCCCTATCCATTTATTATCTTTTGAAGAGACATTCTTTAGACAGAAGTTGAAATTATGTTTTTTTATTAGTGTAAGAAGGGAAACTAATTCAGATTAATGAGAAATTACAGAAATTAGCAAGAGAGAATTTCAGCATCAGAAAAAAGTAAGTTATTTAAATTACCTTTGAGGCGATTATTTTCAAGATTTATAAATTACAATTAAATATGAAGCATTTGAGTCATGAAAGTTCTTTAAGCTATGAAACTTCTAATTGCTTATTGCCCCTAATTTTAATAAAGCTTTTTAACAGAGACAAAGAGGCAATTTTACCTGAAAACACGGAATATTTTACTTACAACTTTGAAACCACATTACCATAACCTTTCAAAGGAATCAGTCAAGTGTTTCTTGATCATCTCATGCATTCAAGTCGATTGCATGCTCATCTGACAGTTTGCTAGGCTCTTTGGGAACCACTCAGCTCTGACCAACTCAATTTATGTTTGAAACTTATTCCATCCAAGCAGCATTAGACTTAAGTGTAGCTGGGAAAGAGATAAGTTAGATTTGGCCTGCAGGGGCCTTTGTTCTTCATTCCTTTCTTTCCTGGATTAAGCCCTCCTTTCTTCCTTCCCTCTCTGGTCTGTGCGGGGCTTCATGTACTCTTACCCATCCACTTCTCTAAGGAATAAAACCTCCATTCAAATAATCAAGTAGAATGGCTTCAGTTTGAAAAGGTGGGGGGTGGTAGAGGGGCAAAAAAGAGCAGAGACTGGGAGCAAGTTTTGTTATTAGTCATAAAGCCAAATGTTACTTTTGTAAACCAATATGAGATGTCTTGTGAGAAAGCACCAGTAGACATGGAATTCTGATTTACAATGACTGATGCATGAGGCATGCGGTCTGTCCTACACAGATAATTTGTGATTCTGTAGTGAGTATAGAGGGACCGGTTCTCCTCTGAGGGAAATTCAGCTTTAGACATGATTTCCAAAAAGTTCCATCCTCTGGATCCTTTCATATAAAGACTTTTCTGCTAACTCCATGGTTTTCTCAGCGCCTTTCAGGGTCAAAGGAATTCCCTGATCTAGGTAAGGTGTGAGCATCAACCTTAAATTCCTTAGTAAGACTCATCTTCAGGCACCCAAATGCAAGTTTAGGTTGCACATCCCCTTTTTAACCCCTTTGTGTTAGTCCGCTAGGGCTGCCATAACAAAATACCGCAAACTGGGCAGCTTAAACAAGAGAAAACTATTTTCTCACAGTTCTGGAAGCCAGAAGCCCAAACTCAAGGTGCCACTAAGGTTGGTTCCTGGTGAGGCCTCTCCTCCTGACTTATAGCTGGCCACCTTCTAGCTATGTCCTCACATAGCCTTTCCTCTGTGTGTGTCCACTCCTGCTCTCTCTTCTTTTCCTGTAAGGACACCAGTCTTATCAAATTAGGTAAGACTAAGCTTTATGATCTCATTTAACTTTATTGACTTCCCTAAAGGCTCCATATGCAAATACAGTCACATTGGGGGTTAGGGCTTCAACATTAAATTTTTTGGGGAAGGCAATTCAGTCCATAACACCCTCCTTCCCTTCTTGGACTCTTCTTGTGATATAGGTTTCATAGTAAATGTCTCATTTCCTAATCACCGTTGAACTAGCAAACCTTCGCTTTTGTGCATTATAGTAGAAGAGAGACTGATGACCTTGCTTTCGTGGCTTTCTCCTTTGATTGTCATGGCTGCATATGGACTTTTAATGCTTTCCTCTTTGCACATCATCCACTGAGTAGAGAGTTGTGGAAGAGGTGGTTGCTGAGGCAGGTGGCTGACATCAGGGAAGATGGCAAGAAGTGAGTCAGTCTTGGGATGGAAGAATCTGGGAGCAGGTAGCATTAGGAGAATGAGGGTTGTATTAAGTATTTAGTCACATTTCATCCATGGTGTTCTCTTCATGTTGTACTGATTGAAACGATAAAGCTGTGGATGGCCAAGGTCACGCTGGTCATTAACTGCAGGTTGGACCTGGAACTCCCACCTGGATGATTCCAGTGCCAGAACCTGACTTCCCTTGGAAATCCAGCTACTTACTATTCCCCAAACCTCCCACCTCCACTTTTTCACTACCCTTGGCTTCTCCTCCTTCTCTCCTTCTTTGAATTATGTCATCATTAATTCCTTTGTACTTTTTCCATGTCTCAGCCCCTGCCAAAGGCCCTTATTCCCTTCTCCTTGGACAGTTGTGATAGCCTTCTTCCTGCTGGCCTTCCTGCCTCTAAGCTGTGCTAAAGGGGAGGTGGATAGTTGAGATGGTTATTTACAGAGAAAGGGAAGGACAGAAAGCAGGGCTCCCAGGATTCTCTATGGACAAATTCTGTTCTCTTTCAGCCACTTGTATCAGTGAGGCATCTTAGTGAGATAAGAGAGACAGAGAGACAGAGAGAGAGAGAGAGGCAGATGCTCCTTCCTGATGACCATGGCAGGCCGGCCTCAAATCCTGACTCAGCCATTCCCCTAGAAGCTGGTTTTTATGAACCATTTGGTGGACTATGTATCAACAGGATCAACAAGAAAAATACAAGTTAATGTTGCATATTATAAAGAGATAAATTTTAATGTAGAAAACTTCTATAGGTGATGGAAGAGCCAAGAAGCCAGGGAGGCAATGGTGAAGTGACTCAGAAATCGGCAATTAGGGTAACAAATGGCCAATGGGGGCTCCAGGCTGGAGGAACAAGGGCAGGAGATGGAACTGCTGCAACTCAGGGTCACTTATGCAGGCTGGAGCCCTGACAGGGAAGGGAAGTGCAGGGGGAAGGATGGAGGGTGGAGGAGAGGAGACAGGGAAGAGAATTTCTCTAGAGAACTCTGCCACACTGGCCGCTTTAACTCACTAACACCCACACACAACTGGCTCAGCTCAGGGCTGCTTGTTTCTGCTCACCAAGGAGCCCACCAGATGCTCTTTGCTCAGGGGGTTTTGACACATGTGGGGTTCCAGGGCCCAGGCTGCTTCAATCTTGTTCTGCCATCCCCTAGGGCCTCTAATGGAGAGAGGAGAACATTGACTGACACTGAGGGCCTGGACTTGGAAGTGACAACGGTATTCCCCTCACCTTCAGTGGCAAGAGTGAGCCACTTGGCCCAGTGCAAGGGGGCTAGGAAGTCCCTTGCTGAGCATCGCCCTGGGCAGCGGCTCAGCACTGTGTGAGGAGAGTGCCATCCTAAGGGACATTGGTCACCTCTGCCTCATGGCTTAGATACTATTTTGCTTGTGAAGGAAACCAAAATATTTCATATATATATATATATATATATATATATATATATATTTGGAAATATTTAGAGATAGCTATTCTGAGGGACTGGAAATACAAGAGTAGCAGAAAAGCTGTCCTTCTTGGGAAGAGCTGTATCTGTGGAGAAATTCTGCATCCCCCTTCTTGGGGTAAACAGAACTTACAGTGTCTTTTATCTAGTCTGCCAGGCTGCCTGGTTGCTCCCTCAGGAATAACCTCCTATGTGTCTGGATCATATAAAACTGTCTGCAGTTGCTCAGTGTTGAGATGTGGGTCCCACATCAATCCAAATGTATGCTTTTCTGCTCTGTAACATTTAAAACCAAAGATACTGCCCCTAAATTGGTCACTCTTGTAATCCATTTTAGTAAAGATGTCTCAGGAAGCTGATATTACTGATCTACAAAATGGAACAATTCCTTCACACTATACCATTTGGTTTCAATAGTTAGTTGGTTCGCCCTTCCTTCATATTGATTATTTTCTTGGTAACCACAAGTCTCAGAGGTACTTTCTGTTGTTCCTGCATAATATTTTCCTTTGTTGTTGACTTTGAGGCTAGAATCCTGAGCTCAGATGGACCACATCTGAGTTTGATCCAGCTTCAAGTTCTGACTCAGCACCCTCTTTTACTTTCATTTTAGCCATTATAGATAACAGTCACCAAAAGATTGAATATTTTTTTTTTCCTTATTAGTTTGCATTTCCTTATGTATCCAAAGAAACAATTCCTGGAGAGTAGGATCCATCTCTAAATTCCATTGGTAACTTTCACCTTTAGTAATTGATCTCAACATAGCTGTGGCTTTATAACATGGGTGACCACCTGGCTACCCAGGAATCAAATATTCCTCATCCCCCACTCTTTTATCCTTTCTCTTCCCAAGCCACATGTTTCCATGAGTCAGTGCCATTCCAATAAATCCCACTTCACTCACCAATTGTGTAGAGAAAAACTTTTCTCAAACTGCATGTTCCCTCCACTCTCACACCACATTAGTGATCAACACAGAAGACTTCTGTGACCAAATGTGTGGGTATTTTTTTTCCCAAACACCAAGGAGAAGACAGCAGCTAAGTGTCCTTTAATTTAGTTCTGACACTGTCTACTCAGAGATAGTGTCAGATCCCACAGGTTGAAGGCTCAGTCTCTGAGACTGCCCCTCTATACACACCAGTTGCAAGTCCAGGCATCTGGAACTTCTGACTGACCAGCTTTATGTTGGGGTTCCCATGACCCTCTCTTTGGGTTCAGTTAATTTGCTGGAGTGGCTCACAGAATTCAGGGAAACACTTATGTTTACTGGTTTATTATAAAGAATATTGCGAAGGATACAGATAAAGAGACACATAGAGGAAGGTATAGGGGAAGGGACATGGAGCTTTCATGCCCTCCCTGGGTGCCACCCTCCAGGAACCTCCACTGTCTAACTGTCCAGAAGCTCACTGAACCTCTTCCTCTTGGGTTTTTATGGAAGCTTCAAGAAATCAGCATTCATTCCCCCAGTGTATAGTATGGGACCTTCTCATGGGAGGGTCTTAAGATCCACAGTCAGAAAGACAGGGGAACATTAGAGTAAAAGGAGGGCAGGAGAAAGTAAGAGGCCTGTCCCTGAGGCCTAACACACCCAACATTATGAGAAAAGACTGTAACAAGGGCTATGGGAGTTATGATCCAGGAACTGTGGACAAAAACCAATGTATATCATAACACCACACTGCCAAAGTAAGCTTAATAAGTGAAGGAGAAATAAAATCTTTTCTAGACAAGCAATTGCTAAGGGAATTCATTGCCACTAGACCAGCCTTACATGAGGTCCTTAAGGGAGTTCTAAACATAGAACTCAAAGAATGATACCTAATACTATGGAGTTGGTTCCTTTCAGTGAGTTCTTGGTCTTGCTGACTTCAAAAATGAAGCTGTGGACCTTTGCGGTGAGTGTTACAGCTCTTAAAGGTGGCATGGACCCAAAGATTGAGCAACAGCAAGATTTACTGTGAAGAGCGAAAGAACAAAGCTTCCACAGCATGGAAGGGGACCGCAGCAGGTTGCCGCTTCTGGCTGGGGTGGCCAGCTTTTATTCCCTTATTTGTCCCAGCCCATGTCCTGCTGATTGGTCCATTTTACAGAGTGCTGATTGGTCCATTTTACAGAGTGCTGATGGGTCCATTTTACAAACCTCTAGCTAGCCACAGAGCACTGATTGGTGCGTTTTTACAGAGCACTGATTGGTGCATTTTACAAACCTCCAGCTAGCCAGAGTGCTGATTAGTGCATTTTACAATCCTAGCTACAGAGCGCTGATTGGTGCATTTTACAATCCTCTTGTAAGACAGAAAGAAAAGTTCTCCAAGTCCCCACCCAACCAAGAAGCCCAGCTGGCTTCACCTCTCAATACCACAGAAACACACTTAAGTACATAGCCCACAGGCTCTATAAAGCAACTACACAGTCAAGACCACAAAGCAACCAGTGACCAACTTTACAACAGGATCAAAACCTCACATATCAATATTAACTTTGAATGCAAATAGTCTAACACCCCACTTAAAAGACACAGATTGGCAACTTGGATAAAAAACAAGACCCAACCATCTGTTGCCTTCAAGAGACGCATCTCATATGTAATGACACACATAGGTTCCAAGTAAAGGGTTGGAGAAAGATCTATCACACAAACAGAAAACAATAAAGAGCAGGGGTTGCTATCCTTATAACAGATAAAACAGACTTTAAACCAACAACAGTAAAAAAGGACAATGAAGGGCATTACATTATGATAAAAAGTTGAATTTCATGTGAAGACTTACCTATCCTAAATATATGTACACTCAACACTGGAGTACCCAGATTCATAAAACAAGTACTTCTAGATCTAGGAAAAAACTTAGAAAAATACACTGCAATAGTTGCAGACATCAGCACCCCCCTGACAACATTAGATCATTGAGGGAGAAAACTAACAAGGAAATTCTGGACTTAAACTTGATGCTTGACAAATTGGACCTAATAGACATTGATAGAATACAGCACCCAACAGCTAGAGAATATACAATCTTCTCATCTATACATGGAACATACTCTAAAATTGACCACATGCTACGTCATAAAGCAAATATCAATAAATTTAAAAAAATGGAAATCAAACCAAGCATATTCCTGGACTATAGTGGAATAAAAATAGAAATCAATACCAAGAAAATCTCTAAACCAGAGGTACCCAACCTTTTTGGCATCAGGGACTGGTTTTATGCAAGACAACTTTTCCACAGACTGGGGGAAGTGGGGATATTTTTGGGATGAAACTGTCCCACCTCAGATCATCAGGCATTAGATTCTCATAAGGAGTATGCCACCTAGATCCCTCACATGTGCAGTTCACAATAGGGTTCACACTCCTGCGAGGCTCTAATGCTGCTACTGATTTGACAGGAGGCAGAACTCAGGTGGTAATGCTTACTTGCCTGCTGCTCACCTCCTGCTTCGTGACCTGGAGTTGGGGGAAGTTGGAGACCCTTGCTCTAAACCACATGATTACATTGAAATTAAACAACTTGTTCCTGAATGACTTCTGGTAAACAATGAAATTAAGGCAGAAATTAAAAAAAATTCTTTGAAATAAATGAAAACAGACACAACATTTGCCTGGGATGTAGCAAAAGCAGTGTTAAGAGGAAAGTTTATAGTGCTAAATGCCTACATCAAGAAGTTAGAAAGATCTGAAATTAACAACTGAACATTGTTCTTAGAGAAACTAGAAAAACGAAAGCAAACTTCAAAGCTAGCAGTAGAAAATAAAAAACTGAAATCAGAGTAAAACCCATTGAAATTGAGACCCTAAATCCACATGAAGGATCAATGAAATAAAAAGTTGGTAATTTGAAAGGATAAACAAGATTGATAGACTGCTAGCTAGATTAACAAAAGAAGAGAAGAGAGATCTAAATAAGCAGAATCAGAAATGACACTGCAACCAATCCTACAGACATACAAAAGACCCTCAGAGAATATTATGAACACCTCTATGCACACAAACTAGAAATTCTAGAAAAAATGGATAAATTCCTGGGAACACATAACCTCTCAAGATTGAATCAGGAAGAAATAGAAACCCTAAACAGACCAACAGCAAGAATGAGTTCCAAAATTGAATTAGTAATAAAAAACCAACTAATCAAACACAAACAAAAAAAACCCCTGGACCAGATGGATTCGCAGCTGAATTCTGCCAGGCCTACAAAGAAGAGCTGATACCAGTTCTGCTGAAACTATTCCAAAAATCACAGAGGAAGGATTCTTCCTTAACTCATTCTGCAAAGTCAGCATCATTCTGATACCCAAATCTGGAAAAGACACAATGATAAAAGGAAAGTTCAGGTCAATATCTCTAATCAATACAAATGCAAAAATCGTCAACAAAATACTAGCAAATCAAATCCAGCAGCACAGCAAAAAGTTAATTCACCACAATCAAGTAGGGATTATTCCTGGGGTGCAAGGATGATTCAACATATGTAAGTCAACAAATGCAATTCACTACATAAACAGAATAAAAAACAAAGTATATGATTAACTCAGTAGATGAAGAAAAAACTTTTGATGCAATACAACATCCCTTTATGATAAAAACCCTCAAAAAACTAGGCATCAAATGAACATATCTCAAAATAATAAGAGCCATCTATTACAAACCCACAGCCAACATACTGAATGAGCAAAAGCTGGAAGCTTTCCTCTTAAAAAGTGAAGTGAAACAAGGATGCCCACTCTCACTAAAGCTATTCAATATAGTACTGGAAGTCTTAGCCAGAGCAATCAGGAAAGAGAATGAAATAAAACGTATCCAAATAGGAAAAAAAATAAGCCAAATTATCTCTCTTTGTTGATGATTGATATGATTCTATACCTAGAAAACTCCAAAGGCTACTTCTACTAATAACTTCAATAAAGTTTCAGGATACAAAATCAATGTAAAAAAATCAGTAGCATTTCCATACACAAATAATATTCAAGCTAAGATCCAAATCAAGTATACAATCTCATTTACAATAGCCACAAAACCCAAAATAACTAGAAATACTCCCAACCCAAAGGTGAAAGATCTCTACAAGGAGAACTACAAAACACTGCTAAAAGAAATTATAGATGACACAAACAAATGAAAAAACATTCCATGTTCATGAATTGGAAGAATCAATATTGTTTAAAATGGCCACACTCCCCAAAGAAATCTATAGATTCAGTGCTATGCCTATCAAACTACCAATGTCATTTTTTACTAAATTAGAAAAAAACTATTATAAAATTCATATATAATCAAAGAAGAGCCCGAATAGACAAAGCAATCCTAAGCAAAACAAAGCTGGAGGCATCACATTACCCCACTTTAAACTATACTGCATGTGTATACTAACCAAACAGCATGGTACTGGTATGAAAACAGACCCATAGACCAATGAAACAAAATAGAGAACCAGAAATAAAGCTGCACACCTACAGCCATCTGATCTGTGACAAAGTCAACAAAAATAAGCAATGAGGAAAGGACTCCCTATTAATAAATGCTGCTGGAATACACCTGCAATACCTGCCTAGCCATACACCAAAGAAAATAACTGGACCTCCACATTTCACCATATACAAAAACTAACTCAAGATAGATTAAAGATTTAAATGTAAGACCTCAAACTATAATAATCCCAGAAGAAAACCTAGGAAACCCCATTCTGGACATTGGCCTTCAGAAAGAATTTATGACTAAGTCCTCAAAAGAGACTGCAACCAAAAAAAAAAAAATTGACAAGTGGGACTTAATTAGACAAAAAATATTTTGCACAGCAAAAGAAACTATCAACAGAATAAAGACGCACCATACAGAATGGGAGAAAATATTTGCAAACTACGCATCTGGTAAAGATCTAATATGGAGAATCTATAAGGAACTTAAACAATTGAAAGAGAAAAAAAAATTGTAAAGTGGGCAAAACATGAACAAACCCTGCTCAAAAGGAGACATACAAATGGTCAATAAACATATTAAAAAGTGCTCCTCATCACTAACCATTAGAGTGATGCAAATCAAAACCACAATGAGATATCAACTCACATCAGTCAAAATGGCTATTATTAAAAAGTCAAAAAACAACAGATGCTGGCCAGGCTTGGAGAAAAGGGAACACTTAGTTTGTTGGTGGGAATGTAAATTAGTTCAGCTACTGTAGAAAGCAGTTTGGAGGTTTCTCAAATAACTGAAAACAGAACTATCATTCAATCCAGCAATCTTATTACTAGGTATTCATCCAAAAGAAAATAAATGTTCTATCAAAAAACACACACTTGTATGTTCATTGCAGCACTATTCACAACAGCAAGACATGGAATAAACAAAGATCCCCATCAATGGTGGAACAGAAAAAGAAAATGTAGCACACATACACCACGGAATAGTACACAGCCATAAAAAAGAATAAAATCATGTCTTTCACAGAAACATGGATATAGTCGAAGGCTATTATCCTAAACAAATTTGTGCAAGAAGAGAAAACTAAATACTGCATGTTCTCACCTCTAAGTGGGAGCTAACCATTGGGTACTTATAGGCATAAAGATGGCAACAATAGAAACTGGTGCTACTAGAGGGGGAGGGAGAGAGGGAGCAAAGGCTGGAAAACTTAACTATTAGGTACTATGAAGAGTACCTGGTTGAGATAAATCATACCCCAAATCTCAGCATCGTGTAATACACCCAGAGAGCAATTCCGCATGTGTAACTCCTGAATCTAAAATAAAAATGGACATTATTTTTTAAAAAGAACAGGAAAGAAACAAAACAAAATGAAACAAAAATGCTATCATCTCCCTACAACTAAATTTATGTAACTAAAGCACAAACTAGAATTTAAAAAAATGTAAATACCAAACTCATAGCATTTCTGATGATGAATTTTATGTGTCAACTTGATGGGGCCACAGGATTTCTAAATATATGGTCAAATATTATTCTGGGTGTATCTGTCAGTGTGTTTTGGATGAGATTAATATTTGAATTTGTAGACTGAATATAGCAGACTGCCCTCCCTAATGTAGGTTGGCATCATCCAATCAGCTGAAGGCCTGAATAGAACAAAAAGGCTGATCCTCCCCAAGTAAGAGAATTTTTCCTGCCTGATGACCTTTAAATTGAGACCTCAGCTTTTTTTCTGCCTTCAGACTTGAATTGAAGCCTTGGCTCTTTGGGGTTATTAAATATGCTGGCCTTTAGATGGCACCGATTGCTTTCTTGGTTCTCAGGCTTTTAGACTCTGACTAGAGCTACACCATTGTCTCTCCAACTTGCTACACCATTATCACCAAGTTGCTGACTCACCTGCAGATCTTGGGACTTGCCCAGCTCCATAACTGCTTATGCCACTTCCTTATGGTAAATTTCTTTAGATATATAAATATGCATATGATTCTGTTTCTCTGGAGAACCCTAATACGTATTTTGGTACTAAGAATAATTCTGGAGGAAGAGAATCTTAAGGATAAACTTAAATAGGTTCTGAGGTTTCTGGGATTGAATCTCTAATCTGATTAGATTTAAAGACTATTGACTCTATTTCTAATAAAGAGAAAATTGGTGGTCCATGACATGATGTGGCAGTAGAGATGCACAAAATATCACCACTAGATGCTTCTAATCAAACACTTAGAAGAAGCAAGGGTCTGGATGATCTTGTATTTGATACTTTCCAACATTTTTGTCAAACTCATGAGTAAAATGAGGTTGACTGGTTGCTTCTAGTGTTGGTGGACAAAGTGGAAAAAGAAAAGGATGACCTCAGGGGTCAAATTCCCAGCTGAAGTGCTGCATAAATGACCTGAAAGTTTCTAAGTGTGTCCCCGAAAGAGACCCTTATTTCCTGTAGTTGCAGGGCTGAGATTGCAGAAAATCAAACCAGAATCTCATCTTGCAACTGACTGAATTACAATGCAATTTGACTGCTAGTCTTGTAGGGTGTCTACTATTAAAGTAAAGGCATTGATTTGGAGGGAATGCGGTGCTGAAAGTTGGAATGGAGATATGTGGGAAGACCCTGATGAAGCTGGAGACACTGAGCCCCTAAATAACGTCTTCTTTGTTATGTGGAAGAGATCTCCACACTCAAGTGGAGGCATTTTCCCCAGTCCTAGTGGAAGTAGTCTCTTACCCCATGTCTGAGGGGATCAACCCTGCCTTGCCTAAGAAAACTATAATGTCCTACCATGAGGCAGTTGCCATGCAAGGCGCTTCTGCTTCTCCTCAGAACCCACTCCCACCATTCCTCGTTCATTTCAGACCTATAACTAGATTCAAGTCCCAGCAGCACCCAAAGGGGAGATATAAGGTATAAACCATGAGGAAGTGTGCTATACATCAAATGGACAATTTGAGTTTTCTAATGTATACAAGCAGAAATCTGGGGAATATGTGTGGAAATGGATATAAGGGTATGGGATAATGATGGAAGGAACATAAAATTGTATCAGGCCAAATTTGCTAATATGGGGTCACTAAGCAGTTATTCTGCATTTAATATGGCAGCTCATGGAGTTAGGAAGGGCTCTAATTGCTTGTTTGTTTTCTTGGCTGAAACACGGAACAAAAGATAGCATTATTCTGGGAGTTTCTGCAAGGGTGTTTATAAATGACATTAATATTTAAGTAGGTAGACTGAATTCAGCAGATGGCCCTCCCTAGTGTGAGTGGGTCTCATCCAATTAGTTGAAGACCTAAACAGAACAAAAAGTCTGACTTTCCCCTAAGTTAGATAATTATTTCTGTCTGATGGCCTTCATACTGGGACATTGGCTTTTTTTTGTTTTCTGCCTTCAGACTTTATGGAAATACCAGCTTGTCCTGGGTCTCAAGTTTCCCAGTCTTTGGATGGCAACTACACCATTGGCTCTCCTGTTCTCAGGTCTTTGGACTCGGACTGGAACTATATCATTGGCTTCCTTGGGTCTCTGACTTGCTAATTCACCTTGCAGATCTTAGGACTTGCCCACCTCCATGACTGTGTGAGCCTATTCCTTATAATCAATCAATCAATCGATCAATGAATCACCCATTGGTTCTGTTTATCTGAAAATCCTAACACAGCATTGTTCCATGAAAGCAATGGATGAGATAATTTTTGTGTCTCTGACATAATTCTGGCATAGCAGCATAAAAACTGGCTGCTATGAACATAACATGAGAAAAACCTTATGGTTGGAGGCTTTTTCTTATACTAGATTTTTAAAAATTATGACAATTACTTGTAAGGTGTTCTAGATGTTATCTGCAAAGAGAACCAGAGTAGCAATACTTAGGCAACCCCAAAGACCTTTGAGAAGTCACAGGTCAAGGGGGAACATCATATGGGGATCAGGCAAATCCACTTATGGTTGCTGGGCGCCATCCTGCTAAGTAATGGCCTTCACTCTAGTGCTGCCAGCCATGTAACAAAAAATAAAATAAAATAGGCATGCTCTAAACAAATAAGTTTACAAAATAATTGAGTCAGTTTCTTTGCTGAAGCCTGTGTTCCCTGTTTCCTATTGCAAAAGCCATTTATCAAGCATTCACAGCTTGTGAAAATTGCTTTATGAAATAGAAGACCACAAGACTGGGTTGCCTGAAATCCTTCTGACCACAACTGGGGGCAACAGGAACTCAAGAGGGCCTGGCTTCCAAGACGATGGAGCCACCAGCTGGCAAGCTGAATCCATCATGCCACTTAGAAAGTGCAAGTGTTCAGGAATCAAACAGGACTCAGAGGTAATCCACAGGCCACTTGCTGAGTCCTGCCACATCTGCACCCGATACCATTTGAAACGTAGATCCTGATCCCTTTGGAGGAAATGGGTGAAGGAGAAGTATGAAGTGCAGGTGCAGTAGCAGAGTGGAACTTGAGTCACCCATTCCCCAAACTCCCCCAGACACCAACACTGCTTCCATCTCCTTCCCTTCAAACTCTCTGCCATGGGACCACCAAAATTGAAATATTTTGGCAAATTTGTGTAATAACCAATGCTTCAGAAGAAAAAAGGAAAATTCCATCTAATTAATATCCAGAAAAAAAGGGAGGTAAATGGTAAATGTGGGCATTACTTCTTGTCGCACAGATCAGTTCTGTGGGTTCTCGGAAAGGGAGGGCACCCTCTCTGTGTATGTGTGTATGCCCGAGAAAGTCCCTGAAGGCAGCTTTCTGTAATTCAACCCTCCTGAAACACTGAACAGCTAGTGAAAAGATTTCTCAGCAGATGCCGAACAAGAGGGGACATCTGATGCCTGTTTTATTCAGTCACCAGTAATCTCTCTTGCATCACTCACTTTTGTTAGAATTGACTAATAGGCAACATGCCTTCACTTGAGCCCAGCAGATATAAGCACCATCCTTACAGGCTGGCTTCCTGACTGAGAGCAGGGAGCAGCAGGCATGGGGCATGCCGGGTGCCAGTTCAAAGCCCTGCTGTGGAAGAATTGGCTCTGCAGACTCAGGAACCCGGTGAGTGCTTGCCTTGGTTTTCCATAGGGTTCCAGTGAGGTCTGGAGCAAGATCAGGGTCTATTCTTTCCTGCCTGCCTCTGCCTCCTGGCAGGTAAAAACACTCATGCTGCAGGGAATTTGGGGAGGTTGGATTATTTTAAATCAAAACCCGTCCCAAGGGCCAAAGTAGCTGAACACTTTAATGACCAGGATGAAATCAAGGCTGAAGAATTTATCAGAAAAGGGCAAATTTAGAAAAATTCTAAAAACAAACAAACAAAAAAGCAGGTGGAATTGAACTATAATTTGTGTTCTAAGCATTCGTTGTAAAAACTGAACAGTGAATTCTCAGGTTTAAGGAACAAAGCATTTGCTGCATTTAATGCATAAGCAGAATGCTACAGGTACTGACTCCGAAGCACAAGACTGCACAGTGTGCCTCACCAGAGCAGGGTATGACACATCCACTCTGTTATTCTGTAGGGTCACCATCTTTAGTGTTAATTCACATCTATTTAGAACTGTATTCAAATTACATTAGCAAGGTTTTCCTAAGGAGATTGGAATTGTTCAAATGAAACTTGTGTGAATACTTATGCAAATATCCTGTAAGTGTACGTTTTTGTGAAATAGAAATCAATTGCTTGTTATTATGACTAACTTTATTCCTGATGCCACTATATAAACATTAATACCTATAAATGTCATTTTCAGGAGAAGTAGATGTGCAGTAATTTACCTGCATCGTTTCTGATTTTAAGGTCTACAGTTAACCTATGGGAATTTTCTGCTGACAAATGCTTTGGTTTGAAGAGATTCAGTAATTGACATTGAATTACATTTTGCTGAATCCTCCGAGCCAGAATATTCTATCTCTCTGTCTTGAAATAAAATACAAGTTAAAGGAGATGTTTTCTTTTTTATGTGATCTTTAGGATCAAAATAATTTCAGTTGAAAGTTTGTACAAAAGTTTTAAGTTGGCCGGGCGCGGTGGCTCACGCCTGTAATCCCAGCACTTTGGGAGGCCGAGGCGGGCGGATCACGAGGTCAGGAGATCGAGACCATCCTGGCTAACACAGTGAAACCCCGTCTCTACTAAAAAAACACAAAAAAATTAGCCGGGTGTGGTGGCGGACGTCTGTAGTCCCAGCTACGCGGGAGGCTGAGGCAGGAGAATGGCGTGAACCCGGGAGGCGGAGCTTGCAGTGAGCCGAGATCGCGCCACTGCACTCCAGCCTGGGCGACAGAGCGAGACTCCGTCTCAAAAAAAAAAAAAAAAAAAAAAAAAAAAAAAAAAAAAAGTTTTAAGTTCAGGAATAAAGGAGTGAGACAGTCTTCATTGATTGTTAGTGTGTTCGTGTCTGTGTAGGTAGTTTTACATTTATAAACAGTGTATTTCATTGACATGTAAGTTTGTTTTAGGGAATTAGCCTATTTTCCCATGAAAGAGTGTTATGGGTGGAAGTTGGTTCCCAGGCACTGCTCTTTCTGCTTTATGCATATCTACCTCAAAACAGTTCAGTGACCGAGGTAGCCAGACTGCCTACTCCTCCTTAATGGATACTTGAGTTTTAAAAAATTTTCACAATTACTTTTGCTGCTAAGGCAAACATCCTCATCAGAAGGTTTTATTTGTTTGATAACTGTTTATTTAAAGTGGTAACTCCTGCATCCCACTTTTCTTTGACTTATTTTTCTTTAGTATTTATCATCTTGTAACACACCACAGATTTTCTTATTTGCCGATTGCCTCTGGATCCTACATTAGTATGTTACATGCATGAGAGCAGGACATTTTCCCCAATTGGTTCATCAATGTATTCTCCAGCACCCAGAACAGTGCCTGGCACACAATGGATGTTCAGTAAATATTTGTTGAATAAGTAAAAGAAGGAAGGAATAAAGCATTTATGCATCTCTGTTATGTGCCAGATAGTGGGTGAACAAGAAAAGTGAGTTCCTGGCCCACAAAGAGCTATAGTCTGTTCACAGAAAAGCAATGAAAAATGCAATTAAATATTTAATGAAACCACCTCTTGGGATATATCCTATAGATGTCCCTGCACAAATGGGAAGTGATATTTGTACAAGGTTGTTCATTATAGCAATGCCTAGAATAGCAACAGAGTAGAAACAACACAAGTGGTTCCATGCATAGAATTTGGAGCTGCCTGACTGGGTTCACATCCCAGCTCTGTCACTTACTAGTTTACTTTTTCAGGCAATTTCTTAACTTAGTTTTCTTCTCTGTAAAATGAAATTGTTTGTAAGTATTAAATGAGTTTGTACATGTAATGTGCTTGCAACAGTACCTGGTATAGGAGTGGGAGCTGTTTTCTTATTTGGTAGAAATGGGTGGCCTCAGACATCTGTGGACATGAACCGTGGGCTGTGAGGAGAGGAGGCACAGGGTAACTCTCAGTTCATGGCTTGCACAGTTGGGTTAGAACAGAACTCCAGGGGGATAAAATGTGAATATGTTTACATATCTTAATGTTATTACAGTGGAAATATTGAGGGCAGGCCCCTCTGGGTGAATGTCTTTAAACTGACCTATTTTTCACAGCATTCTCCCATTCTCCAATGATAATCTGTAGATTCTTTGTTTTTGAACTATGAAAGTGAGGTGTTGGCATGAACTGTGGAATAACCAAACTGCCTGAGTGAATAAATGGCCTCAAATACATGTTTATTTAGTGAGTAAAGCCAGGAACTATTTGTTGTAGGAAGGAAGCTTGTCTGTTTTTACATTTACTGTTTTTTTTAGCTTTTTTTTTAAATTGATGCATAATAGATGTACATAGTGTCAGCATACATGTGATAATTTAGTAATTTGTATCATTCATAAAGAGCAAATCAGTATATGCTTTTACATTTACTTTTAAAAAATCTTTCATATATTTCATGATTATAGTTTCTTCAAAAAACATCTTATTATAGATTCAAACAAAAATTTAAAAAAATAGAATAATGGATAAATAGTACCCATCATACTTATCTTAATACCTAACTCTATAGATTGTTAAAATTCTACTATTCTTGGAAAAAGTAGTTTCTTACCATTATTTTAATACCATTTATTTTTTCCTCTTGATTTTTATTTATTGTAAAAACAGTACTAAAACAAAAGATAAACATTTTAAAGTCATCTAAAATTTTATTATCCTAATTAACTTTTGTGGTCTTTTCTTATCCTTAGGCATACATAATGAAATATTTTTACGTAATTAAAGTCATAGCTTTTTTCCCACTTTATATTGAAGCCTAACATTTTAAAAGTTACTGTATGGTCTTCTTATTTAATGGTTTTATTGAATAACAGTTCATCAGTTGTATACACATAATTATTTGACCATTTCCTTATGTTGAGGATTAAGGTTCTTTCCAGCTCTTATTGTTATGAATAACATCATTATGCATGAAGGACACACCTTCTCCTGGATCATTTCTCTTGAATAAGTTTCCTGGAGAAGTTTCTGGGTCAAGGTAAGGAAACATTGCTTTTGGGCAGGTGGAGATCAGTTGACAATGTCTCACGGGTGACCCCATGGATAGTTCCAGTGCAATGCCATCAACATTGGCAAATATTCAGTGGCTTTGAGCCATGCTTTTCCACATGAATTTCTATTAATTTCTACATTTTATTCTAACTGTAAATCAGTCTAATTAATTACTTATTTTATTTTTATTTCTTTTAATTTTAATTTTTTTAAATTGACAGATAATAATTGCACATATTCATAGGGTACATAGTGATGTTTCAATACAAATAATGTATGGTGATCAGATCAGGGTAATGAGTATAACTGTTATGTCAAATGTTTATTATTTCTTTGTGTTGGGGACATTCAATATTCTCCTTGTAGCAATTTGAAGCTATATGATATATTATTATTATTATTTCATATGGAGTTTTGCTCATGTCACCCAGGCTGGAGTGCAATGGTGTGATCTCGGCTCACTGCAACCTCTGCCTCCTGGGTTCAAGCGATTCTCCTGCCTCAGCATCCTGAATAGCTGGGATTACAGGCGAGTGCCACCATGCCCAGCAAATTTTTGTATTTTTAGTAGAGATGGAGTTTCACCATGTTGGCCAGGCTTGCCTAGAACTCCTGACCTCAGGGGAGCCACCCGCCTTGGCCTCCCCAAGTGGTGGGATTACAGGCGTGAGCCACTGCGGTGGACCTATGTGATATATCATTGTTATTATATAGTCATCCTATAGTCATATAGAGCACTGGAACTCATTCCTCCTATCTAGCTGTAATTTTGTATCCTTTAATAAATCTATCCCTATTCTCTCCCTCTCCCTACCTTCACCAGCTACTTCTTATTTTAAAGAATTAATAACAACAACAACAACAACAACAACAACAAGAAAATCATGTAAGCCAACTGTAAGCTCCTTGGATAGCTCTTAGTTTTGCAGTCTGTTTGGGTTCTCCCATGTTTTAATATTGAACAGAGCAGCTGAGCCTGTAGCCTGTGTACTGTGGATGGTACACTTCCCCTAATCTATCCTTCAAATCATGGAGCAGTGACCATTCACAGGGTGGTTGTTGTCTCCAGGATCCTACATCTGTTGACACCTTGGATCTCTGTTCTGAATCTTGCCTCCTGTGACTGCTACTCAGTCCTTTCCTTCCCCGCCCAACTGGACAGGACTCTGATCCCTTACTCCATTAATGAAAGCTGATATCCTGTAAGTGATACCAGCTTTTTGGGTTGAGCTGGCCAATTTTACTGAAGACTTGGGCTAGTGGAGGAGGGTTGAAGCATAGTTTAATACGAGGACATCAATGTTTTAAAAAACTCATGGTTCTCTCCCAACCATGGGCTGGAAGAGGATAATGGAAACAACAAAACTACACTGGCCACAGTTTTACTAGGAACATCCTTCTGCCCATGGAAACCACATCCCAGAACCCAGCGACAGATATCCAGATGTCTACCATACATAAAGCACCGCATTCTTGATTTAAAAGGCCACAGTGATAAAATGCATACTTTCTTTTAGTCATGAATAAGAATTATGGTGTTATGCCAGGGCTCATCCTCTGACCTGGCTTGTTGGGGAATAGGGAGAAGCCTATTAGACTGTCTGAGTTCAAATGCCATCCCTCCACCAGCATTAGAAAGACCTGAGTCAGCTCACCCAAACCCAGGCTGAATCCCTGCTGGGCTCTGCCTCTGCCTATCTACCTCCTAGAGATCTACCCTGGGGCTAGGTAGGGAGCTTTCCAAGATAACTACCTTGGAAATCACTTTTTTTCCTTTAAGATGTAAAGAAACATATTCTTAAGTTTCAACTACTTTCTTTTAAGATGTAAAGAAACATGTTCTCAAGTTTCAACTACTTCAAACCTCAGAGCTTTTGTGTGTATATGTGTGTGTGTTTCTTTTCTAAAACAAAATAATCTCATTTCTTTGAGATTTTTGTCTGTTACTGTTGTTTATTTTGTCTATTACTGAAATCAGGTGCTAAAAACTGAACTTGGTGTTACAAAGAATAATTTTATTTTGCAAACACTAATCCTGCTAGCTACAATTTCTGTATTTTTCTGAAATTGAAAAAAAATTTACAGATATCAAGCCTCAGAAGTAAAGTATGTCTTATTTCTTTTGGACATTGTTTTAGAGGTTGGATTTTTGCTGGTTTTGCATAGTTACATGTTATAGCTCATCAACTATTTGTTGTCAAATTTGCTGTAAGGATTTACTAAGGGAATCAGCAGATGCCAGAAGGTAAAAGGTGAGGTGCCTGATCTCTCTCATAGTCAGGTTGGAAAAAGTCTTGAACTAACTACTCTTGAACTGCTCCTATGGCTAGAGGTCCTTGGGGTCAGGGCATCCTCACTGGCTGCGGGTCAGTAGTGGGGCTGGGGTGCTGCTGAGCAGCCACCTGCGAGCCAGTGCACTTTCTGCTCCACTTCTCAGCAGCGGCCCACACCCAGGGGCGCTCCATACACAAACCCGCTCAGCTGCAGACTCCAGCACTGCGGGACAAGATTGGCAGTGAGAGGCGAGAGGGTTCTCAGGTGGTGTAGGAGCCCTTGAACTATTCTCGTTTCCAGCACTTACACGGAGGTGACACATTTCTTGCGATTAGGCCACACGGATGACTGACATGATGGCTTCTCCCTCTCTGGCTGCAGTCATACAGTAGTGCAGGTGAGATGGAACTCCTGATAACTCGAAGCTCCCACCAAGGGCTCTTTAATAAAATGTAGAGTAATTCAACTTCTGTTTGGCTAGATGAGAAGATAAAGTTGATAATCTTCCTACTTGTCATTAAATCGGGAGCCTGTGGGATCTTGGGGCTTGGCCTGGGCTTCCCTGGCCTTCAGGACTCGCCTTAGGCTGAACCCTGGGAGGAAACTGCCTCAGCCACTGCCAGGCCACTGAGGGCCATTTGAGTGTGTCTCAGGTTTGCTAAGAGCAGTGATCTAGGAAAAGCAGTTCAGAAACCGAATTAATAAAAGCAAACCTCCCTTTGTATTTTTTTTAGCATGGGCTGGCCTCTGCTAAGCTGTTTGGGGTTGGTTGGTTTTTCCTAATTCACAATCATGGTATCAGCAGTGCCTTTTCTTTAATTTCAATTGATCTGAATTTGCTTCTAAACCTTTAATTTTAGCTTTATTTTCCTCCTACACCCTCTCTCAAAGCACTAGTGATTAAATAGACAACCAAATATATATTAAAAAAACAATTTTGAAGGGCAGTGAGGGAAATGCTTTGAAGGGCAGTGAGGGAACACTTGCAGTGAAAGCATCTCAGTGTTTCTTTAAGAGTCTGGCTGTGCGGTGAGCATCTCTTTTGTCCTGCATCATTGCCTGAGTTTAAGAATGTGAGAATAGTGGCCGGGCATGGTGGCTCACACCTGTAATCCCAGCACTTTGGGAAGCCGAGGAGGGCGGATCACCTGAAGTCAGGAGTTTGAGACCAGCTTGGCCAACATGGTGAAACCCCATCTCTACTAAAAATACAAAAAATAGCCTGGCATGGTGGCATGTGCCTGTAATCCCAGCTACCGAGGAGGCTAAGGCAGGAGAATCACTTGAATCTAGGAGGCAGAGGCTGCAGTGAGCCGAGCTCGCACCATTGCACTCCAGCCTGGGTGAAGAGCGAGACTCTATCTCAAAAAAATAAAAAAAAGTAAAATAAAATAAAATAAAATAAAATGAAAAAAAAAAGAATGTGAGATTATCCAGTCTTCTAAAGGTATGGAAAACTGACTGGATTTCAAAGACAAGCCATCCAGTTTCTCATTTACCAATTCGACTGTCAGGCTGAAAAGAGAAAATAATTCTCTCTAGGTTGCTCTTTTGCTGAAATTGTTACCAGCATATTGCAGAGAAAATTACAAGATCATCAAAAAGCTAGGTCTGGGAGATTTTATTTAGGATGGTGGATTTACGTGGCTTCTGTGCAAAACAAAAACTAATAATAATAATAATAATAATAATAATAATAATAATAATAATAATAAAAACAAAGACTTACTTTCCCAAGAGGCTTTTCCTTCTTACTTGTGAATGCAGGTCTCCTTGGGAAGCCTAGAGTTCCCTGGTAGAGTTATTTACTTTGGCCCAGATAGGCCTGGGTTTTTCAATTACAGGAAAGGTTTTAAAAACAACAAACAACAACAAAACAGTCACAGTAACAATAATGTGAGAGACCAGAGGCAAAGGCAGCCTCAAGTGTTATTTTTATGAGATTGTATTGGAGGCCGCGGCTATTTATTGGGGAACTGGTCCTCGTGAAAAGCACATTTCTTTTTTCGATTTGGAACTCTGGGGGGCTCCTTTCAAGGAAACCTTACCCGAGGTCAGCTCTTCGTGAGTGTCCTCTCCTCTCTCTGCTTCATTCCTGTCGGGGATGTTTTCCTCCCCCACTGCCTGCTGTCAGCTAAGCCAGAGAGTTCCCCTGAGGGGTAGTACCTCTGCCTGGTCCTACCCGATTCCTGGGCTGTCCCGGCCAGACAGCACCTGTCATCCTCCAGGTTTGAAGTTGGAGCTCCTGGGAGAATTGTACCTGTGTGTTCTTGTGCCCACCTACTTGGAAAATAACCATTCTTTAGGGATGAGAGGGAAGCAGCCAGGAGGCACGGTGCTCTGTCCCGGAGCCACAGAATGATGTCAGCTCATTCAGAATGATGTCAGAATGATGAGTGTCAGCTCACAGGGCCTGCTACGAAAGATCCCAAATGGAAGCTAAAATAGTGCTGTGCTGTGATCCCGGCAGGTCCTGAGAGCACACTCTCTCCTTCTTCATTTTGTCACATCAGCGGAGCCAGATGGTGTCAGAGTATGCTCTTTCTCTCTGCCAACAATCATCATGCACCTGAGCCCAGGACATCAGTCCTATTTCCCACACTCCTGCGTGACAGAACTTCTTACTCCCATTTCACAGCTACAGAAAATGAGCCAGGAAGGGTGGGTAACTCGCACAGGCCCATTTGAGGGAAGCAGCAGAGCTAGGCTGAGACTCGATTTTATCTGATGCCTGAGCCTATGGCACTCCTGGACAGGTTCCTGGAGTAAACAACACCAATACAGCACTCTGAATTTATCTGATGAAGACTGGTGTGGGTGAACTAGGAACAAATGCCACCAAACTATAAGAATTAGGAAACACTTTTGCACATGCTAGGGACTGTCAGGAACTACTGGGGGCATTACCACAGGACAGCCTTGGTGCTGTCTCCAGCAGAGCCTTGAACTCCATGTCCACAGCACACACTGGCATGGGTGGTGTGAGTCCCAAATTCCAGGTGGGGTTAGGCACTGCCCTTACCACTTCTGTTGTGGGGTTTCCTTGTTTCTAGTGGTAACTCAATTATCCTAACATACTACTCTTGATACATCACATCATATTGATGCTGGATATCTTTTGTTTTTTTTGAGATGGAGTTTTTCTCTTGTCACCCAGGCTGGAGTGCAATGGCGTGATCTCAGCTTACTGCAGCCTCCGCCTCCTGGGTTCAAACAACTCTCCTGCCTCAGCCTCCTAAGTAGCTGGGATTACAGGTGCCACCCATCATGCCTGGCTAATTTTTTTTTTTGTATTTTTAGTAGAGATGGGGTTTCACCCTGTTGGCCAGGCTGGTCTCGAACTCCTGACCTCAGGTGATCCATCTGCCTCGGCCTCCCAAAGTGTTGGGATTACAGGCGTGAGCCACCATGCGTGGCCGATGCTGGACATCTCTTAATAAATTCTAAGCCAGGTGTGGTGGCACATGCTTGTAGTCCCAGTTACTAGGGAGGCTGAGGCAGGAGGATCGCTTCAGCCCAGGAGTTCTAGGTTGTGGTTAGTCACAATCCCCCTACAGCTCTCCAGCCTGGGTGACACAGTGAGACCTCACCTCAAACAAAACAAAAGGAAATGAAACAAACAAACAAACAAACAAACAAAACCTACCAACAACAAAACAAAACCAACAAACAAAAAATCCCAGATTCTAAGTAGTAATATGGCTAAGCCCAAAGGGAACTCAAATTACTAACTCTTTTTAGTTTCGTTCCATCTGTTGGCTGGCGTCTGATCAGAAGGGACCCGCAGTTCCTGTAAAGCCAGTTGATGCATCCAGTGTCGTATTGTCCTTGACTCAGTGTGGTCTGTGCTTGCAAACTGACTACACGTATTAGGGCTTATTTGGTTTTCTATTTTAAGGAGTTAGTGTAAGAATGAATTTTTTTCTCTATTTTTTCCTTATATAACTTGCCCATCAAATTCTTTCCAATTGTGTCATTAGAGGCCTGGTGATTACGTGCATGACAAGTATTTCTTTGGTTAGTTATCCTCTTTTTTTCTTATTTTTATTGTTCAGACTTGACAGTTTGTATATCTTAAAATATCTTTTCATTTTCTTTGAAATATGTCTTTTGTAATTTCAAAACTACTGAAATTATACTTCATTCATCCATAGCTTTGATCAATTTTCTGCTCTCTTCTTGTTTTACTAAAATTAAATTTACTCTTTTTTACACTTTCATTTACTTGTGAGTTGTATAATGTTTTATCTTTTTTTTTTTAAGTCTCAATTCAAGTAGCCTAATGCCCTTGTTAAATTACTCTATTTTACCTCCTTGTACTTAAAGGTCATTTTGTCATATCTTTTGAAATGCAGTAGGGCCTCTTTTTGGACTTCCTATGCCACTGCATAGATTTACATTTCTGTTTTGTACCAATTTTATTTTTTTTAAAGCACTGAAACATCACACTATGTTCTAATATTTTGTAGGATTAGAATTTTTCTAGCTCTTCTTTCTTCTTAGGAAATTTTTGTTTTTAAAAACACATTTACTTACCAATTATATTTTAGAGCCATTTTGACTTAAGAAATTATTCCAGTTGGTATTTTGATTATGTTTCCATTCCAATATAAATGCGAACTTGGGTTGAGAGTGTCCTCTCACCCTTCCTCTTTCCTCACTCCCTGGAGTCATCTTGGCCAACTCCAGGGTCCCTGTGTATGGAGCACTTGATGTCCTGTATACCCACCTCCCCTGCTGTATGGCCACCTCTATGGAGGCTGTAGCTTTCCATAGAGTACCTGCACTCAGCCATGGCAGAAAAAGCACAACGTCCTAAGTCACTAGTGCAAACATCCTAACTCGACCATAATAATTGCGGATTCAAAAAATGTCCATAAATATGTATATTTAACTCCATTAAGAATAGTTGTGTTTAGCTGAAAATGCTCTATCGATACCCTAACGATTGGTGCTTAATTTCTAATTTTTTTGCAGTTGAAACAATATTAAAATAACTCTTTTATACATATTTTAGATACTTTCCCAATTGTTTCCTCATTAAAAATCTATCAAATGAGAATCTTTGGGTTGAAGAGTATGTACATCTCACAATTTAAAAACATCTTGCTTACTTGACTTCCTGAAGGGTTGTACCAATATGCATCTCCTTCCAGTGTTCATACTTAATTTTGATTATTTGTGTGTCTCCTTGGAGTACTTGAGTGGAGAAAGTATTCCTCATTCATCTTTATAATGCCAAAGTCTCTAGCTCAATGTTTGAGAAAGTGCTAAATAAATGTTCATTGAATGAACATTGAAAGAAAAGCAATTATTTTTCAATAGAAAGCCAAAAAACAACCCTACTCCTCACAAAAAAAGAGAGAAGGGAGAAAAAAATTGGTTTATTTCTTTCTGTCAGTATCCAACTAACTAAAAGGTTTGCAAAAATTCACTTGGGGAAGGAATTTTGGACTTTGATGGAGAGATGTTTGGAAGCCTCGACTCCTAACTGTAAAGGATCTAGGCAGATCAACTGTAACTATAGTTGCTGTTTGGCATTTGGATTATCTCTTAGCTTGGACTTGTGCTTTGTTGGAACTCCTTGTGTGAACATTGGGCTGTGTTTTCCTGCAGTGCTTAACAACAAGAACTTCAAAATACATCTGGGAAAGTCCCCTCTTTTGAGAGGTTGGCATCTAGAGGCCCCAAGTGCCCCAAAGAGACACAATAGAATTTCATGCTTCTTTCAAAGCCCTTTGTTTCCAAAGACAAGGGCAACAGACTAATTATGTGCTTTACTTTAGCTTCCTGGATATTCTAAACTTATGGTGTTTTCCTCTTCTCTCAGCCAACGAGATCTTCTGGCTAGCTCCTCCCTTTGAAAGGCTCTCTTTCTTTCTTATTCATTTACAATTTTAGTTTTTGTACCTAAGCATTTTATTCTTTGTGGTTTTTAGTTGCAACCAAATCCACATACCGCATGAGTCACTTGGAGGATTTAAAAATATATTTAGACTCAATCTGGAGATTGTTTGTTCAAGACAGATGGAAAATTACATACTTAATCTGTAGGCCTGAGCTTCTGTCCAGGTACCATCACAAATTAGTTCCAAGATATTGCACAAAATAGTAATCTTTATGACATAAAAGGTGTAAAACTGGCACAGTATTACCTATCTCACTGGTTGTTGTGAGGATTAAATAATGAATGAGCAAGTGCTTGCAAATGCTTCATGGTTATGCAAACGAACTACTTAAGGATAGGGCTTGGTCTTCACATCTGAATTCCCAGGAGAGCCTCATTCAGGGATTGTGTACGGCTCTGCTTCATTTAGTTTCACAAGGACATTCATTCCATCCTCTTGGACAGAAACTAGGTCATGTTGGTTTTCACTGCTATTTCCCCAGTCCCTGTAACAGTGCCTGACGTGGTACACAATTCCGAATGAACGAATGAGTGAAAGCACTTATTTTTATTGCCTTAGTACACCACAGTTTATTGATCTATTCTCCCATTGACGGGGTTTGCATGACTTCCAATTTTTTTTTCTTTCGCAAGTAATGTTGTGTAAACACTTTTGACCATTGAGCATACCTCTTGGTTCATGTGTATAATCCCTTCTTAACAACTGTGTATTTGGTTAAATTATATAGTATTCTTAAGGTTGAAACCAGTCTAATCTAACAGAATTAATATGGTTCAATTTACTACATAGTTATTGAATTATTGGGCCATAGAATTTGCAAATCCTTAGCTTACTAATATTGTCAAATTGCTGTCCAAAGTTCCTGTTTATGCATATGGTCACTGACAATGAGTACTCTCAGGCTTTTTACATTGTCCCGAATTGGTGGGTGTAAAATGATGATCTCATTGGGGTTTAATTTGCATCTGCTTGAGTACTACTGAAACTGGGCATCATATAAGGTGTTCATAGTTTGATCTTGTCTGCTCATTTCTTTTGACTGTGTTCAATTCTATCATTTCCTACTATTGATTTGTAGGCATTTGTAGGTATTACAGATAACTGCATTATCAGTTATACATGTTGAAATAGATGCTTCAAGTCTATGGCTGGTCTTTTCCACTCTTCAAATGGCTTT
This sequence comes from Homo sapiens, assembly GCF_000001405.40. Taxonomy (NCBI): domain Eukaryota; kingdom Metazoa; phylum Chordata; class Mammalia; order Primates; family Hominidae; genus Homo; species Homo sapiens. The sequence goes on from NC_000007.14 coordinate 48,184,395, forward strand.
TCTGAAGAACAGAGATTTTAAATTTGTAAATAGCTTAAGTTTCTTTTGTTGTTTATGACTTTCGTGTCTTATTTAAGCATTAAAAAGAAAAGGAAAACTGTCTGTTTTCTTCTGAACATTTTAAAAAAGTTTCGTTTACTTTTGGCCAGGTGTGATGGCTCCCACCTGTAATCCCAGCACTTTGGAAGGCTGAGGTGGGCAGATCACTTGAGGTATGGAGTTCAAGTCCAGCCTGGCTAACATGGTGAAACCCTATCTCTACCAAAAATACAAAAATTAGCCAGGCATGGTGGCGCATGCCTGTAATCCTAGATACCTGAGAGGCTGAGGCAGAAGAATTGCTTGAATCTGGGAGGCGGAGATTGCGGTGAGCTGAGATTGCACCACTGCACTTCAGCCTGGGTGACAGAGCAAGACTATCTCAAAAAAATAAAAAGACAGTTTCTTTCACTTTTTATTGAGACAGGATCTCACTTTTTCATCCAGGCTGGAGTGCAGTGGTGAGAACACAGCTCACTGTAGCCTCAACCCCTTGGGCTCAAGCAATCCTCCTGCCTCAGCCCCCCAAGTAGCTGGGACTATAAGGGCACACCATCATGCCTGGCTAATTTTTGTATTTTTTGTAGAGATGGGGTTTCTCCATGTTGCCTAGGCTGAAAGTTGTTGTTGTTTTCTCATATTTAGAGTTTTTTATATGATGATGACAAAGACCTAATCTATCCCTGCCTCCTCTATCTCCACTCTCAGAATAACCAGTTTTATAGCACAATTTGTTGCAGAAGAAATTATTGTCCCTTTGATTTGTCAACCACCTTTCTCATACATCAAGTCTCCAAATATGCACAGCTCTGTTGCTAGGCTCTTCCACAGGTTGCTTTGCTTATTATGGAACTAATAGCATGGTGTTTTAATTACTATTACAGAAAGCTTTGTTATATGAAAGGACAAGTTATTTCAACCTGTTGATGAAAATTGTCTCAAGTATTTTTGACCATTCTTCTCCCAAATACATTCTAGAATCAGCTCATTAAGTATGATAACAACAGCAAGATCAAAGCAAATAAAACAAAACAAACAAAAACCTTTTGGAATTCCATTAGAATTGCATTGAGCCTACAGATCAATCTGGGTAGGATTAACATCTTTATGGTACTGAGTTTTTTAATGCAGTAATGATATTAATCTGTTCATATATTTAGCTTCTTTTTGCTGTCTTTCAATAAAGTTTTATAATTTTCTTTATGAAATAATTGCACAAACTTTAGTCAAAAATTTCCCCCAGATGCTTTATCTTTTGTTGATAATACAAATCATATGTTATTTAAAAACACTTTTTTTGATTAATACTTGCTGTTGTAGAAAGTTATTGAGGTAGGTATTGGATTCTCCTTCTATGAAGGTAAATTCAGAATTTTCTTCCTGTAATAAAATATTGTAATATAATGTAATTGTTGTGCTATATATTTTGAGGTTAAATGATTAAGTATACACGTTCATAATATTATTATACTTTTTGGTATCAATCTTTTTGTTATGTATTAATCCTCTCAATCATTGATTGATATCCTTATATATTGATAAGAATGACAACTTTCCTTGTCTTAAAGTCTTCTTTGTTTGATATTAACATAACTAATTTGTTTAATATTTACCTACCATATCTTTTTCATCTCCTTCCTTTTAACCATTCTATGTCCTTATATTTTAATTACAGCCATTCTAAATAGCATATAGCATTTTCTTTTTGAAATCAAGCTTGATAATTCTTGTCTTTCAAATAGTGAGTTTAATCTAAGCATTATTTGAAATTAAAGCATACTATTTGAAAGTTTCTTTAGTGTAGGTCTGTTGTTGGATAACTTGGTTTCTGATTATGTGAAAAATTTCTTTTAGCCTCATTCCTGAGAGATTGTTTTTCTGGGTATACAATTCTAGATTGACAGAATTTCTTTCAGCAATTTAAAGATATTTAACTATCTCTGGGTTCTTATTTTTGATGAGTCTTCAGTAATTCTAATTATTTCTTTGAGGTGATGTGTCCTTATTCTTGAATTGATATTGAGATATTCTCTTTTACTTAGTTGTGTTGAAGTTTCACTATACCATGTCTTAGTGTAGATTTAGCTTTCCTAGTAAATGTGGTATGTACTTTATCTATGGATTTGGACTTGTGTCTTTCATATTTTCTAAAAAAAATTTTAGCCACTAGTTACTTAAATATAGCCACTCCTACTTTCTCTCCACTCCCCTTGAGGGGCACTCTCTCCCTTAAATTGAATCTTATATGTTAAGATTCAGCTCATGAATTGTTTTTTCTAATTTATTTTTTGGTCACTTTCCTCTCCTCAGCTCTTTGTTGATTTATTTTACTTCCAGAAAGACCAGAAATGCAAGAAAAATGACATTCTTTTAGCAGGAATGCCCCTGTCGTTTCTAGTCAGCATACTACTGAAAGCAGAAGTGATATTCCTTCATTTAAAATTTTCTTCCATTTTCATTTGGTCTGGAATTCATTGCCAAGCCTTTTCACCCCTCAGGGTGTTTGGTAAATATATTATCTGTGTTATTTCATTATTGAGAATATGTATATATCTGTGTGTATATGCATATATATATGTGTGTGTGTATATATATATATATATCAGTGTATACATATATATATCAGTCCCTGTCTCTCTATATATATCACAAATATATATACATATATATTTGTAAAATTTGTTGTTTAAAGGCCATTTAGCTGTGTGTCATTTTTTTTAATCCTACTTTTTTTCTCTTAGAACTTTGTAAATTGATGCATTGGCATCTAACATGAAATGTTTTGAGGATATATTTAAGGCCAGACTGATTTTCTTCTCTTGTTAGGGAGTTGTCTTTTTTTTTTTTTTGTCTGTCTAGACACCTGTAGTAGTAATAGTTTATTTTTGAAGTTCAGTAGCTTGAAGTTTAATGGCCGTAGTTTAACTACAGCTTATTTTATTTTTCTGAAATATAGTATACTCTTTCAGTCTGCAGATGAAATCTTCTCTATTTCAGGGAAATTCTCCTATCTTATATCTTTGAGGAATATCGTCAAAAAATATTTTGTTCAATTTGTTGGATTCTTTACTTTGGGGGTGCCAATTTTCCTTATGTTGTATAGTCTTTGTTTTTCAAATATATTAGCTTTTGCGTCTTAATATTTTTGCCTTTAAAATGTTTTTAAAAATCATTATTGTTATTGTAAGCTGTTTCTTATTCCAAAAATTGAAATTTAACTAGTATGTATTTTCTTTTTATGGTTTCTAAATCATTTAACATTCCACAGTGATGATTTTTTTGTTTTTTTTCTTAGATCCACAATCTCTTTTTTACTTATTTGTTTATATCTTTTTTCTGAGCCCTTGTTTTCTGAATATTTGTCCTTATTAAAGTGTTCTTCTTAATGGGGCACTTGTAAAGAAATTCTTCATTTTATTTGAGTTGTTTCTTTTCCAGGCATGCTTTATGACTTCCTTTTGTTTTCTTTTTCTTTTTCTGTTGGTTTATTTCCTTCCTAATGTTTAGATAGCAGCTGTGCTCTTTGTTTTATTGCCACCTATACTTGGGGAGTTCAGCCCAGGTATTATATTTGTTCTTGACTCTCTTTTCAATAAATCTGGGAACAGTTTTATTTCTCCTTCAATATCTAGTGTGATCCCTAAGCATATCCTGTATGCTCTAATCATCTATAGAAGGAGAAGATTGGAAATGGTCAGGACAGCCATGGAGAAGAGTGAGGGAAATCATCTGAGATGCAATACAACCTTTATTAGACCAGTTGGGCTCCGTGCTCTCCTATGAAAAATTGTTAAACGTTTTGTGTAATGTTCAGTTCATTTTGTGGAAATTGCTCTCCAGCTTTGGATTCTTCTCACATTTCTCTATGTAGTCCTGGAGGTTTCCTCGAGAGTCAGCCTCATTGTTCACTTTCCTTGTTTATTTGATCATTCTCAGTAGCAGTTTTTCCAACTCCTCTGTCAGAAGCAGGAGATAAGGAGACTCCTTTGGGTTGCTCATCTCCATGGATGTGGGTTTTGGGGATAGTCACCAGGATTATGAGGGGACATTGTTATGGCTTTAGAGATTGTCAACTGAGTTGGGGTTGAAGTATGGTAGGCTTATTTGATCTGCTCTAGAAACTTTTTTTTCTTTTTTTTTACGTTTTGGTAGTTTTTTTCTATTAGGCAAATACAAGTTTATTCCTGCCTCCTCTAATTTATTTTCTTTTCTCTCCCCCCACCCCACCCATTTTGTCTGGAAGAAGAAAAAGTCTGTGAGGAAGTTTCAATGTATCATTTTACCCAGGAGTCCTTTTTGTGTACATGTTCATCTGTATGTATTGCTAATGTCTTCCCAAATGCCATCGTGGCTCAGCTGTGCTGATGGAAACATGGAAAGGTTTATATTCATGCTCAGCCCACAAGGTGAGAGGAATGGTAGTGGAACAGGGATCTGGGCATCCACGAAATTCATGGTGAGAAGTGCCTTGCGGATGGGAAGCTCCGGGGTACAGGACTGAACGCTTCCACCCTCTGCTGGTCGGAGCTTCCCTCCTGGAAGAGTAGGAGGGCTTTGTGGTGGTTTGGTAGTGGGGGCATTGTTTTGTTAACTGCTAATAGGTTTACCAGACGGTTATTTTTCTTGAGAGGAGAGCCTGTGGCAGCATCTGTGCCAGCGCATTTGGACAGCAGAAGTGCCAGTTTCTGCTTCTGATTGGGTCACTTTCTGGTGTTAAGAAGTCAGCAATGGAAGGTCTGAGATGTGCGAGATACGGTGAAGCCCTAGCATTAATCAGACAGCATTCCTATTTAACAGGGGTAAGATTCAAAATGTTAAGCAAGATTCGAGGATAATAATGACATATAAGAAGAAAAACGTGATTAAAAATGTGATGAGAAAGGGAAGGCTGCCTTTGCACCCCTGCAGAGAAATAGTCTTATGAAAGCCACTCACACACAATGGAAAATGACACAGCAGAACTGGTGTCTGGCTACTTTTCTCTTGAATGGAGCAACTTCAAATTCAGAACAATGAAAGATATTTTTTCACTTGTGATTTTCAGAAGGGTCAGTGACCACCTTGTAAATAAAACACTCTGAGATGTTGTTTTTTAGGTTTAATTGGAATTCTGTTATTATTTCAAGATGCTTAGAGAAACTTCTCAACGATAAGATTCAAGGTTTTATTTTCTTCCAATAATATTTTCATTTGAAACTAGAGATCGGATGTGGATTTTTAAGACTGGACTGAAAAATATTTGTGATTTTAGAGTTACTACTATTTTAATTTGGCTTTGGCAGGGTCCTTTAAATGATGTTGTCTTCATGTGAAGGGAACAATATCCAGATACTATAAATAAAAGGATTGATAAATTAATGGCATGAAAGATTTAGACAATAAAAAGGCAAATACAAAGTTGGAGAAAGTATTTGTAATACCATAAGCCATGAAAAGGCTGAATTCTTTAATTAAAAAATTAAATACAAAATGATGCTTTGTAAGTCTGTAAAAATAAAGAACAACTTAATAGAAAAATAGGCAACTGGAAGAACAGAGAGTTAATATGCAAGGAATTATTATATGCTTAACTTGTGAAAAATGCTTGATCTTAATAACTAAAGTTATCATTATGTTTTTGCATATCAGCTTGACAAAAAATTAAGTTTGTTAATCCTAGGTGCTATTGAGAGTGCAATCAGAGTAAATGATAATTGGTTTAGTTTTTAATGAGGGCATTTTCACTACATCTATCCAAATTAAAAATCCACATTAAAAATCATATACACTTCAGTGCAGTAATCCCATTTGGCAATGGTACCTCACGGATCTACTTACAAAAGTCAGCCAAATATGTAAAAAAAACCTCATGAAGTTAAAAGCTGGGATTCATTGAACTGCATCTACTTGATTTCATAATGTGCATTGGTTTTAGTATGTTGCTGTCTTGTTATCTGTAATCAACTATAATAGAGTAATATATTTGGTGTTTTGGACCAAAATTCATGCTACACATATGTCTGACTTTGATGGCCTTTACCTTTTCAAGAAAACTGTTGCAAATTTGAGCAAAATTTTCCCAGTTGTAATATTTCAATAGTGTCATGTAATAGAAAAAATTTAGAAACACTCCTAAGAGAGTTTTCAATTTCAAGCAGAAATGCTTCTCTTCTAAGTAAGTACCACTTTAATTGATAAAAGAAAAACAACCTCATGATATCACTGGCCCCAAATAGAAAAACATGCAAATTTTCATGATGAAGTGATTGGTTAAATAAATTAAATCCTACGGTGGAATATTATGTAGCCTTTAAAAGTAGCAAGGTAGAACTATAAGTGCTGTTATGGAAAATTGGTTCTAACACATTAGTTATACATATACATGTATTTTGTAAATAGATAGTTTATCCTATAGGAGAGTGGTTATAATCTTTCTGTACTTTTAAAATTTCTTAACCATACATATGTTTATTTACATATTTATAATGTCAAAAGTTATATGAGTCTTGGTTCTATAAACCATTTTCTGTTTTTTATACAACTACTTGTCTTAAAAAATAGCTATTGTATGTTATTAAAAATGAAACAGAATAAAAAACCCAAGAAAATTATGTGTTTATTATTCTTAATGCTATCAAGTTATCATTTAATATGAGGTATATTTTTTATTTTGCTTACTTATATTCAGTCAGAATTAATGATGGAATCTTCCCCCACCACCTCCCTACCCCAATACTCCAGTAACTTATTAATTTATTACAAAGAATGACCAAAATGACTTAAATAAGTAGTTATCTCCTGAGCGTCCTTGACCTTTCTTTATAGTTTAATTGTGGTCCCTTGAACCAGAGGGTGATCTGCAGGCATTTTCTTTGTTATCAGAATGTGTGAAACTAGGTTTCAGGACTGTGTCAGAGAACTTTTTAATCATGATGCACTTTTTGTCACAAGAAATACTTCCTCGTGGAATATTTCAAAGACGGTGATTTATTTTTAATTTTTTAATTTGAGACGGAGTCTCGCTCTGTTGCCAGGCTGGCGTGCAGTGTGGTGCAGTCTCGACTCACTGCAACCTCCACCTCCCGGGTTCAAGTGATTCTCCTGTCTCAGCTTTCTGAGTAGCTGGAATTACAGGTGTGTGCCACCATGCCTGGCTAATTTTTTTTTGTATTTTTGGTAGAGATGCAGTTTCACCGTGTTGGCCAGGCTGGTCTGGAACTCCTGACCTCAAGTGATCCGTCTGCCTCGGCCTCCCAGAGTGTTGGGATTACAGGTGTGAGCCACCGTGCCCGGCCAAAGAGGGTGATTTCTTTTCTTCTTTAATTATACCAGGGATGGAAAAACTCTTTTACACCTGTGTTTTGTCTTCATGGCTTTAGGCCACTCATCTGGTCACATTTAGATCTGCTTACAAGGAAGGATTACTGCAATGGGATATGACCATGGCAGTTCAAAGAATAAAGAAACCAAAGTGACCAGAAGTTCATGTTAGTTCAAAGCATTATAACTGGGAATCTGAAACAGTAAGATATCCTCTTTGGTGTTTGATGGAGCATTCTTAGCCTGCAGATTTTTAGGTTTTTTTTTGTGCATTTATTCAATGGCTTGCCTACTTTTTGTCTGGCTATAAACTTTTGTATTTGCAAAATGATGTCACATGAATTCAATACAAGATTATCCACCATAAAACAAGTGAAGAATGATGACAGTAAAATTAATTTTATGACAATTGAGGCTTTTCTATTAATTTTTTGGGCTATACCTTATAGGTGGTGTTTTTTTTTTTCCTCAAATGATTAAATTCCATGTGTGAAATGATTAAATTCCATGTGTCAAAGTTAATTTTCTTTTAACTTTGAAAATTTGAGGTTGTACAAAGTATTGCAATCATTTGAGTAGCTCTTTTGTAGTCTGTGTCAAGAGATTTTACTCCAGTAATCTTAGTTTTAGGAGTTTATTCTAATTTTAAGAAAATAATTCAAATGAAAGATTATTTATACACAAAAATGTTACTTAACAGAAGAATGTGTGAATTATGGGATATTCCTTTGGTAAGAATATTATGCAACAAGTAAGCTGATAGTTATAAATCTTGTTTGGCAATATTGAAAAATATGCATAAAATGAAGGTAAATGAGAAGTGGATGCTACCACCAAAGCCAGCAAAATATCTATTTGGGTAAAAAAGTCAGAAATGTTAAAGAAATTAGAAAAATAAAAATAGTTGCTGTATTGAAGTATGGGAAATACGGGTGAAGTTATTTATTTCTTTAATTTCTGTAATGTCATAAGTTCTGAAATAAATAAAAATGTGCAGAAAAAGGAAAGAAGCAAAAGCTGGGTCTGATGGGAGAAGAACAAGGAGATGACACCGTCACAGATCTGGACGCAATGATAAATGAACTAGGCCTTGTCTGTGGGCTCCTGTCCCAAATGACTGTTCTGAGACACACAGCAGGGATTAAAATGACCTCCTTCAAGAGATGAAAATATTGTAATACCTTACAATTTATTCAGGTGATTTTTTTTTTTTTTTAATTTTCTAGGTCCTTTTCCTTGCTGAATTCTTCTGGCCTTGTATCCTGTTTGTAATTCTGACAGTTCTTCGTTTTCAAGAACCTCCCAGATACAGAGACATTTGTAAGTTTCACTTTTTAATATACTTTTTGAATTAACCTTTGGAGAAAAAAAACTCATAGCACTCTTTCTTGTTTTTTATAAACTCTGAATGCTGAGTGAAATGAATAGATAGGGTTTCATTATGACAATAACAACATATCTGGAGTATATGTCAATAAGCCACAATTTAGGTTTTGTCTTTTAAGAATGATATTCACACAGGTTCACTCAATCTAGCACATAGATTTATTCTTCCAATTAAAACTGACACAATCTGGGCATAAGTAAATAGCCATTATAAATATAGAAAGGAGAAGAAGTAGAAGTGGGAGATGCATTTCATAGTTTATCAGAATGATACTGATAGTAATGTTGATGGTGGTGATGATGGTGGTGAGAAAATAATGATGCTGATGATATGATGATGATGGTGAAGATGGTGATGATGGAGATGATGGTGATGATGATGACAGAAATGATAATGATGGTGATGATAGTTATAATGGTGCAAGAGATAATGATAGTGGTGATTGTGATGACAGAGATGATAGTAATGAAGATGATGATGATGATGAAGATGATGATAGTGATGATGATGTAGATAATAGTAACTATGATGATGATGATGATGGAGATGATGATGGAGATGATGATAGTGATGATGGTGATAATAATAGAGATAATAGTAATGATGAAGATGATAGTGATGATGCTGGTGACGATAGTGATGATCTTCATGATAATAAAGATGATAGTAATAATAATGGAGATGATGATTGGGAAAATAGTGATGATGGTGATGATGATGAAGATGATGATAGTGATGAGAGTGATTATGATGGAGATAATAACCGTGATCATGATGAGGGAGATGATGATAGTGATGATGCTGACAATAATGTAGATAATAGTAATGATGTGATCATTATGATTGAGATGATGGTGATGATGATGGAGATGATAGTGATGATAGCGATGAAATGATGATGGAGATAACAGCAATAATAATGATGATGGTGATGATGATGATGATGATGATGATGATAATGAAGAGTAGTGATGATGCAGCTGATGATAATGATGGAGATGATGATGGTGATGACAATGTTGATGATGATGATAATGATGATGATGATGATGATGATGCTGATAGTGATAATGATGATGATAAGAGTGATGATAGTGGACGATGATGATAATGATGGAGATGATGATGGAGATGACAGTGATGATGTTGATGATAATGGAGATGATGGTAATGATGGTGATGATGATGATAATGGAGATGATGGTGGAGATAATGATGATGGTAATGATTACGATGGAGATGATAATAGTGATGATGGTGTTGTTGGTGATGATAGTGATGGTAATGATGGAAATGATATTGATGGTGATGATAGTGATTACTATGTTGATGCTATCAGTTGTGATGGTGATGCTCTGATAAACTATTACTGGTAACTTCCTGTGCTTCAGGAAAATGGTCAGATGGACCATTTTGTTTTTCTGGGTTGAAACCTTAACAACATCACTCCTTGAGAAATAGTGGCCTGCTTTGTCTCTATCAGGCTATACCACTTAAATATGTATAATGTGGTTGACTCTGTAATCATTACATCAATAAGGGTTTAATAAGTGTTGGGATTTACCCAAAACAGTGTGTCAGTTATATTTAGGTTTTACACATATTAGGACCATTCCTATCAGTTTGTCTTTGTTGTTTGGAGACTCTATTGTGTGTTGCAGAATGGAAAAATGTAAAACCCATGTGAGTAAAATATCATTTAAGAAAACCTAAAAAGCTTTTCAGGGTTTCTACTTTATTATTATTATCAATAAATATGTATTGAGTGCCTTTTGTGTTTCAGGCTGAGAATAAAATGGTGGACAAGGCATTTTCCCTGCCTTTGCAGAGCTCACTGTAGGGCCAGACTATTAGACTGTAGTGGGAAAATTGCCATGATGGGATTTTATACAGGGAGCCATGTGAGCACACAAGAGGGTCAGCCAATCCATTCTAAAGAAAGCCTTCTCAGGCACTGTGCAACTTTGTCAGAACAAGAGAGTGCAGAGGAGAAATTGCCTAGGCAGGGCAGACAGCATGGACAAAAACCTAAAGTAGAACCAAAAGGCAGAGATGTGGCTGAAGTAGTAAGCAGGGTCAAATCAATAAAGGGCTTTGTATGATGTTGAGGATGGTGAACTCTCAAAGAACATGAAGGAGCCATTGAAAGGTTTCAGGCAAGGTCATAATAAAATGAGCATTTAGGGGTCACATTCTGGACACTGGAAAAGGCAGAATTTGGGATTGGTGGAGAGCAACACTAGAGAAGGCAAGATCAACTTGTGGAACTCTTGAATAACCAGGCAAGAGATGGTTGTGCCCTGAAGCAGTGGGAAAAGGGCAGATTCAACAGACATGAAGGAGGTAAGATGGGAAGAAACAACTGGCTGGATGCATGAGGACAGGGAGGCCTTTGACTGGAACAGCTGAGTGGAGAGTGCACTCCCACTGAACTGACAGGGCACAGGACATGTGGGGGATTTGGGGAGCTGTGCTCAGCATGACCATCCTGAATTTGAGGGACTCTTGTGATTGTCAGAGTGAGTCGCCTAATCAATCAGATTATGAATTTGGAATCACATAGATGAGGACACCTAAGAAGGAGAAACTTCCAGAACATAGGCCTCAAGAAGAGCACATTCAAGGGACAAGTAGAGGAGACAATAAGCAGCAACCAGAGTGCTGGAAGGGAAACAAAGAGGTTTGGAGTCTGCCTGGGAAGCACTGAAAGAAGGAGGTATGGCAGAGTGACAGGTGCTGTTGCTGCATGAGTAGATAAGGACTGACAAGTTCTCCAGGGCAGTTCAGTAGAGGGATAGGATGAGGAGGGCCAGGCTGCAGCAGCCTGAAGAGCAAAGGGAGTGAAAAAAGGGAAGGTAAGTGATAGAAAACCAGGTGTACTGTGCAGGAGAAACGGGCAAAACAGGGCAAAAAAAGCTTGCATGCAACCAGAGGATAACGTGGTATCAGGACTGATAAGAAGCCTCAAAATGATAGTGGCTAATGCAAAATTGTGAATGATTTAGTTGTAAATGATAGAGAGCACTAAGTCTGCCATCCACTGTGGTAGTAGCTCAGTCCTGCCCTATGGAAAGGGTAGCTTATGATGTTCCTTATCCTCGAAGTTTCCATCCATCCATTAAACATTTATCAAACTCTTGCTTTGTATCAGGACTGCAGTCCAACAAAGATGTGGCCCAAAGAAACACTGGAAATGTTTCCTAGAGGTATGCAGATGAGCTTTCCTACAGAAGGGAAGGCTTTGTCAGAGCCTCAAGGGGCTCAAGAGTCAAAATTGATCAAGGACTGCACGTTGAAGCTCCATCAAGCCCCCCATCAGCTCTGTGGGGATGGGCATGGCGTGCAACCTTTGTGAGCCTCTTCTCTATAAAGACAGCAAATTTCCCCTGGCTCCCAGGGCTGCTGTGAGGACTTGGTGAGAAAGCCAGTCAGGAGCATGCACTCAGCACCAGCCTGGCATGGCAATGACTAAAAAATGCCCATCCCCCTCCCTCATGCTTCCCACTGTTTTGGGGTGGCCTGATGTTACCATGCCAGGTCTTTAATCTTGGAGACAAAGTGTGCCCAGGGCTGAAGTCCTCAGTCTCTGACCCACTGAGCACTGTCTGTGGGGCCACCATTTCTGATGTGTTCCTGGAGAGATAGAGGGGACACAGAAGTCACGTCAAGGAAATGCACTATCTGGGCACTGTTGCTGACCCCTGAAGTCACCACCATGTGGAAGATGTTCTGTGCCTGTCTTGTTACAGGAAGAGCTGGCCCCGTTCTTGTGCTGTGACTGAGAGGGACCTTAGAAAAGGTGATATGGATTTTACAACTTTAGAATGAAGCCAAAGACTGCATATATGGGTATTTTCACTAAGAATAAATAATCTTCCAAAGTTAAGATTATTTGCATAGGAAAGTGAAATTTCCTGTTAAGTGCCTTGAGAGATTAAAGCTTGAGAAGCTTTATTTATCTGTCCCAGTAAATTCTGTTTGTGCTGGTGAAGTTAGGCTTGTGATCACCTATGGTTTGGGCAGGCTGCACATGCAGGAGGACAGGCACAAGCCCAGGGTGCTGCTGCTTCCTCGAGCTACATATGAATGTGAAAACCGCTGTCAGGGCAGCGCTGCCTTTGTGTTCTGGCTTTCAGGGACTGGGAAAAGAGAAAGACAAGAAGCGGTCACAGACCCTGGGGAGACCTGGGAAAGTGCTCCAGGTTTCAGATGGGCCCTGGCAATACTGGGGCGCTGGACAGGCATCTCCATTCCAGGTCTGCTCCCTGGGGAGGTAGTGAGGTGTGGTAGAATGAACATTTGACCTGGAGTCAAAGTAGATAAGGGCTGACAAGTTTTCCAGGGCAGTTCAGTAGAGGGATAGGATGAGGAGGGCCCGGCTGCAGCAGCCTGAAGAGCAAAGGGAGTGAGAAAAGGGAAGGTAAATGATAGAAAACCAGGTGTACTGTGCAGGAGAAACGGGCCGGTAATCATAAGTTTCATGTTGCTGCAGCCATCAGCATCCTCACCACTCCCACCCTCCTGATGGTGTGAAGGGAGGATATGGTTGGGGATGTGTAAACAGCACATTATCCATAGAGGTGGCTATTTTGTAGTGACATTTGTTCTGAAAAGTCCTATTCAGTGTAGACAATTTTTTTGTATTATACAATATTTAACAACTATATTTAAACATTAAGAATTCAACTTGCATTAAGCTTGAAGTTTTTTTGCCAAAACTAAAAACTCCTACATTTTTATATGAGATGGGAAGAAGCATCCTTTCTATTCTTCCTACCCACAGCTTGTTTACAGAGAGCGGTGTCTGGAAGCTTGGCTGTGCATCAGGGTTATTTCCACTCAGTGAATGGGGAAGCTTGTGAATCCTGCAGCTATATGGCTGCTCAGAGCCATTCTGCCTTGAAACATGAGTACTGACCCTGGAAGAAAGGTGTTAGATATAAAGGTTTTTCCATTTTGTTTGATTCTTTTTGTCTGAGCCCTTAGATCTCCTTTAAATTAATAGCAAGGTTAATAATATAATAATATGATGTTATATATTACAATTTCAACTCAACAGGAATTCCATTTCTGGTAGCAGGTATACGGACTCATTTCTTCTTTGCATCTATTTCTAGGTTATTTGCAGCCCCGAGATCTACCCAGCTGTGGTGTTATCCCCTTTGTTCAAAGCCTTCTTTGTAACACTGGATCAAGGTGTAGGAACTTCAGCTATGAAGGGTCAATGGAGCATCATTTTCGGTAAGAGAAACACAAAGATCTTTTTCAGAAATCTCAGAAAGCTGATACATAGAACAGGCTTCTGCTTTTTGTAAAGCCTCAATAATTTGGGATAGGTCAGAGATCATGAGAAGTATAGAAATTAAAGTTTTATTAAATTCAGAGTCATATAATTCTGCCTCCAACTAATGGTTAGCTTCCAGCAGGAGATCTTTCCACTGTCACTTGCGGGACTCACAGAGTAATAACTGATTAGCAAATGCCATTTGCATGTAATAATTTGTTTTCTGTAGGTTAAAACTCTTGACTTCAAAATTACTTGTCTAGCCAACTTTTCATTTTAGTGCCACATGCCCCCAGAACAATTATTTTTTGAGCTACCTACTGGGTTTTTTCTCCTGTGCTGCTAGTTGACTAGAATCTTGTCGCCAGCTGAGGGAAAATAAAACTGGGCAGTAACTCTTTATTTGTCATAAACCACCTAAACGGACTACAGGACAGTTAAGTTGCCTTCTCTGAGTCTCTGAATGCTGAGCTATGCCTGTGGTTGCCTACAGTGTCAGTTGGCCTTAAACTCAAGAAGAGAAGGAGAAGAAGATATTTCATGTGAGAAGAGACAAAGTGAGGGGGTTTAACTTGGGGGATACTGAATGCCCTGGAAACTTCTCCCAGGTGAAGTTAGGAAGGGAAGGAAGTGGCTAGCGGATTAAGATAGTTTGAATTTATCAGGTATGAATGATCTGAGTTTTATTTAATCTATATTTACTAATATTAAACAATCTAAGATATTTAAATGTAAAGCAAATGTTGACATATATGATCTTTATTTTCCAACTCTAAGTTACAAGAGGAAAATTAAAAGTTTCCAGATAATTTTCGGCATATCAGGTACAATATTTATAAATGGTGTTGTTTTAGTTCATTTGGGCTGCTATAATGAAATACCATAAACTGTGTGGCTTATAAGAAACAAATATTTATTTCTCATAGTTTTGGAGGCTGGGAAGTCCAAGATCAAGGTGCCAGCTGATCTGGTATCTGGTGAGAACCCTTTCCATTATAAATGACACCTTCCAGCTGTGTTCTCACATAATGGAAGGGATGAGGCATCTCTCCAGGGTCTCTTTTATACGGGCACTAATCCTATTCACGAAGGCTCTGTCCTCACGATCCAATCACCTCCGCTATATCATCTTAGGGGTTATGTTTCAACGTAAAAATTTGGGGATGGGAGATGCCAACTTTCAGGTCATAGTAGGTGCTTACTTTTTCTGAGACAAATCATATAGAAATATGATATAAAGAGGCTCATTTGAAAATACTGTAAAGTGATAACCCTGAAAAGTTCAATGGTCTTTTCTTGAATGTGTGGAGAAGGGAAATATACAAAACTCTGTCTTTCTTGGAAGCATTAGAAGAGCTTGAGACTTAGCAGTGTCTTTATTTCAAGTCTTTCTTATGTCTCTTCCTTACTTGGATTGGGAGGTTTAAATGATGTTGAAGTGGGAAGAATATGATTTTGTGGCTAAACAATACTGGCTCTGTTACCTGTGGTTCTGTGAATCTGTGCAAATTAATTGACCTCTTTGAATCTGTTTACTCACTTCAAGTGTTGTGAATGTTAAAGACAAATATAGAAAACATCTAGCGCAATGCATGGCACAGAGGCATTCAACCAATGGGAATTGATAATAACAAATTCTTATTACTACGGCTGTAACAATTATAAAAATACTACTTGAAGGCCAGGCACGGTGGCTCACACCTGTAATTCCAGCACTTTGGGAGGCCGAGGCGGGCAGATCACCTGAGATCAGGAGTTCAAGACCAGCCTGGCCAACATAGTGAAACCCAGTCTGTACTAAAAATACCAAGAAATTAGCTGGACACGGTGGCAGATGCCTGTAATCCCAGCTATTCGGGAGGCCGAGGCAGGAGAATTGCTTGAACCCAGGAGGGGGAAGTCGCAGTGAGCCAAGATTGCGCCACTGCACTCCAGCCTGGGTGACAGAGCGAGACTCATTCTCAAACAAAAAAAACCCCCCAAATTACTTGATATCAGGAAATAATCTACCTTTGTTTTCTTTGTGTTTTTCCACATCAACATCCTCACTTCAATGTGCAGAAATTCAGGGGTTATAAAAGCAACCTGGTGAGATTCTTCACCTAACATTCTGAGAGTGGTAGTCAGGTTAATAGCTCACCAGCATTGCAAAGCCTTTAACTTTGAGAACGAAGAATGAAATTCCTCACTTTGTCTGGTAGTGCCCAAGTCAGAGGTATAAGAAATACAAAATAAAATAGGGAAAGGAAATTGTAAGGAGTAAGGAAAGAGGGAGAGGGAGAAAGGAGACAAGAAAGAGTGAAGCACGCTGTCAGTAGGGCCTCTGGTTTCAGACTCAGCCACTTGACCAAGCAGATTTCATGCGTTTTCATATTGGAGTAAGTGTGGATTCAATTGAAGTTCAAGCCCATAAATAAAGACTCACTCCTGATTATTTTGTGGTAATTGTCTCAGTTAAAAAATACCTGAAAGCGGCTGGGTGCAGTGGCTCACGCCTGTAATCCCAGCGCTTTGGGTTGTTGGGGAAACCAGCCCCACACCACCTGGCAGGTACCCCAAGTCCAGCGGAGACAAAGGAAATAGAAAGAGAATAAGAGTTCAAAGGCGGGTCCAGGGGTCCTGAGCATCGGAGGCTCGCTCACCGCGCAGAGCTCTCAGGCTCCGCCTACTTTATTGGTTTACAAAGCTCTTTGTTCTTAGGGCAGATGGGAGGGGGAGGAAGGGATGAGGAAAAGGATTAATCAGTGAAGGAGAACTCCTGAGTCATTCAATAAGAAGTATAGCAATGGCGGTTTCCGTGAATTTCCTTGAGCAAAGGCGTGTCTAAACTACTTAAGATCTTTAATTTATCTGGACTGAAATGGGTGGGAGCGGGTTTCAGGAGGAGCCAAGATGTTTGATTATACTCCACTGCTTCAAGGGAGTGTTATCTCCCTGAGCAACCTGTGGAATGCTGCGGAGCTGTTACGCTCTCGGGCATAAAGACAGGAAGGCAGTAAGGAGACTTTTCTCCTCAGAAGCTGCCCATGGCTGTCTCACACAGAGGAGACCAACTCGTCTGGCATCCCAGCACTTTGGGAGGCTGAGGCGGGTGGATCACGAGGTCAGGAGTTCGAAACCACCCTGGCCAACAGGCTGAAACCCTGTCTCTACTATAAATCCAAAAATTAGCTGGGCGTGGTGGCAGGCACCTGTAGTTCCAACTATTCAGGAGGCTGAGGCAGGAGAAGAGCTTGAACCGGGGAGGCAGAAGCTGCAGTGAGCAGAGATCGCACCACTAAACTCCAGCCTGGGCAACAGAACAAGACTGTCTCAAAAAAACAAAAAATCTTGAAGGCAAATATCACAGTTAATTTAGTTCATAATGTGTCTGGAATTGGTGGGTTCTTGGTCTCACTGACTTCAAGAATGAAGCCGCAGACCCTCATGGTAAGTGTTACAGCTCTTAAGGTGGCACGTCTGGAGTTTGTTCCTTCTGATGTTCGGACGTGTCCGGAGTTTCTTCCTTCTGGTGGGTTCGTGGTCTCGCTGGCTCAGGAGTGAAGCTGCAGACCTTCACGGTGAGTGTTACAGCTCTTAACACGGCGTGTCTGGAGTTGTTTGTTCCTCCCGGTGGGCTCGTGGTCTCGCTGGTATCAGGAGTGAAGCCGCAGACCTTTGCGGTGACTGTTACATCTCATAAAAGCAGTGTGGACCTAAACAGTGAGCAGTAGCAAGATTTATTGCAAGGAACGAAAGAACAAAGCTTCCACACAGTGGAAGGGGACCCTAGTGGCTTGCCGCTGCTGGCTAGGGCAGCCTGCTTTTATTCTTATCTGGCCCCACCCACATCCTGCTGATTGGTAGAGCCGAATGGTCTGTTTTGACAGGGCGCTGATTGGTGCGTTTATAATCCCTGAGCTAGACACAAAGGTTCTCCACGTCCCCATCAGATTAGTTAGATACAGAGTATTGACACAAAAGTTCTCCAAGGCCCCAGGAGAGGAGCTAGATACAGAAGTGTCAATTGGTGCACTCACAAACCCTGAGCTAGACACAGGGTGCTGAGTGGTGTGTTTACAAACCTTGAGCTAGACATAAAGATTCTCCAAGGCCCCACCAGAGCAGCTAGATACAGAGTGTCGATTGTTGCACTCACAAACCTTGAGCTAAACACAGGGTGCTGATTGGAGTGTTTACAAACCTTGAGCTAGATACAGAGTGCCGATTGGTGTGTTTACAATCCCTGAGCTAGACATAAAGGTTCTCCAAGGCCCCACCTGAGCAGCTAGATACAGAGTGTCAACTGGTGCACTCACAAACCCTGAGCTAGACACAGGGTGCTGATTGGTGTATTTACAAACCTTGAGCTAGATACAGAGTGCCCATTGGTGTATTTACAATCCCTGAGCTAGACATAAAGGTTCTCCAAGGCCCCACCAGACTCAGGAGCCCAGCTGGCTTCACCCAGTGGATCCCGCACCAGGGCTGCAGGTGGAGCTGCCTGCCAGTCCCGGTGCCGTGCGCCCGCGCTCCTCAGCCCTTGGGCGGTCGATGGGACTGGGCGCCGTGGAGCAGGGGGCGGCGCTCGTCGGGGAGGCTTGGGCTGCACAGGAACCCACGGAGGTGGGGGAAGGCTCAGGCATGGCGGGCTGCAGTCCCGAGGCCTGCCCCACGGGAAGGCAGCTAAGGCCCGGCGAGAAATCGAGCGCAGCGCCGGTGGGCCGGCACTGCTGGGGAACCCAGTACATCCTCCGCAGCCGCTGGCCCGGGTGCTAAGTCCCTCATTGCCTGGGGCCGGCAGGGCCGGCCGGCTGCTCCGAGTGCGGGCGGGGCCCGCCAAGCCCACGCGCACCGGAACTCCAGCTGGCCCGCAAGCGCCGCACGCAGCCCCGGTTCCCGCTCGCGCCTCTCCCTCCACACCTCCCCGCAAGCTGAAGGAGTGGGCTCCGGCCTTGGCCAGCCCAGAAAGGGACTCCCACAGTGCAGTGGTGGGCTGAAGGGCTCCTCAAGTGCCACCAAAGTAGGAGCCCAGGCAGAGGAGGCGCTGAGAGCAAGCGAGGGCTGTGAGGACTGCCAGCACGCTGTCACCTCTCAATAAGTTTCCATGACCTCCCTAATTCCTCAGGTAAGTTCACTTTGGGCAGAAATCCTGGGTACCATCTGATGTAGCTTATGGTTATGAAAATCAGCTTCCTCATTCCTGCCTTTGTTGGGGGGTTTCCCCTTCATTTTAACAAGAGGATTTCAGAGCAGAAATATGAAGCACTGCAGGCAACAGAAGTGGATATTCTTGTGTTAGTGGTCACTCCTATTTTGTTTAATTTAAAATGCTTTGTAATGCGAATGTGCTGTCTAAACCCGACCCTCACTTCCCTTTCACTGTCTGACAACCTTCGGGAGGCGGATCGCCATACCCATGCTGGGGCACTCCCACCCTTAGTCTACAGCACCCGGTGCCTTGCCTTCTGGGCTTTGATTGGGTGACCTTTCATTTCCAGTTTCTTGAAATGTTTCCAGCCATTTCCTACTGGTCTCATTTGGTGGTCATCAATATTTTAATTTATTTTTTTCTCCATTCTCAAACATGCCCAGACCCCCTGAGAATCATCTGACCCTCTCTGCCTCTTTTCCAACCACCATACTGCCTGGTTCTCAGCCTTATTTGATTATCACCTGCTGCTGCCTCACCTCAGCTTCTCAGTTTGCTTTTCACTCTCTTGACACTCTTTTTTTTTTTTTTTTCTGAGACGGAGTTTCTTTCTTGTTGCCCACGCTGGAGTGATATGATGAGATCTCGGCTCACCCCAACCTCCGCCTCCTAGACTTATAATTTTTTTTTTTTTTGAGACAGTCTGGCTCTGCTGCCCAGGCTGGAGTGCAGTGGTGCGATCTCGGCTCACTGCAACCTCCGCCTCCCGGGTTCAAGCGATTCTCCTGCCTCAACCTCCTGAGTAGCTGGGACTACAGGCGGGTGCCACCATGCCCAGCTAATTTTTTGTATTTTTAGTAAAGAGGGGGTTTCACCATGTTGGCCAGGCTGGTCTTGAATTCCTGACCTCAGGCGATCTGCCCCCCTTGGCCTCCCAAAGTGCTGGGATTACAGGCGTGAGCCACCGCGCCCGGCCTATCCTTGTTTCTTAAATGGCTTTCCTGACATGGAGACGTAACAGCATTAGATTCGCCAGGGAGAAGGATTCCTTCTGTGCCTGCCGTCCCATTCCGATGCTTTGGGGCCCTCCACAATGATGAGTACTCCCCTCCCCTTCCTCCGCACCTTCCACCGCATGGTCGGCCTTTCTCTTTTTGTATTCCCCATCTGTCCAGCCCTTACACAGCCCAAGGTCTTCCTCTTCTATATGCAGTCAGCTCTGTCGTGGTCAGCTACCTGCTCGCGATGCAGCACCATGGCTTCTGCACACTGAGGAAAGACAACTCCGGATGGGTCTGGGGTTTATTTCCCAGCCCCTTTCATAACTTAGTGGAGAGCTGGCCCAGGAGGGGTGAGTGAAGAAAGAAAAAACGATCCAAGCTCCTGAGCCCAGAGTCTCCCCTCCTGACCCAGCCACTTGCCTAAGGAAGCCCTCCCTGTAACTGCAGTCACTTGTCTACCTGCAATAGAGCATTTTAGGGCTGGGTCTCTGTCCTGGGGTTCTCTCCTTGCCCTGCCTAGGCATGTCTCTTGATGGACTGTTGAAAACTTGGGAATTATGTGCTTTTTGCTAGGTTTTTATTTTTAAATTTCTCCTCCAATAAAACTTATTTTATTTTTACACCGTGTTTAGTATTTCAATTTTGTTTTCTTTCCTACTTCAGGTTATAAAGATAATTTCTTACATTATTTTCTTAAAGTATTATAGTTTTTCCTTTCACCCGCTGGTCTGGAATTCATCTGGGTTTTACGTCTATGTATGGTGAAGGTAATGATTTAACTGCATTTTTTTTCCATTTGGATAAGTATTTTTTCAGTTGTATTATTAAACAGTTTATCAATTTCACATTGATTTGTAATCCCATTGTGACATGAATTAAGTTTTTGTATGTGGTGCATCTGCGTCTGGCTTCTCCAACTTGTTATAGCCCCAGCCATTCCTTGAACTATACCCTGCTGTCTTACTGTAGCTTTCTAATGTCTTGATATCTGAAGGAGTAAATGTCTCTATCTTGCACTTCTCCTTTAGGGAAGTCTTTGTTCTTCCATGTAAGTGTAACAACCTTGTTGTACAAGTCAGTGAAAAATATTATTGGGATTTTTATTGGAGTTGCATTGCATCTTGAGATCCTGATGCATTATTTAATTTATTTAGGTTTTCTTTAGTGTCTTTCAACATAGCTTTATAGTATTTTTTCATGAAGGTTATGCATATCTTTCATTAACTTACTTCCTTGTTACTTTATATTTGTTGTTGCTATTGCAAATAGTATTTTTTAAAAAGTTACACTATGTTACTTATCATTGCTTGTGTAATGGAAATAAAGTTAATTTTAAAAATCAACTTTATTGATCTATACAATAACATTTAAGAGTACATTTCAATGAATTTGACATGTCTATGCACCTGTGTAACCACCATCATGATTGAAATATAAAGCATCTTCATTTTCCTCAGAATTCTCCTGTGCTCTATCCCAGCCCAACCTACCTCCACTCACCCCACATCTTCAGATCCAGGCAATAGCTTGTCTGCTTTTGGTCATCTAGATTAGATTTGCCTTTTCTAAATTTTATATAAAGGATATATCCTTGGTGTTTGGCTTCTTTCACCCAGTAAAATGTTTTGAGATTTATTTATGTGGTTGGTTGTATTAGTATGGTCATGCACCACTTGACAATATTTTAGTCAACAATGGACTGCGTATATGACAGGGGTCACATAGAATTATAATACCATATCTTAACTGTACTTTATAAATGTGTAGACATGCAAATGCTTACCATTGTATTACAACTGCCTACAGTATTCAGTACAATGACATGCTGTACAGGTGTGTAGGCTAAGAGCAATAGGCTACACCACATGGCTAGGTATGTAGTAGGCTCCACCATCTAGGTTTGTGTAAGCATGTTCTGTGGTGTTCACACATGATGAAATTGCCTAAGAATGCATTTCCCACAGTACATTCTCTTCTTTAAGTGACAGATGACTATAATTCATTCCTTTTTATTTTTCCCATGGGTAAGGATGACCCAGGATGTTCTTTTCTGTTTTTTTGGTTAATTTTTAAAAAAAATTTTGTTTCTGAATATATATTTTAAAAGTCTTTATTTTTAATTATTGTGGATACATACTAGTTTTATATATCTCTGAGGTATGTGCAATATTTTGATACAAATACACAATGCATAATGATAAAATCAGGGTAATCAGGATATCCATCATCTAAAGTATAAATCATTTGTGTGAGTGTGTGTGTGTGAGTGTGTTAGGAACATTCCAGTTTCACTCTTTTAGTTATTTTGAAATATGTAATAAATTATTGTTATCTATAGTCATCCCAGTGTGCTACTCAACATTACATCCAACTCCTTCTATCTAACTGCACTTTTGTACCCGTTACTTATCCCCTCTATATCTCCCACCTCACCACTACCCTTCTCAGCCTCTGGTAACTATCATTCTACTCTCTGTCTCTATGAGTTTAATTATTTTAAGCTCCCACATATAAGTGAGAACACATAATATTTGTCTTTCTGTGCCTGGCTTATTTCCCTTAACATAATGCCTTCCAGTTGCATCCTTGTCGTTGCAAATGACAGGATGTCATTCTTTTTTATGGCTGAATAATATACGTACTACATTTTCTTTATCCATTTATATGTTGATGAACACTAAGGTTGATTCCATAGCTTGGCTGTTTTGAATAATGCTGCAGTAAACATGAGAGTGCAGATGTCTCTGTTTTTTTTTTCCTTTTGGATTGGATTTATACACAGCAGTTGGATTGCTAGATCACATGGTAGTTTTATTTCTAGTTTTTTGAGGAACCTCCCTTCTGTTCTCCATAGTGGCTGTACTGATTTACTTTCCTGCCAACAGTGTACAAGAGTTCCTTTTTCCCAACCCCTCACTAACATTTGCTATTGCTTGTCTGTTTAATAAAAGCCATTTTAACTGGGATGAGATCATATCTCATTGTAATTTGGATTTTCCCTTCTTGGATGAGTAGTGATGTTAAGCAAGTGTTCATGTCCTAGTGACCCATTTGTATGTCTTCTTTTGAGAAATGTCTATTCAGATTTTTGCCTATTTTTCATTGAATTGTTTGTTTGTTTTGTATTGAGTTGTTTGAGCTTGTTATATATTCTGGTTATTAATCCCTTGTCATATGTGTAGTTTGCAGATCTTTTCTCCCATTCTGCGAGTTGTTTCTTAACTTGGTTTGTTATATTATTTTCTTTGCTGTGCAGAAGCTTTTGAGCTTGATGTGATCCATTTGTCCATTTTTACTTTTGTTGTCTGTGCTTTTGAGGCCTTACTCAAGAAATCTTTGCCCAGACCTATGTCCTGGAGTGTTTCCCCAAAGTTTTATTCTATTAGTTTCATAGTTTCAGGTCTTAGATTTAAGTCTTTAATCAATTTTGATTTTTTTTTAATATGGCAAGAGATAGGGGTTTAGTTTCATTCTGCATAAGGATATCCACTCTTAGCAGCATTTATTGAAGAGACTGTTCTTTCCTCATTGAATGTTCTTGGAGCCTTTGTAAAAAATGAGGAATTTAATGCTTGGATTTATTTCTGGGTTCTCTGTTCTGTTCCATTGGTCTATGTGTCTGTTTTCATGCCAATACTGTGCTGACTTGGTTACTAAAGCTTTGTAGTATATTTTGAAATCAGGTAATGTGATGCCATCAGCTTTGCTCTTTTTGCTGAGGATTGCTTTGGCTATTTTAGGTCTTTGTAGCTGCATATAAATTTTAGGATTTTAAAAAATGAATTTTTTTTCTATTTCTATGAAGAACATCTTTGGTATTTTCATAGCGATTGCATTGAATCTGAAGATTGCTTTGGGGAGGATGGACATTTTAATAATATTGATTCTTCCAATCCATGAACACGGAACATCTTTCTAACTTTTTGTGTGTCCTCTTCAATTTCTTTCATCAGGGTTTTATAGTTTTCATTGCAAGGATTTTTTGCTTTTTTGGTTAGGTTTATTCCTAGGTATGTTATTTTATTTGTAGCTATTATAAATGGTATTGCTTTCTTGGTTTCTTTTTCACATTGTTCACTGTTAGTGTATATACATGCTATTGATTTTTCTTTGTTAATTTTGTATCCTGCAACTTTACTGAATTTGTTTATCAGTTCTAATAGTTTCTTGGTGAAGTCTTTAGGTTTTTCTAAATATGAGATCATGTTATATGCAAACAAGGATAATTTGACTTCTTCCTTTCCAATTTGGATTCCCTTTATTTCTTTCTGTTGCTGGATTGTTCTGGCTGGGACTTCCAGTGTTATGTTGCATAAAAGTAGTGAAAGTGGGCATTCCAGTTCCAAATCTTAAAGAAAAGGTCTTCAGTTTTCCCCTGTTCAGTATGCTAGTAGCTGTGGTTTTGTCATATGAGGTGTTTATTGTGCTTGATTGTGTTCCTTCTATATCCAGTTTTTTGAGAGTTTGTATCATAAAGGAATGTTGAATTTTATTTAATGCTTTTTCAACATCTATTGATATGATTATATAGTTTTTGTCCTTTGTCTTTTGATGTGATGTATCACATTGATTAATTTGCATATGTTAAATCACTCTTGCATCCTTGGGATGGATGAATCCCACTTGGTCATAATAAATGTAATATTAAATGTAATATTATATTTACATGTAAATTTAAATGTAATATTAAATTCAGTTAAATGTAATATTAAATTCAGTTTTGTTGGTATTTTGTTGAGAATTTTTGCATCTATGTTCATCAGAAATATTGGCCTCTGGTTTTCTTTTTTGTTATTTTTTTGTGTATATGTCTGGTTTTGGTATCAGGGTAATACTGGCACTGCAGAACGAGTTTGACAGCATTCCTTCCTCTTCAACCTTTTGGATTAGTTTGAGTAGGATTAGTATTAATTCTTGTTTAAATGGTAAAATTCAGCAGTGAAGCCATTGTTTGGGTCCTGAGCTTTTCTTTGATGGGGGAATGTTTATTACTGTTATCTTATTACCTGTTGTTGGTTTATTCAAATTTTGGATTTCTTTGTGGTTCAATATTGGTATGTTGCATGTATCTAGGAATTTATTTATTTCTTCTAAGTTTTTCAGTTGAAGAGGACACACAAAAAATAGAAAGATATTCTATGTTCATGGATTGCAATAATCAATATTAATAAAATGTCTATGCTTCCAAAAGCAATCTGCAAATTCAATGTAATTTCTACCAAATCGATGTATTGATATATAGTTGCTCACAGTAGTCTCTGATGATCCTTTGAATCTTTGTGGCATCAGTTGTAATTTCTCCTTTTTTGCCTCAAACTTTATTTATTTGGGTCTTCTCTGTTTTTTCCTATGTCAGTATTGCTAAAGGTTTATCAATTTTGTGTATCTATTAAAAAAACTTTTTGTTTCATTGATCTTTTAAAGAAAACTTCTGCTCTGATCTTTATTATTTCTTCTACTAATTTTGGGCTTGTTTTGTTCTTGCTTTTCTAATTCTTTAAGATGCATACTGTATTAGTCAATTCTTATGCTGCTATGAAGAAATATCCAAGACTGGGTAATTTATAAAGTAAAGAGATTTAATTGACTCACAATTCTGCACCGTTGGGGAGGCCTCAGGAAACTTACAATCATGGTGGAAGGGGAAGCAAACATGTTCTTCACATGGCGGCAGGAGAGAGAAGCATAGAGCAAAGGGGGAAAAAGCCCCTTATAAAACCGCCGGATCTCATGAGAACTCACTCACTATCATGAGAAGAGCATGGGGGAACTGCCCCCATGATCTAATTACCTCCCATGAAGTCCCTCCCACAACACATAGGGATTACAATTCAAGATGAGATTTTGGGTGGGGACATGGCCAAACCATATCACATAGTTAGGTTGTTTATTTGAAGTTTTTTTTCTTTTTTTAAAACTTTTGTGATGTAGGCATTTATTGCTATAAACTTGCCTCTTAATACTACTTTTGCTGTATCCCACAGGTTTTGGTACGTTGTTTTTCTATTTTGATTTTTTTTTAAACAATTTTAAAATTTCCTTCTTAATTTCTTCATTGACCCAGTGGTAATTCAGGGGCATATTGTTCACTATTTCTGTGTTTTTACAACTTGCAAAGTTGATCTTGTTATTGATATCTAGTTTTATTCCACTGTGGTCAGAAAAGATACTTAATATAATTTTAATTATTTTGAATTTTTTTAGACTTATTTTGTGGCCTAATATATAATATATCCTTGAGAGTGTTCCATATTCTAAAAAGAAGAATGCAGATTCTGTAGCTGTTGGATGGAATGTTCTGTAAATGTTTATTAGGTTCATTTCATCTATAGTGTAGATAAAATCAAATGATTCTTCATTGCTTTTCTGTTTAAATGATCTGTTCAATGCAAAATATGGGGTGTCAAAGTCTCCAGCTGTGATTATATTGAGATCTCTCTCTCTTTAGCTCTGTTAATATTTGCTTTTTATATATGGATGCTCCAGAGTTGGATGCACCCAATTTATATTATTATATTTATATTACATTTCGCTGTCTGAGAGGTCACATATCTCTGTCACTGCAGGATTGGTCACTGATTACTTAGTTTGTTTGGTGAGGTTGTGTTTTTCTGGATGTTCTTGATGCTTATGGATGTTCATTAATGGCTGAGCATTGAAGAGTTAGGCATTTATTCCAATCTTTGCAGTCTGGGCTTGTTTGTACCCATCCTTCTTGAGAGGACTTTCCAAGAATTCAAAGGGGAATAAATGTTGTGACCTAAGCCTGTGGTCACTGCAGCTGTTTCAGCACTAGCTGTTTCATTCCTAAGCCCAAGAATGCTGCAACTCTTGAAGACTCCCAGATAATCAGCCTTGTTGGACTTAGGGAAGTTAAGAGAGCATTCTCTGGGTTACCAGTTGAAGTCTCTTGCTCTCTTCCTTCTGTTTCCCCTAATCAGAAGGAGTATCTTTCCACACTGGGCTGCCTGGAATTGGGGGAGGGGTGATGCAGGCACTCCCATGGTACCATGTTGGGTCACACCTGAAGCTCATGTTCTTCCTGATGAGTACAGTACTGGGGCTTACCCAAGGCCCATGGCCACTACTTCCTGGCTGCTGCTGATGTTTATTCAAGGTTCAAGGTCACCTTACTCAGCAGGTGGCCAATCCTGCTGGGACTGGGTCCATCCCATCAGGGCAGCAGATTCTCATCTAGCCTAGATGGGTCTAGAAATGCCATTGGGAAGCAAAGGCCTGGAATCAGGGGCTTCAGAAATCTGCCTGGTACTTTATTTTACAGTGGCTGAACTGGTATCCAGCTTGCCAGACCAAGTCCTCTGTAATATTCCTTCTCCCTTCCTCAAGCAGAAGTCTTTCCCCAAGCTCACTGCCTGGAGTTGGTGGAGGGTTGATGTAAGCACTCTAATGGCTACTACATCTGGTATTGCATTGGTACTGCAACTCCACTGCCTTCAAAACCAGCAGAACACCAGGGCTTATCTAAGGACTGCAGTTCTTGTGGCCTGCCTGCCACTCAAATTTATTTGGGATCTCAAACCACTTTATCAGCCTGTAGTGAGGCCAGCCAGGACTTGGATACCTCTTGCTGTGGCACAGGATGCTCATCTGGCTCAGGGCTGGTCTAAATGCTCCCTCTGTGGGCACCAGTAGAATTCTGCCCTTTGTTGCATTCTATTGTGATAGGGCAGCACTGAGTTTCAGTACAAAGATTCACACTTAGTTTGCTCTCCCTCCCTCAAGCACACAGAATCTTTCTCCATGCTGCACTGCCTGGGATTGAGTGAGGAGAGGTAGGCAACGCAAGACTGTCCTTTCTATCTTCTTCAGTGCCTCTTTCCATCTTAAATGTTATGAACATTAAAAAATAAATCTGTGTGTGGACAAATATTTTAATTTTTCTTGGGTTAATACCTAGGAGTAGAATTCTTGGGATAAATGTTTAGTGTATGTTTAGCTATATAGTGTATGTCCAGGCTGTTTGTTCGAAAGTGTTGTGCAATTTTATACTCCCAACATCAATACATAAGAATTCCAGTTGCTCCACATTCTTGCTAACACTTATTATGTTGTTCTCTTTAATTTTAGCCATTATACTGTTGTATTGTGCTTTCTAATTGTAGTTTTAATTTACATTTTCTTGATCAGGAATGATGTTAAGCATCTTTTTATGTGTTTATTGGCCATTTCAATATTTTTTGAGGAAAGTGTCTGTTTAAATATTTTATGCAATTGATTTTTTATTTTTGGTTTTATTGAATTCTTAGAGTTTTTTTACATATACTGGTCACAAGTCTTTAATCATATGTATACATATTATACATGTATTGCAAATATTATTTTCTCATTTGTGCTGTGTCTTTTGAAGAGCAAGGGTTATTTTGATAAAATATAATTTATCACTTTTTTCTATTTTGAGTAGTGCTTTTTGTGTTTTTCTTTAACAAAGAAATATTTGCCTAATATTTTTGAAGATTGTTCAGATTTTTTCCTGTATTTTCTATGTTTAATAATTTTAGCTTTTGTTTATAGGTACAATTTATTTTCAGTTTATTTCTTTCTATGGTGTGATGTAACTTTTGAGGTTTATCTTTTTACATATGTATATACAATTCTAGTAGCATTTGTTGAAAAAGCTATTCTATTTCATTAAAATACATTGGGACCTTTGTTTAAAATCAGTTGATTTGTTAATAGTATGAAGGGCTGTTTTTGGACTCTCAGATCTTGTAGGTTTCATTTCACAACATCAGAATATAGCAAATATTGCAATAAAGTGAGTCACATAAATTTTTTAGTTTTCCATTGCATATAAAAGTTATGTTTACACTATATTGCAGTCTGTTAAGTGTGCAATAGCATTGTCTAAAAAATGTACATAACTTAAATAAAGGAACACTTTATAGCTAAAAAATGCTCATGATCATCTGAGCCTTCAGTGAGTCAATCTTTTTGCTGGTAAAGATCTTGTTTTGTTGCCGATGACTGCTGACTGATCAGGGTGGTGGTTGCTGGAGGTGGAAGTGGCTGTGGCTATTTCTTTAAGTAAGACAGAAATGAAGTTTACTGCATCATTGACTGTTTCTTTCATGAAAGATTTCTCTGTAGCATATGATGCTGTTTTATAGCATTTACTTACAGTGGGACTTCTTTCAAAATGAGAGTCAATCTTCTCAAACTCTGTCACTGACTTACCAACTAACTTTATGTAATATTCTAAATCCTTTGTTATCATTTCAGTAATGTTCACAGCATCTTCACCAGAAGTAGATTCCATCTCAAGAAACCACTTTGCTTGCTTATCCATAAGAAGCAACTCCTCATTCATTAGTTTTATTATGAGATTGCAACAATTCTGTCACATCTTAAGGCTCCACTTCTAATTCTAGTTCTTTTGCTATTTCCATCACATCTGCAGTTACTTTCTCCACTGAAGTCTGGAACCCACTCAAAATCATCCATAAATTTGAATCACTATCTATGACTCTATAGCTTTATGAAATTCATTTCTTAAATAATAAGATTTGAAATTTGAAGTTACTTCTTGCTCCACGTGCTGCAGACTGGATGTTTGTTAGCAGGCTTGAAAACATTAATCTCCTTGTACGTCTTCATTGGAACTCTTGGATAACTGGCTGCATGGTCAATGAGCAGTGATATTTTGAAAACAACATTTTTTTCTGAGCAGTAGGTTTTGACAGTGAGTTTAAAATATACAGTAAAACATGCTGTAAACAGAGGTGCTGCCATCTAAGCTTTGATATTCCATTTATAGAGCACAGAAGCAGTTGATTTAGCATAGTTCTTAAGGGCCCTAGGATTTTTGGAATGGTAAATAAACACTGGCTTCAACTTAAGGTCACCAGCTGTGTTAGCCCCTAACAAGAGAGTCAGCCTGTCCTTTGAGACTTTGAAGGTAGGCATTGACTTCTCCTCTCCGGTTAATGAAAGTCCTAGATAGCATCTTCCAATGCAAGGCTGTTTCATCTGCATTGAAAATCTGTTGTTTAGTGTAGACACTTACACCAATTATTTTAGCTAGATCTTCTGGAGAACTTGCTTCAGCTTCTATATCAATGCTTACATCTTCACCTTGTACTTTTATGTAATGGAGACGGCTTCTTTCCTGAAACCTCATGAACCAACCTCTGCTAACTTCAGACTTTCCTTCTGCAGCTTCCTCACCTCTCTCAGGCTTCATAGAACTAAAGAGAATTAGGACCTTTCTCTGGATTAGACTTTGGCTTAAGGAAATGTTGTGGCTGATTTGATCTATCCAGACCTCTAAAACTTTTTCCATATCACTTTCTTATCATTTGTGTTTTCACTGGAGTGGCACTTTTCATTTTCTTTAAGAACCTTTTCTTTGCATTCACAACTTCATTAACTGTTAGTGAATTGCATTTATTAACTGCTTGGTGAAAAAGTCCTAGCTTTCAGCCCATCTCAGCTTTTAACATGCTTTCCTCACTAAACTTAATAATTCTTAATCATTAATAAACATGGGAGGTGGAGGTTGCAGTGAGCTGAGATTGTGCTACTGCTCTCCAGCCTGGGCAACAAGAGTGAGACTCTGTCTCTAATAATAATAATAATAATTCTAATAATTCTAGCTTTTGATTTAAAGTGACAGACATGTGACTCTTCCTTTCACTCGAACAATTAGAGGTCATTGTAGGGTTATTAATTAGCCTAATTTCAATATCATTGTGTCTCAGGGAACAGGAAGGCCCGAGGAGAGGAAGAGAGATGGGGGAATGGCCAAACAGTGGAGCAGTCAGAATACACACAATATTTATTGATTGAGTTCTCCATCTTATATGGGCATGGTTTGTGGCATCCCCGAGCAATTATGATAGTAATATCAAAGATCACTGATTACAGAACACAATAGCAGATATAATAATAATGAAGATTTAAAATATTTTGTGAGGATTACCAAAATGTGACACAGAGACACAAAGTGAGCACATGCTGTTGGAGAAATGGCATTGATAGACTTGCTCAGTGCAGGGTTGCCATGAACCTTCAATTTGTGAAAAATACAGTATCTGTGAAGCACAATAAAGCGAAGCATAATAAAACAAGGTAGGCCTGTACACAATTCAATAATTGTTAGTATATTCAGAGCTGGGCAACCATCATCACAGTTAATTTTAGAAAAATTTCCCCAACCTGACAAGAAAATCTAAATGTATTAGCATACACTTCTCATTTCCTCCCAATCTCCCCCACGCCTAACCCTGGGCATACAACTAAACTACTTTCTGTCTCGATAGATTTTACTATTCTGGACATTTCCTACATATAGAATTTGTATAAGTTATAGGCTTTGTTTGGTGACTGCCTTCTTTCACTTAGCACGATGTTTTTAAGGTTCATTCATGTTGTAGCATCTAAAATCCTTCATTTTAAAATTGATGATCAACTAATATTCCCTTGTATAGATACAGGACAGTTTCTTTATCTTTTCCTCTGTCGAAGTACATTTGAGTTGTTTCCACTTTTAGCCTATTATGAATAATGCTGGAATATTCATGTGCAAGTTTTAAAATAAATGTATGTTTTTGTTTCTCTTGAGTATATGCTAGGTCATATGATAGCTCTACGTCTAACATTTTGAGAAACCGTCAGATTGTTTTTCAACGTGGCTCTACCATTTTGCTCTCCCATCATCAGTGGTAGAAAGCTTCAATTACTCCACATTCTCACCAATACTTATATTTCTGTTCTTTAGATTGTAGCCATCTAGGTGGATATAAGGAGTTATCCCATTGTGATTTTGATTTACATTTCCCTAGCGGTTTATGATGTTGACAATCTTTTTATGTAGTTTTTGGCCATTTGTATATCTTCCTTGGAGAAATGTCTATTCAAATCTTTTGCCCATTTTAAATTGGATTATTTGTCTTTTTATTATAAAGTTGTAAGAATTCTTCATATATTTTACAGACAAGTCCCTTATTAGATATATGATTTCCACATCTTTCCCCCCCATTTTCTGGGTTATCTTTCCACTTTATGATTGTGTTTTTGAAGTAAAAGTTTTTAATTTTCATGAAGTCCAACTTATCTTTTTCTTTTGTTGTTTGTGCTTTTGGTGTCATATCTAAAATGCTCAGCCTAACCTTCAATCATAAGGATTTCCTGCTATGTTTTCTTCTGAGTTATACAGTTTAGCTTTTACATTTTAGTCTATTATCCATTTTGAGTTGACTTTTGTGTATGGTGTGAGGAAGGGATACAACTTCATTCTTTTGCATGTGGATATGCAGTTGTCCTAAAGGGTTACCTTCTATCTATAGATTAGTTTGGAGAGAATTAACATTTTAAAAACATTGAATCATCCAATCCATGAGCATGATATAGCTCTCCATTTATTTTAAGCTTTCTGGAATTTCTCTCAGGAATGTTTTTGTAGCTCTCAGTTCTATGTATATTTCATTAAATGTATTCCTAAGTAGTTAATATTTTTTGGTATTGTTTTAAACATTTTGATTTCTCAAAGAACTAAGAATAGAACTACCACTCTATACAGCAATTTCATTACTGGATGTCTATCCAAAGGAATATAAATCATTATATTAAAAAGATACCTGCTCTTGTGTATTTACTGTAGCACAATTCACAAGTGCAAAGTTATGGAGTTGACCTAGTACTGTCCTCAGATCCTTCCTCTCTGGCTCAGATGAATGGGAGCAGTAATGTGAGTCAGCCATAACAACCTTCTTAGGAGAATTACTTCTGCCTTTGGATCTGCTTAGAGATAATTCTCATTTGATAACAATTTGCCCTGTTTGTCTAAGCAAAAATTAACAAAAATTGTAATAGAAAGAATAATCATATTGCTTCACATTCCTTGCTTATTCTTGTAGTCCTTATGCTGAAAATGCACATATCTCAGTGTTAGTCTCACCACTGCCGCTTCTCTTCCTGCTTATTTACACAGTGCTGGGTGCTGGATGATCCTCACACCACCCTATTAGGTAGGTAATATTTTGATCTTATTTTAAAGATAATCTCCCAAGTGTGACACTGCTTTAAACACATTTTGACTCCAAGGGAGCTCTCATTGGGTCTAAGTTTTCTCATCTTCAAACTGAGGAAGGGACCTGAATAATGATTTCCAAGGCCCCATGTACTTCTGACAACCTCAAGTGGGTCCTTCACAGAATTGCAAGGATGTCTCTAGGTGCAGCATTGGTTCCTGGCCCTTTGAAGGGGTGATTCTCAGTGTCAGTCTGAGGGCTGGGAAAGTTCAGTCATCTCTGCCCAGTGGCCTTCTCTTGATCTCCCCACTGTAATCTCTTTTATCCCCTTCCCTTTGCAAGTCTTTTCCTAGCCTGGCAGGTCAAGCATTACCTGATAAAAGTCTCAATAAAGACCTGTACTCAGAAAGGAGGAAACTGCTCTCCACCCAAATCCTATTATAGCTCTGGGATTTCCCTGCTGCTCTGGAATTCACTCTCTCTCTCACACATACACACAAATTAACATTTAATCAGGATTTTCTATGTATTTTTCTGCTATAAACATTTCTCATGTTAATGATAGTTCCTAATTTGGTCTTAAGGACAAATTGAGGTACTTTTGAGATAATAACTAGAAAAAGAATGTAAAACCTGCTCATTATTACAGGGGAAACTCATCTTGAATTACATCAGTTTCTATAATCTGATAATTCTATGGTTTCCGAGGCGAATCTCATGTATGGGTGAGGCAGGAGAGTTTGAATCATGGTTCATAGCTTTCAGAGGTCATTTTTAGCCTTTAATATGAGGCCTCAGTAGAGAAGTAATTTCTTGTTGTGCTTTTGAAATTCTGATCCATTCAAGTTGAAGGCCACACTTAAAAGGTAAGATTTCTGGCTGGTCATGGTGGTTCATGCCTGTAATCCCATACTTTGGAAGGCCAAAGTGGGAGGATCACTGGAGGCCAGGAGTTCAAGATGAGCCTGGGCGATATAGCAAGATCCTCTCTCTACATTTTTTTTTTAAAGCAAAGCAAAACAAAACAAAAACAGGTGAGATTTCTGTTGAGTGTACGTAGCAACCACCTGTAGTAGAAGGTCCTCTAAGCCAGTGCTCAGTTCTCTGGGCTCCAGACCTAGCTTTGCTGCAAACATTCTGCTTGCTTTTAGCAAATTCACTTTGATTGTCTGGGCCACATTTCCTCATCTCTAAATAGCTGACTTGAAAGGCATTGAATTTATTTTATTCATCAGTAAATGTTGAACCTGCTCTGACTTCATTATAGGTTGTGAGAATTAAGTGATAATATTTGTGGAAGAGATTTACTGTAACTCTTTGTGATGTAAGCTTTGTTATTTTTTCATGGTAGATATGCATGTTGACAACTGTTAATTCATTTTCACTATGTTCTCTAATTTGTAAAATAAAGGCATGGAATTAAAAAACTAAAACATTCTCCGTAATTATCTCTGTCTCCTCCTCATGCACAGATCATATCATGTCCGTACTGTTCACTGATGTATTTATTCCAGGCACCGTGTGCAGGGCATGCTGTATAATATGTGTTAAATAAATTTAAAAAATGGCTTATAAACATAAAATGGCTAAGCTTTCAGATAATACAGAGAATGAGAACGATTTTCTAATTTTAAATTTGTGAAGATTTTTTAAATAATGATTTCTCTTTTGGATGAGGGTCAGGTGAAATGGGCTCTCAGGGTAGATGATGAGAGTGTAAGTTGGTACAAGTTTAATTGAAAGCAATTTGGTATCAAGAATCTTAAAAAATGCCAAGGAAACTTATTCTTGTTAAAGAGTTTCACTTGCAGTATTTATTCTGTTTAAAGTTTGTCTAGGTTCCAAACTGCAGCTGACCCCAAGAAAGTCAACAACCTGGCCTTTTTAAAAGAGATACAAGACCTGGCAGAGGAAATTCATGGAATGATGGACAAGGCAAAAAACTTAAAAAGACTTTGGGTAGAACGATCCAACACTCCAGGCAAGTAAACCTCTCATAACTGTGACACTACCTACCTGGACATAGCTTAAGGAGAGCTGTGGAGGCTATGAGAACCCAGAATGCTAAATGCTCAACTCCTGCCTGTGCTAAACTTTCATAGTGAGTCTTTGATGGATGAGGCCAGCACCTGCAGACGGTTGTGGAGGGTGGAGCTGGATTCTCTCTCCTCAACCCCCTCGGAAGGCACCTTGTGCAGTGCACACACTGCATAACCTTCAGAGGGCTGCAGCCCATCCTGACTTTGTCTCCACAGTTACCTTCTCACCACTCTGCCTACTCCTTTACACTCTTCGGCTGTTGTCTTCCTTTCTTGCTTTCTCTTATTCTGTTTTTAAAATCTGTCCCCACCTTCCCCAAACACACACACACACACACACACACACACACACACACACACACACACACACATTCCCAATTCATTTCCTCCTTCTTGTATATTTGGATTGGTCTTTTCCATGTTAGTAACCCTTTAAGACTGGCCTTGGATGATTTATTTACTTTGATTACAAACCTTTTGGATTA
The DNA here is from genome assembly GCF_000001405.40 of Homo sapiens. NCBI lineage: Eukaryota > Metazoa > Chordata > Mammalia > Primates > Hominidae > Homo > Homo sapiens. Next base: position 48,220,049 of record NC_000007.14, read on the forward strand.
TTGGGGTGGATTATTCCCTAAACAAAAGCAATTTCTGTTTATTATAAAGAACATCCACATTATAAATGGCTTCATCTTATTTATAATCTATAGTAGGGAAAGTTAGGATGGATAAAGATCTTAGAGAGTTTTGCTTACAAATGGAGAAGTTTGCACCTCAGAAATAGGCAGCCAGTTGCCTCTCTTCACATCCCTGAGTCATTGCCTATTGTGATATTTGTTAATAAATGGGGGCATTCAGTTAAATTTGAAATTTAAATAACAAAAATTTGTTAATATATGTATGTCCCAAGTGTTACATACTTGGGTAAGAAATAATTTATTTCTAATCTGAAATTGAAATTTAACTGGATGTGTTCTATTTTAAATTTGCTAAATCTGATAATCCTAAGTATATAGCTCCAACTATAATTCCTATGTAATTTTTTCTTTCTTCATGGAGTGTATACAAAACCACGAAATAAAGAGTTTGGCAGAAACATGAAGAATGGGCTTCCCAAGGCAGATGGCATTATGTGGTATTTTTAAGAGACAAAATAGCACCTTTGTCCAGGATGGGGCAGGGCTGGCCATGGCCTGCCTGAAAGCTGATTTCACAATGGACCCAAAATGTATCAAAATAGACCAGAATGGTTCCAAACACCAAATGATGGAGTTCTTATATTACACTCTATTTTGGGGTCATTCTACTTTTATAAAATTTGATTTTCAAATGAGGTTTTTAACATGCTATTTAAAGAAGAATTAAATTTTTTTGAGATGAAGTTCCCACTTTATTTCTAGTTTTCTATTATTTGAGCCATTTTCTGTGAGATATGTAACTTAAAATAATCTGAAAAATTATAATTTCACTTTTTTCTCTTCAAGTTTTTCCTTCATTTTTTTCTTTTTAAAAAAATTTTCATTTATTCCCTCTCTCCTATCCTGAATTTTTGCAATGCCCAGTGAAATTAGATACTAATTAAATAATACAATACCCTTTGGCAAATTGTTGAAATTTGGTTTACCAGTTAAATTTTTTCCATGAATATACTTAGATTTGGAAATCTATGGTGATAGCTTTCTTCAGATAAATCTTATGAAGATAGATTTATTCTTCAGTTTTGGTGTATTTGATTTTTGGGCCAGGGCTCTTGGATACTCCATTTGACTTTAGAATTAAAAGTAGGCATTTAGCATGTGCTTTTTCATTGATGATTGAACTAATATCTCTTAAACCTTCTTTATTATAGATTCTTCTTATGGTTCCAGTTTTTTTACAGTAAGTATCTTAACAATAGTTTGAAAATTAGTCTTCAGAGACAGAATGGTTAAGTTTACAACACTGTTTTTAAGTTTACATTTTCAAAGATTATTTCTAATGACTTGTATAACAATTGTATAGAAGCTGGATTTGAGAGAGCCAAGGTCTTTGTAGATACGGGCTAAAAGACAAGTTTGAATTTTCTGAAGCAAGGCTCTGGGTCTGTGAAAAGCAGAGGTGAAACCTGAGGCCAGCAGGTGGTGGGCGATCCACAGAGTTGCTTTGTAAGATGGGTACAGAGTTTATCTGATCCCAGGGATGGTCTGAGATTTGTGCTTGGCACATAAGCGGTGACTCCCTCGAGGCACGAAGCCCTCAGTTAAGGAACTAGTTATCAACAGGGGGGATTTTGACCTCCAAAGGATATTTGTCAATGTCTGGACATATTTTTGGTTGTCATAACTGTGGACCAGTGGGGAGGGTAATATTAACCTCTAGTGGGTTGAGGCCAGAGATGTCGCTAAGAATCTTACAAAGCACAAGACAGCTTCTACAACAAAGAATCATCTGACCCAGAACATCAGTAGTCCGGTTGATAAGCCTCAAGTTAAGGTGCAACCCTGACAATATTAAAAATTCTTCCTTGCTCATATTGCAGCACCAGACACTGACTGACTGTACAGGACTTTGTAGTAACATTGCATTAACAGAAGCATATGTGTCTGTATCTGTTTAATTCTAAGAAAGATTTAGACAGCTCAAAAAAAATATGCCATAAAACCATTAGGAGAAAAGTAAAAGAATAGGGGCCAGCTAATGGATTGGAATGAAGCAAGAATGTCAGTGCATCCATTAAATAATGACACTAGCAAAGAGTATTGAACAAACACTCATCTTAACTTGGAGATTTCTGATGCACCAGGTCAAAAGGAAAATATGGGACACACACTCAAAATCTTACAAATAATGAAAGAACTTAAAAATAGAATAAACCATCACTTTAATGATTAAATTAGCATTTAAAAAAGAAATTATAATACCTGATGCTTGTGATGTTGTAGCTTACTGATATAATCTCATATGGTTGTGACAATGTAAAAAGATATAATAATTTTTGGAAAAGCAACTTGATTTTCTTGCTCTGTAATTGTTCTGAAAATTAATGTTATGTATAATACAAGGGAAATAAAAAGCTGTATGCATAAAATGTTCATTGATAATGATGGATAATTCAAATTTCCCAAAGTAAGATAAGTTGACCTTGATGGCCTTCTTAGTACAGTCACTTAATAGTGAGTATGGTATGTGGAAAATGAGTATGTTATTAGATCAAGTGTAAAAAGCAGAGGACAGTATCATATCCATCGTATGTTTGCGATGTAAAAACATTTCGGTGCAAAGAATTGAAGGAAAAAAGATTTGTTACAATGAAAGAGTTCTATGTTGCTTTTTTATTATAGAATTCTGATAAAGATGTTATACCGTTTGATTTTCACTGAGAGTGAAATGGCTATCTGAATAATCTGAGCAGAGGAATGGTGGGACTTGAGTTATGTTTTTGGAGGATTTCTTTGGACATTGTGTCAAGCAGAGACCGACGGTAGCCAGAGCGGAAGTGGGAGCCCACGTAGGGAATCAGCTCATCCTTCTATGCAACATTAAATGGAGGTATTTTAGAACAGACGCACAGTTAGTGAGGGAGGTAGTGAGATGTGAGGGTGGTTTTGATATATTTTGGAGGTAAAATCAGTAGGCTCTGTTGATGAATGTGAGGTAGGTTATGAGAGAAAGAGAAGAATCAAAGATGACTCTATGTGGTTTGACCTCAGTAATTGGAAAAATGGAGTGGCCATTTACTGAGGTGGGGAAAGACTGAAACAGGTTTTTCTGAGGGGAGAGGAGGAGAGGGTATAAAGGGAAATCAGAAATTGATTTGGGGGATGTCAGTGAGATATCCAAGTGGCATTGCCAAGGAGGTTGTGGGAGTTTCCAGTTTGGAGCTGAGATAAACTCTCTTGGCTGGATATATCAATTTAGAAAGTGTTGGTGCATAAATGAGACTTCAAGGTCATCAAGGGAGAGTGTGTAGACAGAGCAGAGAAAGAGGGCTGAGCACCAAGCACTTGCATTTGAAAAAGAGTATCAGGCAAGGAGGAGGAAGGTGAGAATGTGGGGTGTTGTGGAAGCCCAGGAAGGCAATTTTCTAGGAGATGGGGATGATCCATTGTCTCAAGTGTGGCTGATTGATCATGTAAGAAGAGGATGGAGAAGTGCCACTGGGATTAGCAGCATGGAGTTCATTAGTGATGTTGACAAGAAAGGCTCTGATGGAATGATGAGGGTAAAAGCCTGACTGGAGTGGGTTTAAAAGAGAGTGGGGGCACTCCGGGCTCAGTGGCTCATGCCTGTAACCCTAGCACTTTGGGAGGCTGAGGCGGTCCAATCACCTAAGGTCAGGAGTTCAAGACCAGCCTGGCCAACATGATGAAACCACTTCTCTACTAAAAATACAAGAATGATCCAGGCGCGTAATGGCAGGTGCCTATAATCCCAGCTACTCGAGAGGCTGAGGCACGAGAATTGCTTGAACCTGGGAGGCGGAGGTTGCAGTGACCTGAGATTGTGCCACTGCACTCCAGCCTGGGTGACAGAGCAAGACTCGGTCTCAAAAAAAAAAAAAAAAAAAGAGAGAGAGAGAGAGAATGGGGGCAGGTAAGTGGAGACAGAGAGTGTATATGACTCAAGATGGTAGGCTGTGAAGCAGTGAAGTATGGGGTGGAAGCTGCTGGGCATTGCAGAGGCCTTTGCTGTCTGTTCCCACCCTGCTGGCTCTCTAATTTCTCCCCAGCTAAGATGGACAGTTCCCCGAGAGCTCAGACATCTGGTCACAGGGCCCCATGTCAAACACATGCTGAGAGTATTTTGCTTTCTGTTCTTCCCCGAAGTCAGTTCAGCTTGAGAGGGCAGGGGAGCTAACAACCCCATTGCAACCCACAGCTGGGGTGACCACCAGACTCACATTGCCTGGGACTGAGAGTCCCTTGTTCCAGGAAACATCTCAGTCCTGGGCAACTGGGGAAGGTTGGTCCAACTTCCCCCAGCAATGGTTCAACTCTGGGCAGTACCTTTGTTCCTGAGAGGCTTTGAGGATTCAAGCCAGCATGGCCTGTGCAGGTCCTTGATGGCTGCATTGACTTTTCCCTCTTTCCCTCTTTCCCCACTGCAACATGGATGTTGCAGTGAACCTTCTCCAGACCATTTTGAAGTGAGTGAAAAAGAAAAACATAACTGAGTATCAATATGTTGTTTTTTTACCTTATTTTTAAATGGGAAATAAAAATTACTAATTGTTGGATTTAAAAAAACCTCACAATAATGTTACCTTGAAACAAGAGGAGCTTCTGCACCTCCACGAACGTCCCTCATCTGTCTGTGTACATATTTTATATACAGGCAGTGATGTTGTTCAGAGCGTGTGCTCCCTGATTTAAAAAAGTCAGCGCCATATTTTAATATTTCATATGTTGTTATAGTTTATAAATGGCCAGTTTTAATCGCTGCAGCATTCTTTCCACCTCCTCAGCTCCTTCTTCCTGGGACCATCTCCTGAATAAGCCACCTATATACAAGTCCTTGTTGCAGGGGAACCTAAACGGAGACAGGAGATATGGATTTATTTTCCTTCTTTATTATTATTATTATTTTTTTAGAGACAAAAAATGCTCTGTCGTTGAGCTTCAAACTCCTGGGCTCAAGCCATCCTCTGGCCTCAGCCTCCCTAAATACTGGGATTATAGGCGTTAATCACCATGCGTGCGTGCCTGCCTGCCTGCCTGCCTGCCTGCCTTCCTTCCTTCCTTCCTTCCTTCCTTCCTTCCTTCCTTCCTTCCTTCCTTCCTTCTTTGCTTCCTTCTTTACTTCCTTCCTTCCCTCCCTCCCTCCCTCCCTTCCATCTTTCCTCTCTCCTTTCTTCCCTCCCTCTCTCCCTGTTCAGCACAGATGGAACCATCCATTTTTTTCCCTAAATTTTTTCAATCGATGGTTTATTGAATCCAAGGATGCCTAACACACAGTTACGAAAGGCTGACTGTACTTCACTGTATACTTCTGAAAAACAAGGTCATTCTTGAACATAACCACAGTACAATTATTAGAATCAGAAAATTAACACTAATACAATAGAATTATTTAACCTATAGACTTTTTCCAGATTTGCCAATTGTTCTAATAATGTCCTTAACAGCAAAAGAAAATCTTGGATCATGTATTGCATTCAGTTGTCCTGTCTTTAGTTTCCTTTGTTCTGGAACGGTCTTTGTTTTTATTTCATCATGATTTTTGAATAGATCACTTATTTTGTAGACTATCTATCTCAATTTTGGGGTTGCCTGATGTCTGTTCGTGATTGCATTTGGGGTTTTGTACTTATGGCAGGAACAGCTTGTGTTTTTTAAGATGGCAGATAATAACATGCTGATAGGAATGAACCGATAGAGGGGAAAAGAGAGAATTGCTGGATGATGCTCTTGAGGGGTGGGAGAGCAGGAGGGCTGAGCTCAGCCTGAGGACTGAAGCACTGAATTTGGCTGGGGATAGATTTTTTTTTCTTTTGCCAGTGGAATATATGATAGATTGTGAGAAGAGAAGAGAGTTGAGTGGGTATTCAAGGGAAAGATCATCCAGGAATGGACCAGGGGCACGAGGGCAATGGGGACAAGAAAGAGGTGTTGGCAGAATGGAATGTGGGGCCTGGTAGGGCCAAAGAGTCATTAGAGTTGGGGAACTGTAGAAAAGGAGTGGGGTTGGTCATCGAAGAGTGAGGTGCATAAAGTTGTAGCTATTGATAATGAAAACAAAATGAAGATTTTGACCAGAGAAATGGGTGATTCAAGCAGGTGGAAGAAAATATCATTGGATGGAAGGGAGATAAAGTAACAGAGGGGATTTGAGGATCATTAGATATGGAAATTACTGAGAATGGTGGCTGAAGTCATGCCGAAAAGCATGGTAGTGTGCTAGAAGCCAGAATCCTCCAGAAATGGAAAGAGCTCATTCTGGGAGCTTCCCAGGACCCTGCTGAGTTCTGAGACCCTCTTTTCATTCCACTGAGAGTGGTGTGAGGAAGAGGGAGTGTGTCTCGTTTGGAGTAGTTGGACCTCTGGAGAATGCTTCTTTTTCTGTTTGTTTGTTTTAACTCTATCTCATCTGAAAGATAAATGCTGTGACTTTTATGAGTGGTCTAAAATGCAGGACTCACTTTTATTGAAGAAATGGGAACTAGGCAGCAAGAAGAGAACCAGCAACTGTGGAGCTTGGATCACAGAGTGTGGGGTAGTTGTTACTGGGATGTCATGGAGCATTGGGGTGTTTTTCCACCTAGGGAGAGCATGCGGGCTCAGTGAGGCACTGGAGACCCATGTTCCTTCTATTTTTGCACTTAGCCATTCTTGGCATATAATAAGAAAGCCTCGGGTATCTAGAGAAATCCAAAGGCTCTATACTATGGGCCAGCTGCATTTGCCTTCTGATCAAGCCATCAGTGCTCAGTGAAATGTTGGGTTTTTTTGTTCATATTTGAATTACTCTCTTTTCTTTATCATTTACATGTAAAGAATAGATCATTACATTCTTATCCAGGATCTATGTCACAGACTTTGTTGCTTCAAAAACTGTAGAAGTTGGTACAGCTTGTTACAAAAATCGGCCTTCTTTTTCTTCTTACCCCATCCATATTTTTCCCTCCTTGTCCATATTTTTAAGCCATTAAAAAAAAATCCTCCAACTGCACAGAATAGTTTTAACATTGTGTTCAGCAGATTGGCAAATCTGTTCAATGTAGTGATATATTAAGTGTGAGTTTCTACTAGGAGAATGTCTACAATTTTGCACCTTTGTAGCATCTGTCTGTCTCATTTACTTTATTAATAAAACTCCAGAGGGAAACTTTTGGTGTATTTTTTTTCCCATCAGATGGATCTCAATAAGACCGAGGAGGTAATATTGAAACTGGAAAGCCTCCATCAGCAGCCTCATATCTGGGATTTTCTACTTTTACTGCCGAGACTACACACAAGCCATGATCATGTGGAAGATGGCATGGATGTTGCAGTGAACCTTCTCCAGACCATTTTGAAGTGAGTGAAAAAGAAAAACATAACTAAGTATCAATATGTTGTTTTTTTACCTTATTTTTAAAATGAGAAATAAAAATTACTAATTGTTGGATTTAAAAAAACCTCACAATAATGTTACCTTGAAACAAGAGGAGCTTCTGCACCTCCACGAACGTCCCTCATCTGTCTGTGTACATATTTTATATACAGGCAGTGATGTTGTTCAGAGCGTGTGCTCCCTGATTTAAAAAAGTCAGCGCCATATTTTAATATTTTGTATGTTGTTATAGTTTATAAATGGCCAGTTTTAATGGCTGCAGCATATATCATTCTGGTAAAGTACTATATACTGTAATTTACTTAATAAATTTGGCATTGGATTTTTGGTTGTTTCTGAGTTTTTCACTATTAGAGATAGGCTTGAATATAATAATTTCAACTAATTTCTTAAGAAATTATGCCATAGTTGCCCAGTATAGCATTCAGAACTGATAAGCTCAGTTGCTTCAGTTGTGTAATTCAGTTAGCTGGACGTTGGTCTCCTATGCTGGATTTGACCCCCATGTTACCTGGGGTGACCTTTGGGAGCATCCCTTCCCGTGGTGGGCTTCTTATGCCTTAATCAGCATGGCCCTCTTTTATAACCAATTGAATTATTTTGTGTAAACTCATTGTATGAATAATGGGTTTTATTATTTTTCATTAGCAAAGGTTTATATTCTTCTCTGTTTTTTAACTGTTACTTATTCTATCTGCCATTGGTGAGAGCCACATTACCCTTAAGCTACAACAAAAAGGGCCCTGTCCTGGGGCCTGTGCTTTGGGGAGGTCCCCGTTCTGGCTTTCCCTGGACTGTGCCTCTGCTCATGGCTCAGACTGCCCATGGGGTGAAGGGGATGTGTCCACGGAGCCCACACACCCTGATTCCCTCTCACCCTGGAGTTCCCTAATTTAATGACCAGATCATGGTCAAGCCTCTTTTCTGGCCCCTCCTTCTGAGGGCAAGTCTTAACACTGGACTGTGGCTCCTGCAGCCCAAGGGTATTCTAGGGATGGCTGCAGCCATTGGCAGGAGTGTGGGGTGGGAGGCACGGGTGCTGTTGGGCTTTGTAGGCTGGAGGACCTACCTATGTGCACTGAGGCCCCTTGAGGTACAGACCAAGCTGAGGGTGGGGAGCACATAGGGGAGGAGTGGACTGAAGGTTGGGGCCAGGGACAGGTGCTCCCCAAACTCCCACATTCTGGTGCGTAACTCTGAGGATCACAAAATTCTAAATTTGAATGTAGCTTTCCAAGTTGTTATGAAGATCTATTTGTCAATGTAGGAAAATGGAACGTATTTTGATAGTTAGTTAGCTTGATTTATAACTTAAATATTTGAACATATTTGAAATGCCTCCCTTTGTATTCTTGCCCGAAGCTCTGACTGTGTTAGCAGTGAACAACGAAAATAATTGGCTATTCTGAGAGATGCAAAATTTAAAATGAGAAGATATTGATGACAGTTGTTGAACCATATCAGCTTCAGTATAAATTGTATTTCCATATTTGGCTTCAGTGGCATGATATCAAGAAAATCTGCATTCATAGAAGTATTTGCAAGTGGTACCAGGTTTCAGTGATATATCTTATAATCCTGGGATACGCTTCAATACACAAAGTTGTCATAAAAGATTTTTCTTGATGAAAATCTACAAGGAAATAATCTGTTTGGAAGCACAGCTTATGATTGTGTTGGTCTCATGTTGCTAAAATGCAGATATATTCCAACTTCTGTTGAGTGCATTTTCTAATCTACAAATTTAAGCATATTTATTTATAAAATAAAATATTAATATTTTAAAAATAAAATTAATATGTATATGTAGATTCTCCCTCCCCAAAGCTCCTTGTTCTTTGAAACAGTTTAACAGCCACTGATTAACCCTTGACCTATTCAGATCCATAGGTTAAGACAGGGTGGAGGATTGAGGTACATGGTATTGCCCCCCAAATATTAGACTGATTATCTGAACTTGAAGCAGCCAGGCTGACTGTTCATTTGCTTTTCTAACATAGCAGCCCTTTGCACCCTGGCTGGCCTCATCAGCTGCCCTGCGGCAGGAAGAATCAAGGCTGAGTATAAAATAACACCTATGGCAGAGCCAATGCAAACTTGAGTTCTGTGTCAAAGGCAGAGTGGAAGATGGCCTAAGTTCTCAAGTGTTTCAAGAGAAGACCTTACCTCTTACATTTAGTTACTAGTTCAGGGAGTTAGGGTCACATTAAAGCCACAAAGAATGCTGACATGTAAATGGTCCAGCCACATCTTGCAACAGCACTAGGGGCCCAGTCCATGGGATGTAAGTAAACCTAGAATTGATGCTACTTGTTTTGCTAACTACCCACTCATATTGCTTTTTGTTTTGTTTTGGTTCTAGTTCCTTAATATCCCTAGAAGATTTAGATTGGCTTCCACTCAACCAAACTTTTTCCCAGGTTTCTGAACTTGTACTGAATGTGACCATTTCGACACTGACATTTCTGCAGCAACATGGAGTAGCAGTCACCGGTATGGGTGCCTTGTAGCTATTGCTATATTTCAAAACGTTTAACTACTTAAATTCATTGACAGTTGACATAGAGCTAAAATGATGTTCAAAATGATTTAATTAAAATTTCAAATTCAAAAAAGTATGAATTGTTTCTGTTAATACAAGACAAAAATAGAATAAAAATTTTGAACTCGAAACTGAATTTGACTTTCTACCACTGTTGACATTCTGCAGTCATTGCTAATATAAATGATATTTTTAAGTTAAAAATAACTGATTTTAAAATTCTTTGACTTTATTTCATCTAATATTAGACCTATCACTAGCTCTGTGATTTTAATCTTTCCTCTCTCTAAGCTCCTATTGGGAGGAAATATTTTAAAAATGGCAAAGCTAGTAAGAGGAGGCAGGTTGATGTGGACTTACAGAGTCCCTAACTAAATAAGCAGCCCTACCACAGGGGAGGGAATGGAATTATATAGCTCTTTTCTTGATCCAGGATATTATTATTTCCTGAATTACCAACTGAGTCTGAGCTTTTTACTTTTAATTCCCTTCTTTTCTCTATTTTTCTATCTTTGGCTATTTCTCTAAGGGAAATACAGTGAGAGAACAACAAAGTTGGAATTCATCCACCCATTTATCTGTTCATCTGTCCATCCATCCACCCACACATCCATTCATCCATCCATCCATCTGCCTACCCATTCACCCACTAAACAACTCATCAACCTCTTTATACATCTATCCATCTATTCGTCCATTAATCCATCCATCTATCCATCTATTCATCCATTAATCCATCCATCCGTCCATCCATCCATCCATCCATCCACTCACTCATCCATTCATCTGTCCATCCACCTCCCCATTCATCTACTCACCAACCCACCAACCCATTCATCTGTTCATTTATTTATTCATTCTCTCATTGAATAAACAACGAGCACTTCCTATGAGCCAAACACTTCCCCAGAGAGTGGGAATAAAAAGCTGAATAAGACATAGTTCTTTAATGAGAATGCATGGACACAGGGAGGGGAACAACATACACCAGGTCCAGTCGTCGGGTCGGGGGAGAGGGGAGGGAGAGCATTAGGACAAATAGCTAATGCATGCGGGTCTTAAAACCTAGATGATGGGTTGATAGGTGCAGCAAATCACCATGGAACATGTATACCTATGTAATAAACCTGCACATTCTGCACTTGTATCCCGGAACTTAAAGTTAAAAAAAAAAAAAGGCATAGTTCTTACTTTCAAGGAAGTCATGTTTAGTAAAGGAGAGAGATATGTCAATAATAAAAAACAAACAAACAAACAAACAAAAAACAAAGACCACAGAGTAAGGATCTGACATCTGCTTCAGGAAAAACTTCAAGGAGGAGTTTTGAAGGGTGAGTTGGAGTTTATCAAAGAGATGAGGGAGCATTTCCAGGAAGAGAGAAGACTGTGAGATACTTGGGCTTGCTGAGAGCTGTGAATGTTTGACATTCAGTGTGTCTGAGGTACAGTGGGCAGTAGCAGGGGGTGGCATAGAAAGGAGCCCAGGCCAAAACACGAGTGGCCATGGGAGCAGTAGAATTAGATCTGCATTATAGAAAGACACTCCTGGGCCGGTGTGAGGAGTAGATTGGAGGCAGGTAGTTCTGGGGTTCAGGATCCTGGGAGCAAGTCTTCCATCAGCCACTTTCTCCTGAGGTCTCAGTCTCCTGAACTATTATTATTATTATTATTATTAGAGATGGAGTCTCGCTCTTTTGCCCAGGCGGCAGTGCAGCAGTGAGATCTTGGCTCATTGCAACCTCTGCCTCCTGGGTTCAAGCAATTCTCCTGCCTCAGCCAACCAAATAGCTGGGACTACAGGCGTGCATCACCACGCCTGGCTAATTTTTGTATTTTTAGTAGAGACATGGTTTCACCATGTTGGCCAGGCTGGTCTCAAACTCCTGACCTCAGGTGATCTGCCCTCCTCGGCCTCCCAAAGTGCTGGGATTACAGGCGTGAGCCACTGCGCCCAACCCTGAACTATTGTACAATGAGATTGTTATACACAGAGATTTCTACAATCCCATTCAGAATTTTGCTGCTTCATGGAGCAAACTAACATGAAACCCTCTATGGCCCCAAATTCCACCTTTCCACCTGTTGCTTCTTTCTTCTTGTTGCTTGTGACTCAGCACAGTGAGACCCACATGGAATTTTTTTTTTTTTTTTTTTTTTTTTAGCTTTCTGTAAGAGAAAGCTAGCTCATTAACGTTTAACTCCATTTTCAGGTTAGGTTAGTTCCACTGGGAAGTATTTCTTATGCTGAGAACAAAACCCAGAGGTGGGGTGCGAGATGAATAAAACACCTCATCGAAATCTTCCCAGTGACCTTAATTTAACAGACTCATTTAGAAGCTCAAGTTTTTGTACATCATCCAAATTACAACAACAAATTTGCCTTACAATTGAAAATGTAATTACCGTTAAGAATGTAATTAAAATAAACAATTTTCTATTAACTCTCCAGCGAGTCAAAGCTAAGGAACACTATTACAAAACATACTTTGAGAGGTAACTAAAAATTGTCTTCATGTCTCTTGTCTCCAAGAAAAATTCTTTTGCTTGATGAGCCAATTCCAATGTGAAGAGGAAGGGATGAGTGGCCTCATGTGGCTTTAGGCTACTGGTCCAATTATGTTATGCACTAAAACTGTTAATCTACACATTCTGAATTCTCTGTTGTTTAGCAACAAATTTCTGAATCCAAGTTGTCTTTCACTTTTTGAGAAAGATTTTATACTTTTATAAGTATGCTACACTGATGTCACTATTTTTTCTCTCCTTTCTGGAACTCTGTGAGTAATTCTAATACCTTCTGAGACCAGTAGAGATTAATAGTTACAGCTCAGCTTTGGAAGCCAGATCATTTGGGTTTGAATCAGAGGCTTAATCTAACAAGTGGGACTCTAAGAAAAAGGGGATAATTACAGCACCTACCTCATAGTGTTGTTGGAGGACTAAGTGAGACCTCCCATGGTGTATTCTTAGTCTAGGTCCTAGTACCTCTTCAACATACAATAAATGCTGGTTTTAATCTCAGACACCAATCTTTTTTCCTCCCATGATGCCATGTAAAGGCAATCAGACTGGAAACAAAAAATCTTGTATTTCTGGGATTTTCCCCATCTTTAACACCTTCCTGAAGTCCCCGTTGACTTGGTCTGTCTTTGTGAATGTCATGGATTGTGCTTTTTTTTGTAGACCTCACTGCAATTATAAGGATCCTATGAGATAATGCTTGTGAAAATGGCTTATTAGTGGCTGGCAGGTGAAGGGGCTCAGTCAATGGGTGTTGAATCATCATGATCTGAAACAATCTAATTTCTAAATGAAGGTTCAAGATTCAAACACACCAAGAAATTTATGTGTTTTTATGTTTGCAGTTGCTGAGGCATACTCCCCAGAGATTTTGTCATACCTTGGGGGTCTTCGATTTATATTTTGAATGTGTCACTACTAGATAGTGCCATGGGTTTTTTGGGTAGCTCATGAATTTTATATGTTGATAACTTGAGTTAGGGGAACTTTTTCTTATGACTTCAAATAATTATTGAGAATACAGTTTTAAAGACTCCATAGTATTTTATGCTATGGATATACTATAATTTATCCTTTCCCTGGATACTAGACACTTAACTGGTTTTCAATATTTTATCAGTATAGAACCAATAAAATATTGTCGTACCTTAATTTTTGCTCAGATATCTGATTAAGCTTCTTGAGAAAGACTTTTAGAAGTGAAATTATTGGGTTCAATGACTTGAATTTTATAAAGCTCTTGAAATATGTTTTAAAATTATCTTCTGGAAATGTTGCAACCATTTGTGCCAGGGAGCATGGGACACTTCACCATTCTCTCTATAGCAGCAAGTGTTTATTCTGTTTGCTTTTTCTATCTGATGCCCCAGTGGTGTTTGGTCTTCATTTGCTCTTCCTTTAGAGGTGAAAAAAGGTATTTTTTTTCTGGATTACATTAAACATATCAAAATATTCAAACAACTGCTGGTGTAAATCTTTTGTTATTCCAACAGAGCCAGTTTACCACCTGTCCATGCAGAATATAGTGTGGGATCCACAGAAAGTCCAGTATGATCTCAAATCCCAGTTTGGCTTTGATGATCTTCACACGGAACAGATCCTGAACTCTTCAGCTGAACTGAAGGAGGTACACATGCTTGACTGCTTCTCACACCGCTGGGCCTTTCCTGGAGACTGGATCTAGAGCATGCTGCTGGGGCAGGGTGAGCGGGTGCCACGGGAGAGGCAGCCAGACAGGAGAGTTCGGTCAAAACCCGAGCTCCTTACGCAGAAGAGACCCCTACTGTCTCCAGCTTTTCTAGAAGTGTCTCTTTCTTCTTACCATGTAGTTTTATCCCAGAATGGAAAGGCAGCTTAGAAATAATATGACACTTGATTGCTCTGGGAACTAGCAGTGGGAGAGGCCAGGTCAAGTGAGGGTGTGAGATTCTGAAGACAGCGCTAGTGGGGTCCAGGTAGGAAGATGGTGCACCAGCTGTAGTGAGTGGGGATACAAGTGGGTGAATTTCCAGGTAAAGAGATAGTTTTCATTAGAAGAGTAGGAGCTGTACGTTATGGATGCCTGCTGGGTTCACCAAAGTTGAGCCTCTTCCCTAACTAGGTGAAATAAGGGAGTTGGACTGGATGATCGATCCCCAAGACCCAGTTCACTGTTGGTATTGCTGAGGTTCTGGGAGATATCTTTTAGTTACAGAGTCCCTTTTGTCACTCCAGCCCATTTGTAGGCACTTCTGCTTTGCATGGTGCAGGTCCAAGAACTATGCGGGACCTGGAGCTTTGGTCCATAGACTCCACCTCCAGGGTTAGAGCATTTCTGGTGCAGCTCCTAGGTCAGTGTTGAGTTAGGAATGTTTGGAGAGGACCCACTCTCTTCCATTAGGATCTCAGTCCATGCTGGTTATGTAGATTTTGCTCACTTTTTTGTGAGTTCCCCACAACCTGGTCTTCCCAGATAGCACTTTTCACATTTCAGTGCAGCTAGTTTGTGTTCAGACTGTTGCTTTCAGTATTTAGACTCTGGATCTGTGCTCTCAGTCTCAGGGGTTAGATGGTTGGGTTGCAGCCAGCAGACCCTCATGCTGGCTTGGTGTTTGAAAACCCAGTTCTACCAGGTAGGTTTAGGCTTCACCAAAGTATACTAAATTTTGTGCTTCTTGTATCCCTGGCACAATTTTATTAATCATCTCACAATTTTATGAACTATCTACCTACCACAGGACTTGAAATTGTGACCCTTGGGTTTTCTCATGGATGCTGATGTAGATGGAATATGAAACCCCAGTTGGCTGACTTTTATTCTAGTTTTCTCCATCTTTATAACCCCGTTTTCTCATTATATTATAGTTTGAGTGAACTATGTAAAACTTTTACCTTAGAATGTTCAATATATTGAGATTAGAATTAAAAGGAAAGTGATCAGAAAATACCACTGTGTATATCAACAGAGCTCCATGGAAATTGTACATCATGTGTGTGAGCTTTCTATTGCTGCTGTAGCAAGTTACCCCCAACATAGTGCCTTAAGGCAACTGACATTTTCTTTTATCATAGTGTTCTGGAGGTCAGATGCCTGAAATGGTCTCACTGGGCTAGAATCAAGGTGTCTGCAGGGCTGCAATCCTTCTTGAGGTCAAGGGGACATACTGTTGTGGGGGAGGAAAAATTCTTTTTTTCTCTATTATTCCATCTTCAATGGCTGGGGCTCATGAATTAACCTGATAAAAGACAGATAAAGAAGAGGAAAACCAGTTATTGTGTAGGTATGTATGGGAGTTCACAAAGAGAAATGTGTAGATCTTCCCTGATGACCATTCTGTTTTTCACTTTCAGTATAGTATTCAATAAATTACATGAGATAATAAATACTTTATTATAAAATAAGCTTTGTGTTAGATTATTTTTCCAATTGTAGGCTAATGTATGTGTTCTGAGCACAGTTCAGGTAGGCTAGGTTAAGTTTGGTTATGTTTTGAGGTTGGGTGTACTAAATGTATTCTTGGCTTATGATATTTTCAAGTCATGATGGGTTGATGAGGATGTAACCTCATTGTAGATCAAGGATCACCTGTATTTTAAGGAAGCAGCCAGATTATTAAGGCTTATATGCCATCCAAGGCTATCTATACAAAGGAAAGGGGGCTTGGGGTTTCTGAGTAGCAAGGCAAGTTATGGGAAGGTGAGGGGAGGAAATATATGGTGAATGAGTTATCCTGTTTTGCAGAGAAATCTCCCAGGTGATCAGAGTTATTTGGAGAAGCAGCTCTCTTTTTGGTAGGAGACATCTTTACAGATGAAAATTATCTTAATAATGTAAATTTTCTTTATAAATCTAAATTTCCTTTACCAAAAGGAAATTTATACTCTATTTTTAAACAGTTAGGGAACGGTAAGAAGTTTTTCCTGCCTCTGCTGGTTTTCAGTTTGTCTTTAGCTCAAAATAATCCATATGCCAAAGAAACATACTTTGGGGTGGCGTATTCTGTTTTCTTGCTTTTTCCAGCTTCCAGTGGCCATCCACATTCCTTGGGTCTGAGCCTCTTTCTCAATCATCAAAGCCAGCAATGGCAGGTCTAGTTCTTCTCATATCCCATCACTTGGGCACTGACATTTTTGCCTCCTTTCTCCAATAAAAACCCTTGTGGTTACACTGGGCTCACCAGGTTACCCAGGATAATCGCCCATCTCAAAGCCAGGTGATAAGTAGCCTTAATTTCATCTGCAGCCTTAAATCTCACTTGCCATACAACATAACATATTCATGGGCTCTTGGGATTGGGACATGGACATCTTGGGGGAACATTGCCTGCTTCCCACCCTTCGTAAGTGTAATTGCCTGGTGAGCTCTTCCTGCCCACTGCACAGACAAAACCAATTCATTGAGACTGCAGTATTGCAGTAGAGAAAGGGTTTAATTAATGCAGAGCTAGCCAAGGGAAAAAACTGGAGTTATTACTCAAATCAGCCTCCTTGAGAACTCAGAGGGTAGGGTTTTTTTTTTTTTTTTTTTTTTGGATAATTTGGTGGGCAGGGGACTAGGAAATGAGTTTCGCCGATTGGTTGGGGATGAAATCACAAGGATGTGGAAAAATGCAAAAGTCTGAAAAACGTCTCAAGAGACCAATCTTGGGTTTGACAATAGTGATGTTATCTATAGGAGCAATTGAGGAAGTCACATATCTTGTGATCTTTGGCCCCATGACTCCTGAGCAGCAAGGGATTATAGAAGGCAAGCTAGGGACCAGTGGCTGATTATCATTTAGCTACACCTACATTTTAGCAGCATTCAAGCCACTCTCATAATCTTAATCTTGTGGCCTTTTATTAGTCTTACAAGGGCAGGTTCTGTACCTGAGAAATGAGGGGATTCATCTTAGGGAGGGACTACTATCAACCTTGCTAAAAAGTTAAACTACAAACTAAATTCCTCCCATGGTTAGCTTGGTATATGCCCAGGAGTGAGCAAGGACAGCCAGCCTCTGAGGCTAGAAGCAAGGTGGAGTCAGCCATGCTAGACTTCTCTCACTCTCATAATCTGCAAAGGTGGTTTCACAGGGCCCTTTCCATCTGCATCAGCCTGTGAGCCTAGGCCCTCCCTGGGGTCTGTCTGACTCCTGACCCTGTCACTCTCTGGGCCTGCTGGGGGCCTCAGCACATGCTGCCCCTGCAAGAGAATAGTCCTCCTCTTTCCCTGCCTCTGCCTCCTGAATTGGAAAATGATTTATCTAACCTCACATCCTCTGTGGATCTCCTGTGACCTCACTTCAGCCTCTGCCTCTACTTCTTCAACCTTCTATAATAGGGCATGTCCCAGGGAGCCTGATGGCTGCATATCTGCCTCTCATAGGCTGTGAGCATCTGAGTGGGGACTTGGCCTTATCTATCTAACATGATACATGGTATTGTTGATTATTTTTAATTAAGGGAAAAAAATAGAACAAAACATCAGGGACCCTGTGCTTTGACAGTCACAGGTTAATATTTTAAATCCTGATCCAAAAGGAACCTAAAAGTGAACACATGGGACTAAAATTAAGCTTTCTGACTATTGTCATTGTTTAGTCAATTCAGGCTGTTATAACAAAAGACCACAGACTTGTAAACAACAGAAATTTATCTTGGTGTGTCCTCACGTGGTAGAAGGGGTAAGGGAACTCCCTGGGTCTCTTTTATCAGGGTGCTAATCCCATTCACAAGTGTTCACCCTCATGATCTGACCAGCTCCCCAGGGCCCCATCTCCTTATACCATCACCTTGGGGGCTAGGATTTCAAAATACGAATTTTGGCGGGGAGGCCACAAGCATTTAGACCATGGCAGTCACCAACAGAATCTCTTAAAGATGGCATTATAATTGTTGTAAAATGATGTAATAGGGGAATGTGCTTCATTATATCATAAACATAAGTATTTACAAAGCAGTGTTACAGGAACTCTGTTGAAGTTCTTTTTTTTTTTTTTTCTTTAAGACAGAGTCTCACTCTGTTGCCCAGGCTGGAGTGCAGTGGCACGATCTCCGCTCACTGCAAGCTCCGCCTCCTGGGTTCACGCCATTCTCCTGCCTCAGCCTCCTGAGTAGCTGGGACTACAGGCGCCCACCACCACGCCTGGCTAATCTTTTGTATTTTTAGTAGAGACGGGGTTTCACCATGTTAGCCAGGATGGTCTCTATCTCCTGACCTCGTGATCCACCCGCCTCGGCCTCCCAAAGTGCTGGGATTACAGGCGTGAGCCACCGTGCCCAGCCACTGTGTTGAAGTTCATGTATAAAATAAAGGAGATTTGGTTCAAAAACATTAAACAGTTTCTGACCCAGGACTTCAATTTGAATCTTTCCAATTTTATCCACTTTTGATAGTCAGAAAAGAAAATGTTCTTGGCAAAACAACTTTGTTAGTCCGAAGTATGAATTAAACTGGGCTGACCCATGTTCACTTTTGGCCTAAGAATGAAAAGAAACAAGATTTGATGTCATCTCCATGTCCTTGGCCTGGAGAAACAGCTGTTCCTATTGTTTGTGGATGAAACTGAAAAATATAACTTTTTTTTTTTAACTACCAAGTCTTCCCTCAAGGTAAATCACATAGATATCATCACTTACTTCTTCAATCAAGCAAATGTAAGAACTTTTACTGTGGCAAGATCGTGGTGTTATTTTTAGAAGAGGAAGGTTCTAGGAAAGGAGCTTTATGTCTAAATATTTTTTCATATTGTTGTCAGATTCCCACAGACACTTCCTTGGAGAAGATGGTGTGTTCAGTCTTGTCTAGCACATCAGAGGATGAAGCTGAGAAATGGGGCCACGTTGGAGGCTGCCACCCTAAGTGGTCAGAAGCCAAAAACTATCTTGTCCATGCAGTCAGCTGGCTGCGAGTCTACCAACAGGTGCTGTCCCCTCTCTCTATGTTCTGTTCAAAGGTGTGCCAGTTTGAGTGTCCAAATCCATTCTCCTCCCCTGCCCTGCCATGTTTACTGTTGGATTTTATGTCCCTCCAAGGAAAGGGCCTTAGGAGCCCCACATCCTGGCCATTGAGTGCACCTTGTCCCATGTGCATCAACTGGCTCCAGCTCCATAGGCCTAGGCCCTCAACACTCATCACCAAACAGTCTATCCTAGGCTTGCACACACACCTTGGCAACTCAGAAGTTCCTAGACCCATGCTCTGTTATTGGTGCATGAGATTGCCCTGGAGTACTATGACCAGCTCTTTGGACATTTGCATGCTAGCATTGGGCATCCCTCTAGCACTTTAAGCTCTGAACTGGCCTTGTCTCTTCACTCTGGTTTTGACCAGAAGCTCTGTGCACAAACAGTGACTGTGATTTCAGTGACCATAATTTAACAACACGAAGGGAGGCTCTAGTCTGTCTTTATAGGGATGTTGGTGTGGGGCAGAGGGCCTGAGTGATTAGATTGCTCCTGGCCTCAGAAGCTCATGGAGCCCTGGCTGTTTCACAGCTTTGCGCTTCTTGGGGAGGTTTTGGAGACTGTGAGGCAGAGCTCCCCTGGCAGTCACTTCCCATTTGTTTTATCAGGCTTTGCCGTCTCTGTCTCATGTTTTTCCTTAAAGAACACACCTCTTTAACTTTGTTCTCCGCTAATATGTGTCATGTATAAAGGCCAAAATCTCAAATGGTAGATAAAACATCCTTAAAAATATATAGGTGTTGTCGTCTGCTTCGTGGCACTAAAGTCATCCGGCACTAAAATAATCAAGGGACAGTGCTGAAATGACCAGCATCCAATGGTCTAGTGGACACACTTGCTTTGTGCATTATCTGGGTAACATAACTCATGGTTAATTAAGGCATAGTTAGCACACATACATGTACATCGTGCACCTCTCCATGCCATCAGGCTTGGGCAAGAATGATCTATTTTTGTGTAATGTTGATGACAAACCACAGTGCTAATTGACTTCAGTATCATCCTCACCATGTCCGTGTCGTAAAATGACACTTAGTAACCATGTATTAACTTTGGTATATATTTAAAAATATGCAAATATATTTATGCTATCCTAAATATGTTCGTTTAGGTTTTAAATTGTATTTCATTTGTTTAGAGGTGTATGTTATTCCCTTCTCTCTTTTTCTCTTTTGGGGGAAAAAAGAGAAATAAGGCAGAGATTATAAAGTTGTGTGCATCCATTGTTGCAACATGAAATCTTTAATTTCTGAGTAGAAATTAAATCATACTGCAATTGCTAACAGACATTTTAATTTACCAAAAAATAAAGATTGGCTGTCTGTCATCTAGAGTGGTATGTTAATATTTCTTAACTAAATACTGTTCTTTCCAATTTGCTATTATTAATGCTAGTATTTTGGTTTCCGAATTTGTAGGTGTTTGTTCAGTGGCAACAGGGTAGCCTGCTTCAGAAGACACTCACAGGCATGGGCCATAGTCTGGAGGCTCTCAGGAATCAGTTTGAAGAAGAGAGCAAGCCCTGGAAGGTGGTGGAAGCTCTGCACACTGCACTGCTCCTGCTGAATGACAGCTTGTCAGCAGATGGCCCAAAAGATAATCATACATTTCCAAAGATGTAAGTCGCATTTCCCTGTTTGATTATTGATTAGGTAGATGACACAGAATGTTAAAGAGTGCGTGATGATACTGTTAGAAACACATTCTGTAAAACTACAGCTAAATAATGAATTTCTTGTTAGCAAATGGGAAATCAGAGGCTTTCATTGTGGACCATCACCAGGGTAGAAGTCTTGGCAGCACTCTGGATGCCTATTCAGAGGCTGCAATCGACCGAATACGGGAGCAATGTTTGAGAAGGTGTCAGTTTCCTAGATTTTAGATTTTATGTCTTTGGCATTTGTTTAAAAATGAATAAATTCATTTCGGAGGCATTTTTATGTACAGAACTACCTTACATGAGTAGCTCTTTTCCTAGAATCTTCCTCTTCAAAAAATATGTTTTTATATTTACTTAAAGATTTTGTATAGTTGAAGTGTTTACATAAGGTCCAGAAATATTGTAGAAGTAGGAAATGGTGGAACTTGTTTCTTCCTTTTTAAGATAACCACAATTGATTCACCAAAATAGCCGACTAGATCTTTTTCCTTAGTAGGTGTGGCAGTTTGTAGTAACTTGAATCTTATTATCCTTCTGAAGTTAAGGCTGTCTTTGGAAAAGAAGAATATGATTTCTCAATATTATCTCAAAAATGTGCATTTCAAACCAGGTCACACAAATTCTTGCTCTCTGTGTACCATGAAGGAGAGTTGTGATGACAGAATTGGATAGGACCATATTGTGTTCTTATGATTACTTAAGAAATAGCAATTCTAAACACTTCCAGTTCTTTCACATTTTCTGGAACTTTTAGCAAACAGGATCTTGCTTTTGAAGGTCCTATTTCCTAACTTTTACTTAAGAGATGTTCTGGGGCCTGAGGTGCTTGCGCTAAAGGCAGAAATACAGTTCCCTATCCGGGCCATAAAAGCTACAGGAGGATGGATGCAGGGAGCCAGCAAGGATGCCTTGAAGTAGTGTTCTAGGCAAAGGGCAGGGACAAAACATCTGTCATAAATGAACAAATGCAGGGACATTGCACTGGGGATATTGAAAACCTCCCTGCTGGTCTGTCACTTAATGCACATTAATAGAAACACCACATTAAGTCACCGTAATTATCCTACAAATCTCGAATGCCCCCTGGCACTTTAGCCTAGGATTTTGCCTGCTCTGTGCCAGGCCAGGGGATTGAAGCCCCAGGAAGCTGTACTTGGCTCTTAGTCCTACAGAGATGGGGGGAAGCTGAAGACTATACCACACTCTAGGTACAAAGCTAGGATAGCCCACATTCTTCTGCCCCCATATAAAATTTCCACACATTCTCAGTGCCAGGAAGATGAGGCCCAAACACTGGCTTTGCTGTCCATCTGCTGTTTTTTTTTCTTTGTTTTGTTTTGTTTTGCTTTGAGACAGTCTTGCTCTGTTGCCCAGGCTGAAGTGCAATGGCGCGATCTTGGCTCCCCGCAACCTCCACCTCTCAGACTCAAGCGATTCTCCTGCTTCAGCCTCCTGAGTAGCTGGGATTACAGGCTCACACCACTACTGCCCAGCTAATTTTTGCATTTTTAGTAGAGACAGGGTTTCACCGTATTGGCCAGGCTGGTCTTGAACTCCTGGCATCAAGTGATCTGCCCTCCTCGGCCTCCCAAAGTGCCGGAATTCCAGGCGTGAGCCACCGCAGCTGGCCACCTTCAGCCTTATTTAAATCTTTCTGAGATTCACATGCACCCTTAGCAGAAAATTGTATATCTTTTATCATTAGCTTTGGTCCAAGAAACCCCATCCCTTTTTCACTACCTTGTCTTCATAGCCAATTGTTCATATCTTTTTCTCTTCCTAAGCTGCAAAGTTCACCCAAAATAAATGGAAATCACACCAGACTCTCAGTTTTCTACTGAGTTTTTCGTGTCATTACAGACTGCCTTTTCTCCTCCAGGTTCTTTCTGGTTCCTGCCCACGTCCCTGCAGTACGGGTGGCTGAGGTGTGGGAGCTCTTCACCCAGGCTCTAGCAGATAGCGTGGATTTTGGCAAGGCGAGGACTCACAGAGGTGCCTCTGCGCCTTCCAGCAAGGACTCACCCTTCAATGTCGCACGTTGTTGTGAATGTGAAGTGTCTGTTCACAGATGTGGGGGGAATAGTCCCTAGGGTCTGGCCATGTGGTATCCTTGCTTGTCAGAGTTTAAAGAGACTTGACAGTAAGATCCAGGTTCCAAGCCACACAGCATTTCTTTTTTCCTTGGGGAAAATAAAATAATCTCTTTCTCACTTTCTAGCTCTTTCCAAGTGCCACTCTGCTTCCTTCTCAGTGTAATCCAAAGAGTCAGAACAATGACTGACCTAAGCCCAGTTCATTCTGCAGATGGCCAATTCCAAAAGCCATGTGTCCAGCTTCACTCTAGCATGAGGTGTCAGGAGTCTGGTCAGCAGCCAGAAAGCCCAAGCATGTGGCTCTGATGGAGCAATTGCTCCGCCTTGTAGGGTGATGACGTGGGGATGGGTACCAGTTCCTGCTGGTGTCTTGTAGGAGAATTATCATTGGGACCTTGCTCACTCTCTCTATACCCTTTACGGTGCTTGGGTCCATCAGCTCTCCAGCTAGAGAATAGCAGCAACTATTTATCAAGCCTGTGTTCAACCCCAAACTATCAAGATGCCATGAAGAGACTGACCACTATGGCACAGAAGTCGAAATGGACGCCAGGCACTCAAAGCAGTGGGATGGCTCCAGCCAGTGGAACATTTTGCTTGGGCTTCAAGTAGCTACATCTCTTTCTGCTTTTCTCCTTCTGTAGCTTGCTTCGTTTATCACAGGTGAGGATTCCATGCAGTTGCTCAAAGACACAGAAAGCCTGGACTCACCTGCTCTGGGCAGTTCTGCTGCCCACAGTGTGGCTATGCCTTGCTTCTCCCTCTCCCGTATTTATTCCCAATTTCAGGTTCTTCACATTATCAAACTCATTTTCTTTCCAGCTTCTCTTCTCAGTTGTTTCTTCCATGTCTGGAGCCCGTTAGTCTGACATTCTAGGGACTATTTGTATTGAGCTGCCTGGGTGGTCGTTCTTCCTTTGACCTTGGAGAATCCTACAGGCATTGCCAATTGGCTCAAGTTGGGACCACTGCGATGGGTCCTGTATACCATCACACACCATCTCTATATTTTGAAACTTTTCTCAAAATATTTTTCTATATCTCATTAACTATAGGCTTCAAGGCAAATGTTTTTAGACCCCATGTGAAACTTTATCCTAACCCTCACTTCTTTTACACACACCTAGGAATATACTTTCCCATTTTGGGGTAAAGAGAATGTTTAATCCATATTCAGTATTGAAAGAATCTCCCAATCAGGTGACTCAATGCAATTTGTCAAGAACCTGGTTGTGTGATGAAGTGTGACTTTCAGTCTAGTGAACACACTTCTCAAAGCAGTGGAATATTTTCCTTTGAACGGAATTTTTATTTCCCTAATTGGCACTTCGAACTACTTTTCATTTTATTTCATTTATTTATTTTTGCCCTCAGATTACAGCATCTGTGGAAATTGCAAAGCTTGCTGCAAAACCTGCCCCAGTGGCCGGCACTGAAGAGATTTCTTCAGCTTGATGGAGCTCTCAGAAATGCGATAGCTCAGAATTTACATTTTGTCCAAGGTAAGCTAGCTTTGGTGTTATTTGTCCCTGACTCACTAAGAGTAAATGTGAAATTTATTGGAAAATGGACTTGAAACTGCCTGACACATTGTAAAGTTGGGAGATAACTTTGCTGGTGTCATATGCATATTTATGCTTTACTCTGATGCCTTCTAGGGGATTTAAAATACAGCACACCAAGGCTAAATAAACAATAAGGGCACAGTGAAGAGCGCATCCTTCTGTTTTCCTTAAGCCCATGCTGTGGCCTATGACAAGCAGTGTCCTAAGGCTGGGTTGACTTTCACATTCACGGCAGCATCTGTGGTTTTCAGGCTGGAAAGGGACCAGAGTGCGTTGTGAATAAGCGTATCTTTTGTATTCTGTTCCTTCTACTGCCTCCTCCCACCAATGCTTCTTGGTGTCCGGTAGGGAGAGTGTGTTCCCCCTGGGTTTGCAGAATGCCCTTCTTTGAACTTTCTTGACTATGGTGAGCATTATTCTTTCTTCCCTCTTCTGAGGAAGTTGGGTTTGGACTTTTGCCCAGATGGGCTGCAGCCTTTTCATTTTCTCAGGGAGGAGAGGGAAAAAGTGAGGGGGGATGTTACTTTAGAAGTAAAAACTCATTCTCACTAGTCTTTGGAAAGGACAAAATGATATTACAATGACTCCTGTTTTCCTTTCTAAGGAAGAGAAGAAAATGTATAATAATAGGTCAAGTTTTTAAAAAATCCATGTTTTCAGGATCCAGTTTATTGATTCATGGCCATGTATAAAAGTCAAGCTTACTTACCTTAGGTGAATAATAATCAATTTGTCTACTTTGCAGAAGTCCTCATTTGCCTGGAGACATCAGCTAATGATTTTAAATGGTTTGAACTTAACCAATTGAAACTGGAAAAGGATGTGTTCTTTTGGGAGCTGAAACAGGTAAAGCACAACAAATAATTATAAATAAGCATTTTTAATAAAACATTCAAGAAGCTCATGCAATATTCAGTTTTGCTCCTTTTGTGAATTGTGCTAGCTAAAAAAGGGAACAATATGCAGGTTTTTCAAAACTTTATGTTGTGTTTAAAATGTTTATCATTGCTTATTATATTTGCAGTTCTTGAGCCCATGAAGAGGGTATCTAAGCCTCTTTAAATGTTACTCCTTCCCACTCTTATTAATCTTTTAGATGTTGGCGAAGAATGCTGTCTGCCCGAATGGTCGTTTCTCTGAGAAGGAGGTCTTTTTGCCGCCTGGAAACTCCAGCATATGGGGTGGTCTCCAGGGACTGTTGTGCTATTGTAACTCCTCTGAGACGAGTGTTTTAAACAAGCTACTTGGTTCAGTAGAGGATGCTGTAAGTATTCTACCATCTTAGCTCTTCTAAGGGCACAAATTTAAGATTAAATTCACCAAAGATGCTAATATTTAACCTGGAGTTTCGATGAGGAAAGTTTTGCCGTAAGCCCACACACTTAAAGGAAGCTGGCTCTCTGAACTCCAGCTGCCCTTCAATGCTGGCCTTTCTGTCTGACTGAAAGGTTGTATGCCACCCGCCTGGCCAAAACCTACTTGAAATTCCTCAAACTTTCAAAACATACCACTTCTTCTTTTCTGGCTTCCTGGATCCTTGATCTGCTTCATTCTTGGCTGCACATGCTAAGAAAAGCAGAGGAGTCTCTGGTGATTAGTCAATCCCAGCAAAACTGTGGCTTTGAGTGGTTACAAGCTTTAAAAGTCATATTCCTCTCATGTAACTGCCCAGGACAATGGGCTACCCCTGTTCAGCGCTCAAGTGGGACTGCAGAATGTTGAACGATTTGTTTGGAAAGATTATTTTGTCAAGTTCCAGCCCTATTCTTCTTACTGAGAATTAAAATTACAATATTTATATTTTTAGAGTTCATTTTTCTCTCTCAGTATTACCTTTTTTTTTTATATCCTTATATACCATGGAAATAAAACCAGTGAAATAATGAAACTAGTGAAATATAAATGGTGTCTCAGCAAAATGAAAATTGGGATAGTAATTGAATAGTGTGCATAATTCAATCACCGATTTCTTAGCATCTACTCTGTGCATGACAGTATGCTGAAGGGAGTACAAACATGAAGAAGACACTATCTTGGTAGAGAAGGGCAAACAACAGTGAGAGCCTTGGAGCTCAGCATCTAGGAGTCTTCCCAAATAAGTCAATGAGCCTTAGATGAGGTGTAAGATTTGGAAGCAAAGAGAAGTCAGGAGAGGATGCTAAGCAGGCAGAAAATTATATGTGAAGGGCTGGGCATAGTAGCTCATGCCTGTAGTCCCAGCACTTTGGGAGGTCTAGGTGGGCAGATCGTTTGAGCCCAGGAGTTTAAGACCAACCTGGGCAACATAGCTAAACCCCATCTCTACAAAAATGAAAACAAAAATTAGCCAGATGTGGTGGCACATGCCTGTAATACCAGCTACTCAGGAGGCTGAGGTGGGAGAATTGCTTGAGCCCAGCAGGTCAAGGCTGCAGTGAGCCATGATCACACCATTGCACTCCAGCCTGGGTGACAATGTGAGACCCTATTAAAAAAATAAAGAAAAGAAAATAAATAAGAAAAGTGTATGTGAATGCATGCAGGCACAAAAAACATTACCTGTTTGCAAATACCTTTCTTGCTACTAGATGTCAGCTCTTTCCTGGCAGAAATCCTATCTCAAATTTATTTTTATCTGTAAAGTCTAACTTGTAGTCTCATACGAAGCAGGGAACTATGTATTTATAGGTTACATATACTTGAGGTAGCCTTTTGGATGATGCCTACGATACGTATCACTAACAAATCACCCCAAAGCTCAGTGACCTAAAACAAAACACATTATTTTCTCGCTCTTCTGACTCTGGGTTGACCAGTCTCCGTGGGGTGGTTCTTCTGATGGTCTTACTGGGCATCATTCATGTAGTTGCAGTCAGATGGCCGTGAGGGCTGGAGTCTGGTTAGCTAGGATACTGAGACGAGGGCCTCTCATCCTCCTCTCAGACTCAAGATGTCTCTTCTCCAGGTAACCTCTCCATATGGCCTTTCAGCAGGGTAGCCAGACTTCTGACATGGCTATCCAGGGATCCCACACACAAGCAAAAACAGGCAAGGAGGGAGAGTAGGAGCTGCCAGTCCTCAGAGAAGGTAGAACTAGAACTGGCACAATTCACTTCAGCTGCATTCTATGGGTTTACGTGAGCCAGATCTCAGCCTAGAGGAATTGTGGAAGGTGGTACTGAGAGTGAGACTCTCAGGGGGTCTGGTTCACAGGCTACTTGTTGCAACTAGCTAACACAGATAGCTATGACACTGAGTCCCATCCTACTTTATTATTGGATTAAGTTTTATTTTTGGACTTATTAACCTGAACATGAGTAAAGATTCAAGTCTAGAACTATAACTTAGATAATTACCATGCCATAGGGCACGATCTTTGATGTACAGTTTGAGTGGACCCCTTGTTTAGTGATACAGGGTCAAGGCTGCGTCTCAAATACCCACATCTGAATTGCTTTATTTATTATAAGCAATATCTTCTTTTCTTGTTAAGGATCGTATTTTGCAAGAGGTCATTACTTGGCACAAAAATATGTCAGTTTTAATACCTGAAGAATATTTGGACTGGCAGGAACTTGAGATGCAGCTGTCAGAAGCAAG
The DNA here is from genome assembly GCF_000001405.40 of Homo sapiens. Lineage (NCBI taxonomy): Eukaryota > Metazoa > Chordata > Mammalia > Primates > Hominidae > Homo > Homo sapiens. The sequence continues at coordinate 48,248,346 of NC_000007.14, forward strand.
CCTTTCCTGTACTCGGCTCTTCCTGCTGCTGGGAGCTGATCCCTCTCCTGAGAATGATGTCTTTTCTAGTGACTGTAAGCACCAGCTTGTCTCCACAGTGTAAGTACATGTTTGGTGGGAAACTTATAAACAATTGGGACATCAGAATGATTTCAACTGCCCCTTCTACACAAATGATAGATCAATATGGTAGATTATATTTTGAATAGAAAGAGGTTCAATTTATTTTAAAAATATTAACCTACTGGTACTGTTGGAAAGCATCTAATAACTGTAAAATATGAAAGAGTTCCCTTAATGTTTAACCACTGACTTAATCTTTCATTAGAAATTGAGGATCCCTGGTAAGTCCAAGGTATGCATGTGATGGAAGTTCTTGTTAATTACTCAGAAATTGTGCACTAAGTACAAATGGGAAGCTTCTCTTGGGAGCTGTAACTCTACAGAAAATTCGCCTTGATTTTATTTTATGACTCTGTGAATTATATGTGTGATCAATTTCCATTTTCCTTGACTGCTAGGATGTTCTTCGTCAAATATGTCAAATAGGGAATATATATTTTCTTAATATTTAAGTTCACTTCCTGTTATGGCCTTTAATTTTCCTCTTTTTTTGTCCTTCTTGATTTATTGTCTTATATTTTATGTATTCTCATAAATTGCTTTTCCTTATTTTTCAAATCGAGGTAGAGGAGTTTGTAAACAAACTTAAAAAATTAGTAGAACTATTTGAAAGATTCTATTTCCTTACATAAGTGGACTGCCATGCATTTGCATATATTTGTTTTTAGAAAAATTTATAATGATCTGTCATCTGCAAGATCATTTTTAAATTTTAATTTTCTCTGGATTCTTTTTGATTGCAGGATATTTCATACACTTGAAAAAACACAATTTTTCCTGGAACAAGCATATTATTGGAAAGCCTTCAAAAAGTTTATCAGGAAGACTTGCGAAGTGGCCCAATATGTAAATATGCAAGAGAGTTTCCAGAACAGACTATTGGGTAAGTCAGTAGCCTAAACTACAGGAATGGGGGATGCTTTCCCCTTTTAGTGAGGTGACATAATTTCCTGAGAGTCCATCCTATTTAACAAAGCGGGGCTTAAAATGGGTGGCTCTCCAAGCACAATTTGGCATTGTGATTACTTCATATAATTTTTTCTCATCAATTATGACAAGACTTACCAGAAGTCCTGGTTTGACTGAGCTACATTGTTCCTGCAAAATTTATAATAGTGACTGCTTTTACTCTCAAGACTGTCCTGGTTTGGGTGATAAATACTTCTATATGCAGACTAGTCATGATCCTACTCACAAGAGTCCAGATTTTCTGTTGTGGCCCTTCTCACTTTACTTAGCATTAAGATTGATGCTCACACTGGGGACAACTCCCCATGAACCTATAGAAGAAAACACAAACTGTTTTTCTCTATACACACACTCAACACTTCCAACACTGCTGTGACCATATGTGTGGATTTGTTCCACAACAAGCAATTCTCCACTTCTCCATTGACACTAACTGGGTGTCCTACAATTCGATTCAATTCTCGCACTGTCTGCCTGGAATTAGCATCAGATCCTGCAGGTTAAGGGCTCAGTCCCACAAGATTGCCCCTACTTCAGACGCCAACCCCAAGTCCAGGCTTCCCTTCTCACTTCTGATCAATTGGGTATAAATCAGGATTCCCATGAACCCCTCGTTGTGTTCAGTAATTTGCTGGTACAAGTCACAGAATGCAGAAAAACAGCTTACTTCCTAGGTTACTGGTTTATTAAGCAGATATAATTTAGGAACAGTAGATGGAAGAAATGCATAGGGTGAGGTATGTGGGGGCATGGAGCTTCTATGCCCTCTCCAGGCCTATCACCCTCCCAGCACCTCCATGTCCTCATCAACCTATGAGCACTCTGAACACTGTCCTTTTGGGTTTTTATGGAAGTTTCCTTATGTAGGCATGATATATTAAATCACTGGACATTAGTGATTGACTCAACTTCCATCCCTCTCTCCCCTACCTAGAGGTTAGAAGGCAGGTAAGGGAATGGGAGGAGGGAGAACCTGAAAGTTCCAACCTTCTAATTACAGGGTTGGTTCCCCTGACAATCAGCCCCCATTCTGGGGCTATCCAGCGCCTCTAGTCACCAGTCATTCATTAGCCTACAAAAAGACACCACTTCCTACATTCCAAGGGTCTTAGCAGCTATGTGCCTGTCAGGAAACAATGGCCTAGACCAAATATATATGTATGTTTTTATTATGTTAATGGCTCACCTCTTTCCTTATCAGCTTCATAAAACCAAAAATTCCCTAAAATATAAATATTACAAACTCATAACTGTATGATTCACAGGGAGTCCTCCTGTTCCCCAGAGATCTACTTTTTGGAAAGATGCCAGCATGTAAAACTTGCACTTCTGACCTCTGCTTTTTTACTCTAGAGCTGGTTGTCTATTTCCATCTCTCCTTGGGAATTATCTTCTGCCCTGGTTTTCCAGCATGCCATGACACTGCTCCATCACAGTGGGGTTATCAGCTTCTCCTTAGAAAGCCTGCATCTTGGACGTCAGGGACTTGGACAGGAAATGGGAGTTTCTCATTCCTTTTCTGTGGCTATTACGACCTTGCCTTTTCTTATTTCATGCTGTTTTTTAAACTGCTACTTTTAGAGGCTGCCAGAGATACTCCCTCTGTAGCTCTCAGTATCAAATCCACATATGGTAAGATGGGCCTTTGCATTTTCTACAGATTACACTATAAAACTCTTCTGTATAGCAGCAGTATTGGGTTGATGGTAACTTCTCCAATGAGTTGGCCATGTTCTTCTGGGTTGAGTACTCATCCTACACTTTAACTTTCTCCTATACTACCTGTCCTCATTATCACTTATTATTGCCCACTTTTGACTCTTTTCAGAAACAGGCTACAGAGAGTGATATGCAATAGTGGCAACAGGCTTGTGGTTCAGAAGTCTCAATGATACTGATAATTGCAAATATTTATTGTGCTTTCTATGATTATCTTGTTTAATCCTCATTCAACCTGTGAGATAGGTACCATTATGATTTCATTTTCAGATGAGAAAATTGAGGCTCAGAAAGATTTTATTCCTAGCATAGGTCTCAAAAGTATTAAGCATCAAAGTCAAGAATGCAAATCCAGGAAGTCTCACTCTGGATCCTGTAAGCTTAACCACTCTACTTTCTTTGGACAGACCCTTGCTGGGGGCTGATCTCTGTGAAAAGGCTTGCACTGTCACAGAAATATAACTAGTCTTATTAAGAAACGGAATTTAAAAAAAATATTTTTACTAAATATGTATATTATTTTATTAATTTATTTTTTATCTTTATTATTTTCTTTCTTCTAGTAAATTTAGTGTGATTGTTGTTCTTTTTCTTGTTCTTGACTTTCAGATTTTCTTATTTTCTAATAGGTACTTTTAAGACAATAAATTTTCCTCTATGCCGAGCTCTAGGTATATTTCACACATTTTAATATGTCATTCAACTGCCTTCTGGCATGTAAGAGAAGTCAGTTGGTAATCTTATAAAAGCTCCATTGTATGTTATGAGTCATTTTTCTTTTGCTGCTTTTAAGATTCTCACTTTGTCTTTGACTTTCAATAGTTTCATTATGAGGTGGCTTCGTATGGGTCTCTTTGGGTTTATGCTACTTGAAGTTTTTTAACTTCTTGCATTTGTATATCCATTTAGTTTTCAAATGTGGGGTGTTTTCAGCCGTTAATTCTTTAAATACACTCTCTGCCCCTTTCTCTTTTTCTCGTCTTCTGCATGTGTACATTGGTTGGCTTGATGGTGTCTCATAAGTTCCTTGGGCTGTGTTCATTTTTTTTTCTTTGCTCCTCTGATTTGATTGTTTCACATGGCCCATCTTTAAGTTTGTGGGTTCTTTCTTTTGCCTGAATTTCTAAATTCAGTTATTCTATTTTTTAGCTCCAGAATTTCTGTCGGGTTCTTTGTAAATACAGCCATGCATCACTTAATAATGTGGATGCGTTCTGAGAAATGCATTGTTAGGCAATTTTTCCATTGTTCAAACATCATAGAGTATATTTACACAAACCTAGATGGTATAGCTTACTACATACCTGGAGTATACGGTTAGCCTATTGTTCCTAGGCCACAAACATATACAGGTTATTCTACTGAATACTGTAGGCAATTGTAACATGATAGTAAGTATTTGTGTATTTAAGCCTATATAACAGAAAGGTAAGGTAAAAATATACGATTATAATCTTACGGGACCAAGCATCATTATGTGGTATATGACTGTAATCTCTCTCTCTTTGCTAATATTCCACTTTGTTTATAAACCATTTTCTAGATTTAGTTTTGTGTTTTTCACTGTGTTTTCTTTGAGTTCATTGGCCATATTTAAGGTAGTTGTTTTAATTTATTTATCAAGTAAGTCAGAGGCCTGCATTTCTTTAGCGGACAATCTCTGGAGATTTATCTGGTTCCTTTGAATCATTCATGTTACTCTGTTTTATTTTGGTATGTCTTGATACGTTCTCTTGAGATTTGGACACTTGAAAAAAATTTCCACTTCCCCCAGCTTTTGTAGCATGGCTTTGTGCAGGGGAAGACCTTCATTGCCCAAAATGTTTTAAAGGCTCAGGGTCTTTTAAATCTTTTCTGAAGATGTGTATTCCCTAAGCCTAAGTGTGTGTTTTTATTCCACTTCCCTGCATACATACTATCTGCTTTAAAATGTATTATTCAGTCTCCTGGTTCATCTCAAAAGCCTTGGATGTTTATTGTATTCCTATGTCCATAATTGATTACTCCTAGCCGCCTGCAGGTCTGCAGACTCCCTGCAGCTCTAACATGCCACAGTGACTGACTGCTGCTTTCAGTGGCCTCCAACCTGGCATCCAAACTATGCCACTTTTCTCATCTGTGCTCTACATCAGGCAAGACAGAAACCAGTCACTTCGGCAGCCCCTAGGCAAGCCAAATATTGCCAGCAAGTTCTATTTTTTCCCTTGTATACTGAGGGAGGAACTTGAAATTGATACACATCTTCCTGACAGTGGCATATTGTGCCATGAAGGGGATGAAGAGTGAATGAGAAAAATGTCACAAAATTTCACAATGAGTGTGACATTTTCTTGCATTATTAGGGATTTACCTGGTTGTTGCATCTTCTTAACTGATTTCTAGTGCAATGGTGCAATCTCACCTCACTGCAACCTTTGCTTCCAGGCTCAAGTGATTCTCCTGACTTTGCCTCCCAAGTAGCTGGGACTACAGGTGAATGCCACAGCACCTGGCTAATTTGTATTTCTTGCACAAGTGGGGTTTCGCCATGTTGCCCAGGCTGGTCCCAAACTCCTCAGCTCAAGTGATCCACCTGCCTCAGCTTCCCAGAGTGCTGGGATTACAGGCATGAGCTACAACACCTGGAATGTTTCTTCATATTTATCCATCTTGAGGACTTAAGATGTGTGGACTTATATATTTATTGTCTTTGAACAATTCCATATTACTATTTCTTTAAATATTTCTTTTACCTCAATTTCTTTTTTTTTCTTATTAGGACTGTACTTACGTGTGTGTGTGTCTGTGTGTGTGTTCGTGTGTGTGTCCCAAATGTTTCTTCTTTTTTCTATATTGTTCCTCCTGTTTTCTTTAGTCTCTATGCCTCAGTCTGGGTGGTTTTTCTCTGATTTATTTTCTAGTTAAGAAATTCTTTCTGCAGAATGTGTTTAATTAAGCTTACTCCTTTAATTCTTAATTTCAGTTATATGTTCTAGAATTTTCATTTTATTTTATAGGTTTTACTAAATATTTTCTGCCTGATAACTTCAATAATTTTATTTTCTGGGTGTCAGTATCTATTGTATGCTTTTCCTATTTTTTTCCCCAATTCCTATTGTTTTTTTATACAACTTTTTTTCTTTTAAGAGGTAGAGTCTCACTCTATTGCCCAGGGTGGAATGCAGTGGTACAACCATAGCTCACTGTAGCCTCGAATTATGAGGCTCAAGTGATCCTTTTGTCTCAGTCTCCCAAGTAGCTATGACAACAGGCTTATACCACCATTTGCAGCTAATTTTTTTATTTTATTTTTTTGTTAAGATAGGGTCTTGCTATATTGCCCAGGCTAATCTTGAACTCCTGGGCTTAAGAGATTCTCCTGCCTTGGACACCCAAAGCACTCTACATAAATCTTTTTATTAAATGCATTTCAGACATTATATGTAGAGATAATGCGACACTCTGCATGATTTTTTTTTCCTCCAGAGGTGCTTTAGTTTTGTTTCTGGCAGGCAGTGAGAGTGGAGGCATATCGCTTTAATTCAGTCAGGAATTAAACTATTTTTGAGCATGCTATGAAACTTTGTGAGAGCTCAATTGTTTCTTGTCTTCTTTTACTACTGGGGTGTAGCCTTCTGGGGGTATCAAGCTAAATTTGTGGTGTTTACTAAAGGCAATTTTTCCTCAGCTGTCTGTGAATTTCAGTTTCTTTCCTAGTCTTGTGAGGCTTTTGAAAGTTCTTATTTTCGTAGCCTCTCTTCCCTCATTTTTGTTTTGGAAACAACAGTTGCCCACAGTGGAAAAGTAGCTTCAAATGTTGGACTTCATCTCTCCTGTCTTCCCTATTCTGTAATGTTGGCACACAAATTCCCAGTGCCTCAGTAGCTCTCTGATGCCTTAAAAATCATTAAAAATATTGTTCTCACTTTTCTGGATGTTTGTAGTGGAAGGGTTGGACTACAACAATCTAGTTTGCTACATACAGAAATTTTTTTCCAATTTAGAATTCAAAGCTGTCATGTCACTAACCTCTGAGTGAGAAAGGCTGTGCCTGTGACTCAGTAGTTCAGCCTTGAGAAGCTTTCTCAGCATGAGTAGTGTTGTGGTAAAGAGCTTGAATGCTGACGTCAGACTAATTAGTTTCTAATCTTGGCTTTGCAACAGATTAGCCATGTGATTTGGTGGCAAATTGCTTCAGTTTCCTTATCTATAAATAAGTTTCATAATATTAAAGGAATTAATACTTAAGACAGTATGTGATGATCCCATCACCCAGGTAGTGAACATAGTATCCAATAGTTAGTTTTTCAACCCTTGCCCACCCCTCTTTCCCTAATCTTTAGCTCCCAATTTCTATTGTTGCCACTTTTATATTTATATGTACACCATATTTAGTTCCCACTTATAAATGGGAACATGTGGTATTTGATTTTCTGTTCCTGAATTAATTTTCTGAGAATACTGGCCCCCAGCTACATCCATGTTACTGCAAAGGACATGATTTCATTCTTTTTTATGGCTGTGTAGTGTTTCATGGGAGTATATGTACCACCTTTTCTTTATCCAATCAACTCTTGATGGACATCTAGCTGGATTCCATGACTTTGCTATTGTGAATAGTACTGTGATGAACATATGTGTGCATGTGTCTTTATGGTACAATGATATACATTCCTTTGGGTATATACACAATAATGGGACTGCTGGGTCAAATGGTAATTCTGTTTTCAGTTCTTTAAGAAATTGCCACACTGTTTTCCACGATGTTGATCTAATTTACTTTCCCTCTAACAGTGTGTAAGTGTTCCCGTTTCTCCACAACCTCACCAGCATCTGTTACTTTTTGACTTTTTAATGATAGCCATTCTGACTGCAGTGAGATGGTATCTCAGTGGTTTTGATTTGTATTTCTCTAATGCAGTGGAGTATTTTTTCATATACTTATTGGCCATGTGCATGTCTTCTTCTAAAAAGTGTCTGTTCATGTCTTTTGCCTACTTTTTAATGGGGTTGTTTTTTGCTTGTTGGTTTTTTAAATTCCTTATAGATTCTGGATATTAGACCTTTGTTGGATGCATAGTTTGCAAATATTTTCTCCTGTTCTGTAGGGTGTCTGTTTACTCTCTTGATAGTTTCTTTTGCTGTGCAGAAGCTCTTTAGTTTACTTGGGTCCTATTTGTCGATTTTTTGTTGTTGTTGCAATAACTCTGATATCTTCATCTTGAAATCTTTTCCTGTTCCCATGTGCAGAATGATATTGCCTAGGTTATCTTCCAGGATATTGATAGTTTTAGGTTTAACATTTAAATCTTTAATCCATCTTGAGTTGATTTTTTTATATGAGATGAGAAAGGGATCCAGCTTCAATCTTCTGCACATGGCTAGCCAGTTATTCCAGCACCTTTTATTGATTAAGGAATCCTATCCCTATTGCTAGTTTTTGTCAACTTTGTCAAAGATCGATGGTTTTAGGTGTGTGGCCTTACTTCTGGGCTCTGGGCTGTCTATTCTGTTCCGTTGGTATATGTGTTTTATTTTTTATTTTTATTATTTTACCAGTACCATGTTGTTTTGGTTTCTGTAGCCATGTAGTATAGTTTGGAGGTGGGTAATGTAATCCCTACAGCATTGCTCTTTTGCTTACGATTGCCTTGGCTATTCGGGCACTTTTTTGATTCCATATGAATTTTAAAATAGTTTTTTCAAATTCTGTAAAGAATGTCATCGGTAGTTTGTTAAGAATAACATTGAATCTGTGAATTGCTTTGGGAAATCTTAATAATATTGATTCTTCTTATCCATGAACATGGGATGTTTTTCCATTTGTTTGTATCACCTGTGATTTCTTTGAGCAGTGTTTTTTAATTCTCATTGAGGAGATCTTTCGCCTTCCTGGTTAGCTGTATTCCTAGGTATTTTATTCTTTTTGTGGCTATTGTGAATGTGATTCTGTTCTTGATTTGGCTTTCATCTTGGATATTGTTGGTTTGTACATTGATTTTCTATTCTGAAACTTTGCTGAAGTTGCTTATCAGATCTAGGGGCTCTGGGGCAGACTATGGGGTTTTCTAGGTATAGGATTGTATCATCTTGCAAACAAGGATAAAACTATCCCTGTTTGGAGACTTCCTCTCTTCCTGTTTGGCTGCCTTTTATTTCTTTCTCTTGCCTGATTGCTCTGGATAGGACTTTCAGTATTATGGTGAATAGGAGTGGTGAGAGTGGTCATCCTTGTCCTGTTACAGTTCTAAAGGGAAATTCTTCTAGCTCTTTCCCACTTAGTATGATTTTGGCTGTGTGTTTTTCATCGATGGGCTGTTATTACTTTGAGGTATGTTCCTTCATTGCCTAGTTTGTTAAGGGTTTTTAAAATGAAGGGATGTTGAATTTTATCAATAGCCTTTTCTGCATCTATTGAGATGATCATGTGGTTTTTGTTTTTAGTTCTGTTTATGTGATAAATCACATTTACTGATTTGTATATGTTGGACCAAACTTTCAACCCTGGGATAAAGCCTACTTGATTGTAGTGGATTAGCTTTCTGATGTGTTGCTGATTTGGTTTGATAGTATGTTGTTGAGGATTTTTGCATCTATGTTCATCAAGCATACTGGCCTGAAATTTTTGTTGTTGTTGTTTTGTGTCTCTGCCAGGGTTTGGTATCAGGATGATGCTAGGCTCATAGAATGAGTTAGGGAGGGGTCCCTCCTCTGCAATTTTTTGGATTAGTTTCAGTAGGGATGGTATCAGTTCTTCTTTATACATTTGGTAGAATTCACCTGTTGCTTATTTATTTATTTTTTTTGAGACAGGATCTCACTCTGTTGCCCAGGCTGGAGTGAAGTGATGCAGTCGAGGCTCACTGCACCCTCGACCTCCCAGGGTCAAGCAACCCTCCTGCCTCAACCTCCCTAGTATCTGGAACTACAGGCATGTGCCGCCATGCCCAGCTTATTTTTAAATTTTTTGTAGAGACAGGGTCCTGCTATGCTGCTCAGGCTGGTCTTGAACTCCTGGACTCAAGTAATCCTTCTGCCTCGGCCTCCCAAAGTGCTGGGATTACAGGTGTGAAATACTATGCCTGACCTTTTTGGTAGTCTTTTAAATTACTGATTCAATTTCAGAACTCATATTGATCAGTTCAGGGATCCAGTTTCTTCCTGTTTTGATCTTGGCAATTTGTATGTTTCCAGGAATTCATTCATTTCTTTCAGTTTATGTAGTTTGTCTGCATAGAGGTGTTTGTAATAGTCTTTGAGGCTTTTAAAAAAAAATTCTTTGGGGTCAGTTGTAATGTCCCCTTTTTCATTTCTGATTGTTTATTGAGACCTTGTCCCTTTTTTTCTTTATTAGCCTAGCTAACAGTCTATCAATCTTATTTATTCTTTCAAGAAACCAAGCTCTGCATCATTGATCTTTTGTATGTTTTTTTGTGTGTGTGTCTTCATTTTCCTTAGTTTAGCTCTGAATTTGGTTATTTCTTGTTTTCTGCTAGCTTGCTTGCAGAAACCATGTGCAGAAGGGGTTGGTTTGCTCTTGTTTGTCTAGTTCCTGTAGGTGTGATGTTAGGTTATGAATTTTATATCTTTCTAAATTTTTGATGCGGGTGTTTAGTGCTATAAACTTCCCTCTTCACACTGCTTTAGCTATGTCCCAGAGATTCTTTGTTGTATCTTTGTTCTCATTAGTTTTCTAAGAATTTTATATTTCTGCCTTAATTTTATTGTACCTATAAGTCATGCAGAAGCAGTTTGTTTAATTACCATGTAATTGTGTAGTTTTGAGCAATTTTCTTGGCATTAGTTCCTATTTTTATTGTGCTGTGGTCTGATAGTGTGTTTGGTGTGACTTTTTTTTTTTTAATTTGCTGAGGATTGTTTTTATGGCCAATAATGTGGTTGATTTTAGAGTATGTGCCATGTGCACGTGAGAAGAATGTGTTTTCTGTTATTTTGTGGTAGAGGATTCTGTAGAAGTCTGTTAGGCCCATTTTGTCAAGTGTCAAGTTCAAGTCCCAAATATTTTTGTTAGTTTTCTGTCTTGATCTAATATTGTCAGTGGGGTGTTGAATTCTCCTTCTATTATTGTGTGGTTGTGTAAGTTTCATTGTAGGTCTCTACGAACTCATTTTATGAGTCTGGATGCTCCTGTGTTGGATGCATATATATGTAGGATAGCTAGGTCTTCTTGTTGGATTGAACCTTTACCATTATGTAATGCCCTTCTTTGTCTTTTAAATTATTGTTGGTTTAAAGTTTGTTTTGTCTAAAGCAAACTATAGCAAGCCCTGCTTTTTTTCTGCTTTCCATTTGCTTGGTAGATTTTTCTTCATTCCTTTTCTTTCAGCTTATGGGTGTCATCGCATGTGAGATGGGTCTCTTGAAGACACATATGGCGTCTTACTTCTTTATCCAACTTCCACTTTGTGTCTTTTAATTGGAGCATGCATAGTTTTAGCCTGTTTACATTCAAGGTTAATATTAACATGTACAGATATGATTCTGATATCATGTTGTTAGTTGGTTACTATGCAGACTTGATTGTGTGGTTTCTTTGTAATGTTAATGATCTATATACTTAAGTGTTTTTTTTTTGTGGCGCCCAGTAACTGTCTTTCATTTCCATATTTAGCACTCCCTTAAGTATTTCTTTTGAGGCAGGTCTTGTGGTATTGAATTCCCTTAGCATTTGCTTGTCCCAAAAGGATCTTATTTCTCCTTTGTGCGTGAAAGCTCTGTTGTTATTTCCTTAGCTTGGTCTGTTCTGCTGTGAATACTTGCAATTGTATTATGAAATTCTTATAGTGTGTTTTTCAGCTCTGTGAGTGAGATCAGTTCTATTCTTTCTTGTAATGACCATTTCATTTTTCAGCTCCTGTATCATTGCCTTATATTCCTTAGATTTCTTGGATTCAGTTTCAACTTTCTCCTATATCTGAATGATCTTTGTTCTTATCTGTATTTCTGAAGTGTGTCATTTCAGCCATTTCAGCCTGGTTAAGAACATTTGCTGGGGAACTAGAGCAGTCATGTGGAGGAAAGAAGACAATCTGACTTTTTGAGTTGTCAGAGTTTTTGTTATGGTTCTTTCTCATCTGTGTCAGCTGATGTTTCTTTAACTGTGTTGTAATTTGAATACAGTCAGTTGACTCCTTTTCTGGATATTTTTAGAGGAAAGAGGCTTTGTGCAGGGTCTTTATTTGTAGTTGATGATAGTTCTGTTTTAAATTCTTTGAGAAATCTCCAAACTGTTTTAAACTGTGGCTAAACTAATTTACGTTCCTCCAGCAGTGTATACCTTTACCATTTTACCAATGTAGTTTTATCACATTTTTGTTAATTCAATGCGCAGGTTTAGAGTGCTATGTCTATGTTAATAGTGTTCATTTCTTAATTTTGTGGGGAATCAGGATCACATATTCTTTCTTGCACACTGTTCTATTTTTCTTGAGTTAATAATTGTCTCATGATTTTCGTTTGACAGTTTTCTATGAATTAATCACCAATTTAACCCATACTTGTCAAACCTGTACAATATTAATATGGTAAAAACGTTAGATGGTCTATAAATGTATAAATGTCTTCTTCTATTTTTCCTGTTGACTTAATGCTCTATGGTCTTCATGCTCCATTTGTAGTTTTGTGGTCCCCTAGAGCCAGGGGTCACTCTCTGGTGATTCTTTTACTTATATCCCTGAAGAGTCCCTACTCTGCTTTTCTGTGTTGGAACTTGTTTCCTGGATTCTATGTTTTATCTTTCTTGGTTTATACTCTTGTTTTAGAGAAGCATATCTTCCAGCAACTTTTTCAGGGAACACTTTGTAGGTAAGTGATTTTTAGAGCTTGTATGTCTTAAAATGTCTTTTTTTTTTACTCTCAAATTTGATTGGTAATTTAGTTGGGCATAAAAACATAAATTTGAAATTAGTTTGCCTCATGTACCATGGTATATTCAATCCAGCATGCCAATATATTGACTCTCTCTGTCTGAAATTTTTAGGCTGAGCTGATAGCTTTTAGCTGTGAGCAACCCTGTCTATTTACTCCAGTATGTCTGAAAAGTATTTTTATTTATTTATCTCCTGTCTTCAAAAAGTTTGGGAAGAACTTTATTTAGTTTATAGTGTTCTTGTTGATAAACTCCTTAGATAAAATTTCTAATTTTTCAATGTAGCTTCCCCGCCGCTTTTCCTTCTCACTGATAAACTTTACGTTTCTTTTTTAGTCCAAATATTCTGAGATTGTATGAAGACTTAAGTTAGTGTGATACTTAAAAATAAACATTTTGGAAAATGTTTTTGGATTACTTCTTTGGTAATTTCAAACCCTGCCTTGTTTTTTTCTTTCTAGAACTCCTGTTAGCCATCAGTTGAACCCCCTGTATGAATTCCTAACTTTATAATCTTTTAGGATATTTTTTCTTCTACTTTCTGGGATATTTTCTCCATTTGATTTAAAATACTTCTTTAAAGATTTTTTAAATCATATTTTTAATTTTTGAGAACTTTTTCTTATTCTAAATATGTTCATTAAAATAGTTTTTTTGTTCTTGTTGCATCTTCTTTTATCACATTGAGACAGTCCTTTATTTTAAAGTTTATATAAGCATTTTCGATTCCTACTGGTTTTTATTTTTTTCTTTTGTGTGATCTGTCTTTTATGTGTAAACTTTCCCCAGTTTGTAATGATTCTAGGCTGTTCATTCATATTTAAAAATGAGGCACTAGAATGGTGATGGAAAGTGCCATGTCAAAGGGGGTGGCTTGTAAAGTGGGAGACATCACTCTAGGATAATCGGGCAGTAAGCCAATCTCCCATAAGATGATTCTCAGTTATTGGCATAGTTGCACATCTTTTCTTTTAGGTGGTTCAATTTCTCCAAAGCTTACACAATAGAATTCTTGAAATACCTGCTAACAACACACAGATGGAAAGGAATAGACCTGACTGCCAGCATTATGGAAACAAACAAAAAATGAGGTGATGAAAATATCATTGTTCAAAAATAACAGGTTAAATTAATCCCCACTATTTCCAGTAATGTTGTTACATCCATACCATCAGCTGTGTCTATTACTGGAAGCTCTGTATCAGTCTGGTTTTATTTCTTCAGACTAGTCAATCTCTAGCTTTCTACTGACATAGGAGAGGAGTGGATGCCTGGCTGGGGTGATGGAGAGAGTGTGTTAGAATTCATTCTTGCTCAAAATTTTATCTAAACCCATCTGCATATTTTTAGTTCAACCTCTCATGCTTATAGTCAGATGCTTATACCTCTAAGTCATGAGACTTTGGGGGATTCTGTGAAGGAAATTAACTTTACCCTCTTTTGATTTCTTTTTCTTGAAGTTTAAGCTTAAACTTTTCCTTCTCTGCTATGCCATATACCCCTTGTCTATTTGCTTTCTTCCTTCTAACTCTTTCTCATCTGCCGTTGTTTCCTTTTCCATTCATTTTATCTATGTGGTTGTATATTTTTATATTATCTACTCTCATTTCAGTGGTGTTTTGGCTCTACTTTTCACTGGATATTCCACAGCTTGATAGGGAAGTCCTAAGAAAGTCCAAGCTGGTGGGAATTATACACACATTTAGAGGTGTATGTCAGCATAGAGGTCTGGTGTACAGAGCAGATAACAATTTGAGTTGTTTGAACCAGAACTTGTGGAATGAGTGGAATTTGACAGCTAGCAACTGAAAGAAGAGTGTTCAAATACTTGCTTGATATAGTCTCCTCACAGACATCAGACACACAAATCTTTCCATGTTGAACTTTGAAATATTATAGCTTTGAGTAAATGAATGTATCATAAAAATTTTTCATCATGATACACAGACATGGGTAAGGTGAGATGAATAATAACTGAAGTAAATTAATAGACTGTGTGTTCTCTTTTGCTTGTGTTGCATGTATTGTGCACACCTGATTTGCTTACATCTTTGCTACTCAAAGTGTGATCCCTGGACCACAGTATCAACATCATCTGGATCTTGTTAGATATGTAGAATTGTGGCCCCATCTCAGACCTACTGAATCAGAGTATGCATTTTAAGAAGACGCCTAGATGACTTGTAAGCACAGGAAAGTTTGAGAAGCACTGGCTGTTGTTATGCATTCATCATTAGGTTATACATTCTTTATTTCCTCCTTTTCCTATTAGAACAAAACAAAACAACTACACATGATAAGTATGTGGTATAATAGAGACATCATTTATTCTAGTCAATACATTATCTGTGGTTACTTAAATTCATGGAGTGCAGTTTTATGATGCAGATAAAGCATGAACTGTTTGGTGTTTTGGCATGGGTTTTGGAAGCAGATGGACTTGGTAGCAAACATTGCATTTGACACAGATTCTTAATTACTTTTACCCTTGGTAAAATAAAAATTTACATAGTTTTCTTTACTGAGTTCTTATGAAGATTAAATAAAATGATGTTTCTAAAATGCTTAGCACAGTATCGTAGGCACATGCAATTAATATTAGTACCCTTTTCTTCCTCACCGAAATGAGTGTCAAAATTTTAAGGCATTACAACTAATGGCCAGGGAATTTGATATGGAAGATTTTATTTACCTATTTTGTTTAAAAAATTATTTGATACTGTTGAGCTTTTTAAATTTTTTAATTTTTATGGATACATAGTAGGCATGTATATTTATGAGTAACATGAGATATTTTCATACAGGCATGCAATGTGTAGTAATCACATCCATGTTGACATATACATATATCCATAAAACTGTAATCACAATTAAGACAGTGAAAGTCTTCATCACTCCCAAAAGCTTCTTCTCTATTGTCAATTCCGGCTTCCTGCCCTGTCACCAGGCTACCATTGCTCTGCTTTCTGTCACTGTATTTGAGTTTTCATTTTGTAGAGATTTTTATAAATGGACATATGCAGTATGTACTTTTTTGTCTAACTTATTTTACTTAGCATAATTAATTAGCATTAATTAGTGTGAGATTCATTCATGTTGTAGTGTGTTCAGTCCTTTTATCACTGAGTACTATTCCATCATATGGATGTATCACAGTTTGTCAATCCATTCACACAATTCACAATTTGGTTGCTGACTCTTTCTGGCTTTACAAGTAAAGCTGCTGTGAACATTCACGGACAAGTCTTGTTTGGAAATATACTTTCTTTTCCTTAAAATTGAAATGTTTTGATTATGTGGGAGTTGTATGCTTAGCCTTTTACAAAATTCACAAACTGTTTTTTAAAGTCATTGTACCCTTTTACACTCCCATTGGCAGTGCATGAGAGTTAAAATACCTCCACTTCCTTACCAACACTTGGTATGATCAGTCTTTTAAATTTTAGTCATTCCAATAGATGTGTAGTTGTATGCTATTATGGATTTAATTCGTTTATATGAGTAATAATTTTGAACACCTATCTTTTCATGGACTTCTATGTCATCTGTATTTTTGTTCATAAATTGTATATTCAAATCTTTCCCACTTTTTAAATTGGGTTATTTGTTTATTATTTAGTTTATAATTTTCCTGTATATACAGGATACAAACTCTTTATCAGACATACGCTTTGCAAATATTTCCTCCTGGCCTCTGGACTGTCTTTTCATTCTTCTTAACAAAGTAATCCAGGAGAAACATTTTAATTTTGATGATATTTTGTTTATTTTTTTTGTTTGTTTTCTTAATAGATCCTGCTTTTGGTGTTGTAGCTAAGAAACCTTTGCTAACTCACAGGGTTGCAAAGATTTTTGCCTATATATTTTTTCTATGAGTTTAATAGATTTATGTCCTAAATTTAGGTCTATAATTCATTTTGTGTTAATTTTTGTATGTGGTGTAGGCATATACTGAAGTTTATTATGATTACTTTTGCATAAGGGGACCTAATTACTCCAGCAAAATTTTTTATGAAGGCTATTCTTTTTCCATTGACTTACATTTGTATTTTTGTCAAAAAGTAGTTGTATAAATAAGTGGGTCTTCTTCTGAACTCTGTATTTTATCCCAGTGTTCTATTTGTCCATCTTTATACCAAAATTAACTATCTTGGTTATCATAGCTTTACAGTAAAACTTAAATTTAGGTAGTGTTAGACCTTTAATTTTGTTCTTTTTTTTAAAAAAAATGTTTTTAACTATTCTAGGTCATTTGCCTTTCCATATGAATTTTAGAATCTGCTTGTCAGTTTCTCAAAATTATGCTGGAATTTTAACCAGGATTGAATTGAGTCTATAGATGAATTAAGGGAGAATTAACTTTTTAATTATTTTCAATGTTCTAGCTCATGGTATATCTCTCCATTTATTTTGTCTTCTTTGTTTTTCCTTAACAAATCCTGTTGTGTTCATTCTAAAAGTCTTTCACGTCTTTTTTCAGATTTATCCCTAAGATTTTAATACTTTAAATGCTTTTGTAAATTGATTCTTAAAAATTTTGATCTTCAATAATTTGTTGCTCATACAAATATATATAAATATACATTTAATTTTTGTAAATTCATCTTGTATCATGCAAACATGCTAAATTTACTTTTTAGTATTTTTATAGATTTCATCAGATTGTCTATAAATCATGTTATCTGTGAATAAAGATGGTTTAATTGTTTTTGTATGTCTTTTATTTATTTTATTCATTCTTATTACACTGGCTATAACTTCTAGTATAATATGGAATAGAAATGATGGAAGGTAACATCTTTGTCTTTTCCTTGATCCTGGAAGAGGCGCATTTAATCTTTGGCAATTGAGTGTAATGTTAGCTATAGGTTTTCATAGATACTTTTTATTAGGTTAGAGAAATTTTCTTTTATTCCTACTTTGGCAAGAGCTTTTAATCAGGAATAGATGTCAGATTTGTCAAATGTTTTTCTGCATCTATTGAGATGATTTTTCTTTTTAATTTTTTTGAATTTAGTTTTTGTAAAAATTCTAGTCATATAGTAAATTGCATTGCTTATTTTAAATGTTAAATTAACCTTGCATAACTGAGATAAACTCCACTTGATCAAAATATATTACCTTTTTATCTATTATTGGATTTAATTTGTTAAAATTTTGTTTAACATTTTGCATCAGTTTTTATGAGGGGCAGTGGTCTTTAGTAGTCTTTTTAAAATTTGTCTTTGTCTTATATTTATAGGTAATCATAACCTCATAGAATTATTCAGAAGTATTCTCTTATTTTCAATTTTCTGGAAGAGTTTGTGTTGGATGGGTATTATTTCTCACTTAAATGTTTGGTAGATTTCACTAATGAAGCCATCTAGGCTTTTAGGGTTTTTTATTAGAAGATATTTAATTACAAATTCAATTTTTAATATACATTAGGGCCACTCAAGTTGTTCAATTTAGTATCATAAGGATTTTTTTTAAACTGTATTCTATTATTAACTTCTTAATTTGTATAGAATCAGTGGTAATAGCACCTTTCTCATAGTTGATATTCATAACTTGTGCCATTTTTTCTTGATCACTCTGCCTAGAGGCTTATCAATCTTATTATTGATCTTCTCAAACAACCAGCCTTTGATTTCATTCATTTTTCTCTAATGTTTTTATTTTTACTTCCTTGATTTCCACTCTTCTTTCTTTATTCTACTTAGTTTTGGTTTAACTGACTCTTCTAATTGCTTTGCATGGGAGATGAGGTCATCAATTTGATACCATTTTGTTTTCTAATGTAGGTGTTTAATGGTATACATTTTCCCCTAAATGCTGATTTTAGAGGCATCCCACAAATACTGGCATGTTGTACTTTCATTTTCATTCAGTTCAAAGTACTTTCTATGTTTCCTTTTGATTCCTTTTTTCATCTATGAGTTATTTAGAAGTGTTATTTTTCAAATATTTGGGATTTTCAAGAAATATTTCTGTTATTGATTTCCAATTTAATTTCATTTTAACCAGTGAACATTCTTTGTAGGACTTTAATCCTGTTAAGTTTATTGGGACTTGCTTTATGGTCTGGAATATGATCTACCTTGGTAAATGCTCCATATGCACTGGAGAAGAATATGTATTATGTTGTTGTTGGGTGGCATTTTTTTATAAACAGCAATTACATCAAGTTGTTTGATAGTATTGTACAAATCTTCTGTATCCTTACTGATATTATGTCTTGAGCAGCATTGAAATCTCTTGACTATAATTGTACATTTTTCTATTTCTTCTTAGATTTGTATTCATTTTTGTTTCATGTGTTGTGAAGCTCTGTTGTAATGTTCACAAACATTTAGAATTGTTATATGTTCTTGATTGATACTTTTATCATCATGAAATGATAATTATGTTATCATCTGAAACCTACTTTGTCTGATAGCTTTCTTTTGATTAGTGTTAGAGTGGTATGCCTTTTCCATCCTTTTACTTGTAACTTATGTCCTTATATTTCAAGTGCATTTCTTACAAGTAGCATACAATTGGATCTTGTTTTATCCAATCTTACAAATTTTGCCTTTTTTTGAGCATGTAAATTATATATTAGGTTGGTGCAAAAGTAATTGCTTTTAAATAAATTTATCATACCTTTAAAAGCAAAAACCACAGTTACTTTTGCATCAACCTAATAGTATAAAGTAAATAACATAAACCATTTTATGTGATTAATGTTCCCTTCTGCTAGTTCTATCATTCAAACTGCTGTCATTTTTGATTGATTAATTTTTCTCTTCTTTATGGGTCATATTTTTCTGCTTCTTTACATGCCTGCTAATTTTTTATTGAATTCCAAATATTACACATTTTAACCTTGTTTTGTGCTAATTATTTTTGCATGCCTATAAATAATCTTGAAACAAATTGCTTGAAATAATTTGATTCTTTAGGATCTCGTTTTTAAGATTTGTTAGGCAGGACTGGCAAAGTGCTCAGTTTGATGATAAATACTTCCCACTCCTGAAGCAAGACCCCTTTTTTGTACTTTACTCAATGACTAATGAATTATGAATATTTCAGTCTGGCTGATGGAAACAAAGTGTATTGCTGGTCCTGAGCACCAGAAACGGTTATCTTTAATCCTTTAAAAAAATTATTTATTTATTTATTTATTTTGAGACAGTCTCGCTCTGTCACCCAGGCAGGAGTGCAGTGGCGTGATCTTGGCTCACTGCAATCTCCCCCTCCCGGGTTCAAACAATTCTCCTGCCTCAGCCTCCCAAGTAGCTAGGATCACAGGCGCCCACCACCACACCCGGCTAATTTTTTTGTATTTTTAGTAGAGATGGGGTTTCACCATGTTGGCCAGGCTAGTCTCAAACTCCTGACCTCAGGTGATCCATCTGCCTCGGCCTCCCAAAGTGCTGGGATTACAGGCGTGAGCCACCACACCCGGACACCTTTAACTCTTTTGGGTGTTTTCTTCCATGGTCTCAGGTAGTTTCCTCAAATGCCTGTGTTGATTATTACTCATCTGAATACTCAAGCGAAGCACACTGACAATTTCCTTGCCTTGTGCAGCCTTCTCTGGCACTCTGTCCTGTGGTTTCTAGCTGTCTTTCAGAGTCTAAGCTTTTTCCCAACTCAGCACGTCCACTGGACTCTGGTGCAGTCTCTCCTTCCTGTGCCATGGCCTGGACTCCCTTAAAGCAGCAAGCTGGGATAATCATAGGTCTCGCTCTGTTGTTTACTGCCTTTCATGGATCAGTATATTACATTGCTCGATGGCCAGTGACTGGTACCTCATCTTGTCTGGAAGCACAAGTCAAATTAGAAGATTCCTACTCATCTTTTTTTTTTTTTTTTTTTTTTTAACATTTTCAACCATATTAGGTGAACTACTCTAGCATTTTTCACTTTATTAGATTTGTCTGTTATAACCAGTTTATAATTAATGTAGAAAATGTCTTTTTATTTAGCTTTTCCTGAGGAATCTCCTTGTTTTGAAGAAAACATGGATTGGAAAATGATCAGTGATAATTATTTTCAATTTTTGAATAACTTACTCAAGTCTCCAACAGCTTCCATATCCAGGTAAGTTATCAGAATCCAACTTCTAGGTCTTGATTTAATTATCATCTGAAGATAATCAAAACCTAATTATAGGATATGCACTCTTTAAAATTTATGAGCCTGATTTAGATATTGACACAATCTTTCATATGAGCTGTTCAATAAATATTCCTTTAATAGAGTGTGTGACTCAAGTATCAAGTTGTTTAATAGAATGTATGACTCAATGGATTTTGAAAGGAAATACAGATCGTAGTAAGAAGATTTTCCTTCAATAATAACATGATTTATAATAGATGCTCCAAAAATAAGGTATTTGTTTTGAAAAATTGTCTTAGCTAGTTACCTAGAGTTTAAGCAGGAAATCAATTCTATAGATTCTGTTAGTTTCAAAGACTCCTGGGAGAGAGAAGTGGTCTTTGGAACTAAATTTGTCGGACTATTTTCTGCTGTCCTATTTCAGCACGTGTATTGAAATGCAGATTTTTATGTCTGGTTATGAATAGTGTGTCCAGTTTAAAGGTATACTCGGTTATTTGTGGGGTGTATTGGAACATGATGGGAGAGATGTTTTGCATAAGAGCAGTAACGCTCAAACTTGAGAATGGATTAAATCTGTGAAGACTGCTAAAAATAAAAATGTCTGCACCTTGCCCCAGTCATATGAAATCTTGCTCTGTGTACAGGACCCAGGTTTCTATATATTTCACACATTCTATAGGTGGTTCCAGTGCACACCAAAGTTGGAGAACCATTCTGCTATATCTGTCTAGAATGGGGATTAGTCATTCCTATGGAACTTCTTAAGCCCAGCTATTAGTAGGAACAGAAGAAAGGACAATGGGATGGATCCTCTAGAGAATCAATTCCTTGCTTAGGTCAGATTTTTAATTCCTCTTTCCTGAAAGCCTCAAAAATTTAATAGCCCTAGAAAACCAGCACAAAACTAGTCTATATGTGCACAAGGACACATTTAATTTTATATTTGTGGACCCATAGCAGTTGGCACAGTGTCTTTCATCATGGATAGTGGTAGATAATTAGATGTTGATTTAATGAATGAAAAATCATTGAACATTAAGTGCAATTTATATTAAGAAAGCTGAACTTGAAATGACAAAACCTGGGTCGTCTCCTAGTCATGCCACATAATAACAGCTTGAACCTGTCAATTAAAAAAATAAAAAGTTTCTTTTTTCATGAAAGGGAAATAATGACGTGTACTTCAAAAGGCTGTTGTAGGAATGAACTAAGATAGTAGTTGTGAAAGTGCTTTATAAACTAAATTACTAAAGTAATATAAAAACGTGGCAATAATACTATTAGTAGTACTACTTCTACTTCAATTTATTATTCTATTGCTACTCCATAACCCTCTCAGTTCCCAATACAAATAAGTTTTATATTCTCCTCTATCAAGGCACAATGACTTGGATGGTAGTTAGGCATCTATTCTTAGGGAGGGCTGGATTTAGGCAAGGTTTATGTTGAATTCCTAATAGAACTTTCCCTTTTCTGATGGGATTTTTTCCCTAGGAATTATTTCAAAGAAGCCATTCTGTCCTAAAAATAACAACTAACTAAATTAAGACCATATTTTTGTGTGGGGTGCTCAGGTCTCAGCTATCAGGGAAGTAAACAGCATTCTTGCCTTTGATAGGTCTTATGTCTGTCCTATGTCAGACAGTGTGTTATACAACAAGAGCAGAGGGTTAAAAAACTTAGGAAGTAATTTACCCTGTAAGGCATAAATAGCCAATAAAGGTCAAAAATTCCTTACCCACAATTCTGAACTCTTACAAAGTCTGAAAATAGAGGCTTTTCTTATGGTTGACATCACAACTCATTCAGCAAAGATTTATCATGAACTGATGTGAAGCAGTTTCAAGTGTATTATCCTGCGTCGCGAGATCATTCACAGGTCTCACTGCGAAAGTGTTAATACGGTGATGATCAGGGCTGTCCCAGCCCTCACTGAGATGCATGAATACATATCTGATACCTGTATCATGCTACATTTCTAAAGGATGAACATCCTGAATTCTGAAACACATGTAACCCCAAGAATGTCAAAAGTGGACTTGTAAGTTCTGAGTTAGTAGAAGTTAGTTCTGCAAGTGTGGATTTCTGTTACAAGAGGGGACTTACAGTGTCTGAGTTGCTCTTCTGAGAACTCTGTATTTTAAAATTAAACACCTGGCGATAAGCTACCCCATATATAATAATGAGTTTCTGACAGTAGGATGTATATAGTATTGTTGAAAGAGCACTGGAATTTGCCTTCCAGGACTGGGAGTGCCCACACCTTGCTGAAACCCTACAGGCATGGTTTCTAATGCACTCCACTATCTGTGCTACCTTTACATGCCAAGACATTTTGAAATGGAATTAAATCCTAAGATTCTTCTGGCATAAATAGCAAACTTATCTTTAATAATCATACATATTATTGTTAAATATGCCAGGGGAAAATAATTGAGAATGCTTTCTTTTTGGTGGTAGGAAACATTTTAAGCTAAATATATATAACTTCATTGTGCATTTCTAAAACACTTTCAAATCCTCACATTAGTTTAATTTCTGTTGGAAATCATGTTGTCTATTAAATGTTTCATTTGTGTTTTACTATCAATAAATGAGTATTAACTTGGAAATTTGATAAATCAAATTTATTTTTTTATTTTATACTAAAATAATTCTATTAATATTACAGGGCTTTAAATTTCACAAAGCACCTTCTAATGATGGAAAAGAAGTTGCACACCCTTGAGGATGAACAAATGAACTTTCTTTTATCATTTGTGGAATTTTTTGAGAAATTATTGTTGCCTAATCTTTTTGACTCCTCCATTGTTCCCAGTTTCCACAGCCTCCCATCTCTCACAGAGGATATTCTGAATATAAGTTCTCTGTGGACAAATCATTTAAAAAGTTTAAAGAGAGACCCATCTGCCACTGATGCTCAGAAACTCTTGGAATTTGGCAACGAAGTGATTTGGAAAATGCAGACTCTCGGAAGTCACTGGATAAGGAAGGAACCAAAAAATCTTTTGAGATTCATAGAATTAATACTTTTTGAAATTAATCCCAAATTACTAGAATTATGGGCCTATGGCATTTCAAAAGGAAAAAGAGCTAAATTGGAAAACTTCTTTACACTTTTAAATTTTTCTGTTCCAGAAAATGAGATTCTGAGTACAAGTTTTAACTTTTCCCAGTTGTTCCATTCAGATTGGCCTAAATCACCAGCTATGAACATAGATTTTGTACGTTTAAGTGAGGCTATAATAACTAGTCTCCATGAATTTGGATTTTTGGAGCAGGAACAGATCTCAGAAGCTCTGAACACAGTCTACGCTATCAGGAATGCATCTGATCTTTTCTCAGCCCTTTCTGAACCACAAAAACAAGAAGTTGATAAAATTTTGACTCACATACACCTAAATGTCTTCCAGGACAAGGATTCAGCTTTACTTCTGCAAATTTATTCTTCATTTTACCGATATATTTATGAATTATTGAATATTCAGAGTAGAGGCTCTTCGTTGACTTTCCTTACACAAATCTCAAAACACATTTTGGATATCATAAAACAATTTAATTTCCAAAACATCAGTAAAGCATTTGCATTTTTATTTAAGACAGCAGAGGTTCTTGGGGGAATTTCTAATGTATCTTACTGTCAGCAATTGCTTTCAATTTTTAACTTTTTGGAGCTTCAGGCCCAATCCTTCATGTCTACAGAGGGCCAAGAACTGGAAGTGATCCACACTACTTTGACAGGCCTCAAACAGCTGCTCATAATTGATGAAGATTTTCGTATTTCTTTATTTCAATATATGAGCCAATTCTTCAACAGTTCAGTAGAAGACCTATTGGATAATAAATGCTTGATTTCGGACAATAAACACATTTCTTCCGTAAATTATTCAACAAGTGAGGAGTCTTCATTTGTTTTTCCATTGGCACAAATTTTTTCAAACCTCTCAGCAAATGTCAGTGTGTTCAACAAGTTTATGTCCATTCACTGTACCGTTTCATGGCTTCAAATGTGGACTGAAATCTGGGAAACCATATCTCAATTATTTAAGTTTGACATGAATGTTTTCACATCTCTTCATCATGGTTTCACTCAGCTTTTGGATGAATTGGAAGATGATGTGAAAGTCTCTAAAAGCTGCCAGGGTATACTTCCCACCCATAATGTTGCTAGACTCATATTAAATTTGTTTAAAAATGTAACTCAAGCCAATGACTTCCATAATTGGGAGGACTTCCTGGATCTCAGGGATTTTTTGGTAGCTTTAGGTAATGCATTAGTTTCAGTAAAAAAACTTAACTTGGAGCAAGTGGAGAAATCCCTTTTCACCATGGAAGCTGCCCTGCATCAGTTGAAGACATTTCCATTCAACGAAAGTACAAGCAGAGAGTTTTTAAATTCTCTGCTTGAAGTTTTCATTGAGTTTAGCAGTACCTCAGAATATATAGTCAGAAATCTAGATTCAATAAATGACTTTCTTTCAAATAATCTCACAAATTATGGAGAAAAATTTGAAAATATCATCACTGAGCTAAGAGAAGCAATAGTATTTCTTAGAAATGTATCACATGATCGAGATTTGTTTTCCTGTGCTGATATTTTCCAAAATGTTACTGAGTGTATTTTAGAAGATGGCTTTTTATATGTAAATACCTCACAGAGGATGTTACGTATTCTAGACACGTTAAATTCCACATTTTCCTCTGAGAACACAATTAGCAGTCTGAAAGGATGCATTGTATGGTTAGATGTCATAAACCATTTGTATTTGTTGTCTAACTCCAGTTTTTCACAAGGTCATCTTCAAAATATTTTGGGGAATTTCAGAGATATAGAAAACAAAATGAACTCTATATTAAAAATTGTAACTTGGGTGTTAAATATAAAAAAACCTCTTTGTTCATCAAATGGCTCACATATAAATTGTGTCAATATTTACTTGAAAGATGTAACTGACTTTCTAAATATTGTACTTACTACAGTCTTTGAAAAAGAGAAGAAACCTAAATTTGAGATTTTATTAGCTCTTTTAAATGATTCCACAAAGCAAGTAAGGATGAGTATCAACAACTTAACAACAGACTTTGATTTTGCATCTCAGTCCAATTGGAGATATTTTACTGAATTAATTCTAAGACCAATAGAAATGTCAGATGAAATTCCTAATCAGTTTCAAAATATTTGGCTTCATTTAATAACACTGGGGAAGGAATTTCAGAAGCTTGTAAAAGGTATTTACTTTAACATCCTGGAAAATAATTCCTCTTCTAAAACTGAAAACTTGTTAAACATATTTGCCACCAGTCCAAAAGAAAAGGATGTAAACAGTGTAGGCAATTCCATTTATCACTTAGCTAGTTACCTTGCCTTCAGCTTATCTCATGACCTCCAAAATTCACCAAAAATAATAATTTCACCTGAAATAATGAAAGCTACAGGTCTTGGTATTCAACTGATAAGGGATGTGTTCAACTCCTTAATGCCTGTAGTTCATCACACTAGTCCACAAAATGCAGGTTATATGCAAGCTTTGAAGAAGGTAACTTCTGTCATGCGTACCCTTAAGAAGGCAGACATAGACCTTTTAGTGGATCAGCTTGAACAAGTTAGTGTAAACCTAATGGATTTCTTTAAGAATATCAGTAGTGTGGGAACTGGCAATTTAGTGGTCAATTTGCTTGTTGGCTTGATGGAAAAATTTGCAGACAGCTCACATTCTTGGAATGTTAATCATCTGCTGCAGCTCTCACGCCTGTTTCCTAAAGATGTTGTGGATGCTGTGATAGATGTGTACTATGTGCTTCCTCATGCTGTAAGGCTCCTGCAGGGAGTACCTGGTAAAAACATCACTGAAGGCCTCAAGGATGTCTACAGCTTCACACTCCTTCATGGCATAACCATTTCAAATATCACCAAGGAAGACTTCGCAATTGTGATAAAAATTCTTTTGGATACAATTGAATTAGTATCAGATAAGCCAGATATTATTTCAGAGGCTTTAGCTTGTTTTCCTGTGGTTTGGTGCTGGAATCACACAAATTCTGGATTTCGGCAGAATTCAAAGATAGACCCCTGCAATGTCCATGGGCTCATGTCTTCTTCCTTTTATGGCAAAGTGGCCAGTATACTTGATCATTTCCACCTGTCTCCCCAAGGTGAAGATTCACCATGTTCAAATGAAAGCTCCCGAATGGAAATAACTAGGAAAGTGGTCTGCATAATTCATGAATTAGTGGACTGGAATTCTATTCTTCTGGAGCTCTCTGAAGTCTTCCATGTTAACATTTCTCTTGTGAAAACTGTGCAGAAATTTTGGCATAAGATATTACCGTTTGTCCCACCTTCAATAAATCAAACTAGGGATAGCATCTCTGAACTCTGTCCTAGTGGTTCCATAAAGCAAGTTGCTTTGCAAATCATAGAAAAACTTAAAAATGTCAACTTTACAAAAGTTACATCAGGTGAAAATATTCTTGACAAACTAAGTAGTTTAAACAAGATCCTTAACATTAATGAAGACACAGAGACATCTGTTCAAAATATTATTTCCTCAAATTTGGAAAGGACAGTACAATTGATTTCTGAAGACTGGAGCCTAGAAAAAAGTACGCATAATCTACTCTCTTTATTCATGATGCTCCAGAATGCAAATGTCACAGGTAGCAGTTTAGAAGCATTATCAAGTTTTATTGAAAAAAGTGAAACACCTTACAACTTTGAAGAACTATGGCCCAAGTTTCAACAAATCATGAAAGACCTAACCCAAGATTTTAGAATCAGACACCTGCTTTCTGAAATGAACAAAGGAATCAAAAGTATAAATTCAATGGCTCTTCAAAAGATAACTTTGCAGTTTGCCCATTTCCTGGAAATCCTGGATTCACCGTCATTGAAGACATTAGAAATTATTGAAGATTTTCTATTGGTCACAAAAAACTGGCTTCAGGAATATGCAAATGAGGATTACTCCAGAATGATAGAAACATTATTCATTCCTGTGACCAATGAGAGTTCAACTGAAGATATAGCTTTGTTAGCCAAAGCTATTGCTACTTTTTGGGGCTCTTTAAAAAATATATCTAGAGCAGGCAATTTTGATGTTGCCTTTCTTACCCATCTGCTAAATCAAGAACAGCTGACTAATTTCTCAGTTGTTCAGCTGCTTTTTGAAAACATCCTAATTAATTTGATCAATAACTTAGCTGGGAATTCTCAGGAAGCAGCTTGGAACTTAAATGATACTGACCTTCAAATAATGAATTTCATTAACCTTATCTTGAACCATATGCAGTCAGAAACTAGTAGGAAAACAGTTCTCTCTCTGAGAAGCATAGTAGATTTCACAGAACAGTTTTTGAAAACATTCTTCTCCCTTTTTCTAAAGGAAGATTCTGAGAACAAAATATCTCTTCTGCTGAAATATTTCCACAAAGATGTTATTGCAGAGATGAGGTGAGTATACTTTTGCTTTGTGTCATATATGCAGTTGCGATATATCTCAAACTACTTTATTTTCTGGAGTATAGACATGTCAAAAACAGTATTTGTATCTAATACCTTTGAAAGATCTTTGATGTAAATTTGTCTTAATAAATATTTTATCAAAATGTCAAGGTAAAAGAATTTTGATTACTGTCATCTAGTAAAATATAAACCCAGCCCAGGGTAATTAATCACGTATTATTCTTACATTTTTAGATTATGAAAACAATTATGAATTCTATTTTATATGGATCTGAAAAATTAGTTTTCATAGCTGTACATGCATATACAGGATTGACATAATTTGAATTGCTATACTAACTGTCTAATCACCAACTAGGGGCTTAAGTATTCTCAACCCAATGAATCTACTGTGGTATTTGCATTTAGAGACATAAAAATTGATAATCACATTATCTTCTTTTCATATATCTTTAAAAATCTCGTTTGAAGTTTGCCAGTGAAAAGGCTGGAGGGAAATTCCAATTTATTCCATGATGTCTGCTTTAGTCAAGTTTCAAGCAGAGTAACAAAAATCATCAAAGGATTTAATCCAAGGAAATCAGCTTACACAATTTTGGGGGCTGGCTGAGTAAGTCTGCAATCAGTAGGGCTGACTGTCAGGAAGGGAGGCCCACAGTAGGCAGGGGCGCCCACAGCAGGCAGGGGCGCTGCGGGCATGAGTGAAAGCTCCTTGTCCACAGTGGTCAGGAAGGAAGACCAGGGGAAGGGAGAGCCACTGACTATGAATACCCAGCAGTGGTTTTGTGCCTCTAAGTTACAGAGGTTCTATGCCCTCTTTCAGAGTTTTCCTGGCCCACTCAGGACAGTATCCCTTCTGACTAATTTAAAGTTAACTGATCAGGGATTTTAACTCCATCTGCAAAATCTCTTTATAGCAACACCTAGGTTAGTGTTCGATTGAATAGCTGGGAGAAGATGTACTTATATTACAAAATGGCTATAACTCCCATCTATCCTAGAACTCTCATGAGAGAATCTCCCCTGTAGCCCACCCAGATGAGAAACATACAAGAAAGGGGCTTCTTCAGCTATTGTTTAGCCTAGTCATGTTGATACATCTGTCTGAGCAATTTGCTAGTACTTCTAAAGCTCAGAAAAATATAAATATGCTAACCACTTTTCAGACACTTATCTCTTACATCAAGAATCACATTGTAGTCATTTTACTTTCTTTCCTAAGTAAAAGCCCTTTTAACCTTTTTCATAAGCAAAAGTTTGTGGCTTTTTAAGTTGCTAGGTTTAAAGAACTGTAACAGAATTTGTTCATGAAATTCCTCACTCTTTTCATTATTTGGCAACAAAATATTGAGTTTCATCTGAAATTATTTTAGCATGTCATCTTTTGCTCAGTATTATCTTCCCATGATGCTATTATAAAACAAATAAAATAATATAAATCACTATGTATCTTAATATTTCCACTGTTAATGTATTAAAAATTAAATTAAAAGTATATATATATATATATTTACAGTTTTGTCCCAAAAGATAAAATTCTAGAAATTCTGAAACTGGATCAATTTCTTACCCTGATGATACAAGACAGATTGATGAACATTTTTTCAAGTTTAAAGGAGACTATATATCACCTAATGAAAAGTTCATTTATATTAGACAATGGAGAATTTTATTTTGATACTCATCAAGGACTGAAGTTCATGCAAGATTTATTTAATGCCCTTCTCAGGGAAACTTCAATGAAAAATAAGACTGAAAATAATATAGACTTTTTCACAGTGGTGAGTCAGTTGTTTTTCCATGTGAATAAGTCTGAGGACCTCTTCAAACTCAATCAAGATCTTGGGTCAGCTCTTCACCTTGTAAGAGAATGTTCAACAGAGATGGCAAGACTTCTGGATACAATTTTACACTCTCCTAATAAGGACTTCTATGCTTTGTATCCTACCCTCCAAGAAGTTATACTTGCTAATCTAACGGATTTGCTTTTCTTTATAAATAATTCATTCCCTCTAAGAAACAGAGCAACATTAGAAATTACTAAGAGATTAGTTGGTGCTATTTCAAGAGCAAGTGAAGAAAGTCACGTCCTGAAACCCCTCTTAGAAATGTCTGGGACTCTGGTCATGCTGTTGAATGACAGTGCTGACCTGAGAGATCTTGCCACATCAATGGACTCCATTGTGAAACTTCTTAAGCTGGTCAAGAAAGTTTCGGGGAAGATGTCCACAGTTTTTAAAACTCATTTTATCTCCAATACCAAGGACAGTGTGAAATTCTTTGACACTCTGTATTCCATCATGCAACAAAGTGTTCAAAATCTTGTGAAAGAAATAGCTACTTTAAAAAAAATAGATCATTTCACATTTGAAAAGATAAATGATTTGTTGGTGCCATTTCTTGACTTGGCCTTTGAAATGATTGGGGTAGAACCTTATATATCATCAAACTCTGATATTTTCAGTATGTCACCTAGCATACTCTCATATATGAACCAATCTAAGGACTTTTCTGATATTTTGGAAGAAATTGCTGAATTTTTAACATCTGTGAAAATGAACTTGGAAGATATGAGGAGTCTTGCGGTAGCATTTAACAATGAGACTCAAACATTTTCTATGGATTCTGTCAACTTACGGGAAGAAATTCTGGGTTGCTTAGTTCCTATAAATAACATCACCAACCAAATGGACTTCTTATACCCTAATCCAATTTCCACTCATAGTGGCCCTCAAGATATAAAATGGGAAATAATTCATGAAGTGATCCCTTTTTTGGATAAAATATTATCACAAAACAGCACAGAAATAGGATCTTTCTTGAAAATGGTGATCTGTCTCACCTTAGAAGCTCTTTGGAAAAACTTAAAGAAAGATAATTGGAATGTTTCTAATGTGTTGATGACATTTACTCAGCATCCAAATAACCTTTTGAAAACCATAGAAACAGTTTTAGAGGCCTCCAGTGGAATTAAAAGTGACTATGAAGGTGATTTGAATAAAAGTTTATATTTTGACACACCTTTGAGTCAGAATATAACTCATCATCAACTTGAAAAAGCAATCCATAATGTTTTAAGTAGAATAGCTCTCTGGAGGAAAGGACTTCTGTTTAACAACTCTGAATGGATAACTTCCACAAGAACTTTGTTTCAGCCACTTTTTGAGATTTTCATTAAAGCAACCACCGGAAAGAATGTCACATCAGAAAAAGAAGAGAGAACCAAGAAAGAGATGATTGACTTTCCTTATAGTTTCAAACCATTTTTCTGTTTGGAGAAATACCTGGGAGGATTATTTGTATTGACTAAATACTGGCAACAAATCCCACTAACAGATCAAAGGTAATTAAAAAGCTGAATTCACTTTGTTTTTTTCTCTACCGCAGTAGCTATAAAATAGAACCATGCAGGAATTACAGTGAATCGGGGTAAGTAGTTCTTCTTGACTTCAACTTTGTTTACACTCTGAAGTTGGCTTCAACATAGAGCAATTCAGGTCCAGTCATTCTTTTTCATAATTCGACTCATTATTTGGCATTCAAATATAATTGCAGTTTATTCAAAATATTTCAAAAGTAAGTTATTTTATTCTCAGAAGCAAAAACCTCTTATTCTATTCACTCATCCCAAGACTAGTTGCATAAACAATTTTTCTGTTCATATCCTCTGGCAGCCAAGGGTCCTATGACTCAGTATACACACAAGAACATGAAGCTGCTTGCTTCACAGAAAATTATGCTTTCAGTTGTAGCTAACCACAGGAAAGGGCCAGGCAGCTGCTGGCTTCTGCCCTTTTTTGATTCTGCCAGACTTCACGTGGTTGATCCACCTCCAAGCCCTCCTATCGCTGAAAGTTATGTCCATAGAAACCTGTTCTTAAAAGCTCCAGTCTTGCTAGTTGTCATGCCTTGGAAGCAGTCTGTTGCCTTAGGTTGGAGACCCTGTGCCTCTTGATGTGCAGAGGCCCAGAGATGCTGCAGCTGTCCCTACCTGTCCTTTCTGTGGGTGAAAATACTGTTAGGGTGGTCCCTGGTCTCTGTTTCTCCCTGCTTTCCTCTCTGGCCCACATGGAGATTGGAGATGCCATGTCAACCCTGGTTCATTTGCCAGGCAGGCTGACTTATTTTCTGTTGGTTCTATTACTCCAGAGATGTACCTTGAATCCAGTCATGTTCTATGAGTTGGAAAGATGTCTTTAGTTGGTGAAACAGGTAGCCACTGGCACAAATAACTATTGCTACCTAGGAATTTGACTGCTAGTTTTCAGAGCTTCCTTCTTCATCTCCTCCTTGCTTCTGATGTCAAACTATATTTTGTTTGACTTTAGTGCTCTTCTCTGAATTGTCTTTTGAGCTGAGGTGGTCCTGGCAACCCCATTCTCCACCAATCTCAGGTTTTATCTCAAATTTTTCAGTTCTCCACAGAGGGAGTTTATACCTTAGCTCTTCATACCATCATGTTTTGACACCTTTTCAACATTTACCTTTGCATTTCAAAAGAATAGAACAAAAGAAGAAAGAAAAGCAAGTATTAAGCTTATTGGCCACAAAATTGATGCTTTGAAATAATTCTGGAGACCTAAAGTTTTCTAAAGGTCCAGAATGTGTTATCTGTGTTTTCTTATGTTCCTATGAAGAAAATATGATTATGCAGGGAGGGAGGATGGTTCTTACATGTGTGTTATAACTTAACCTACACAGTAGAGATGCACATGGGTTGCACATTTTTACCCTTTTATGTCATTGTATATATTTTTTTGCTAAGTGTTGTTGAGATTTGTGAAGTTTTCCAGCAGACTGTGAAGCCCTCAGAAGCCATGGAGATGCTGCAGAAAGTGAAGATGATGGTCGTACGTGTGCTCACCATCGTTGCAGGTGGGCTGCTCATATAACAAGTGCTCTGCAATTGCCCTGTGCCAGTTTTCAGAACTCAGGTGTCAGAGAGATGAGTATATTGCACTTGAGTTTCTTTTAGAACAAAGCACAGCTGTCTTAGTCTGGCAACCAGGCCTTGAGGGATCTGCCCCTCCCAACCTCATTCCCACCACTGGGCCTCTACTCCAGCCAAATTGAACGGCCCGTTCCTGCGCCTTTGCTGGGTTTTCTGGTCTCTGTCTTTGCTCATGGAATGTGCTTCCCTTGTCTTCTTGACCTAAACTACAGCCGTACTCTGTGGCCTAGAGCTGGGGGTGTCTTGTCCAGAAGTGTTCCCCCATCTCCTTTACTGGCAAAGACCTTGAGGAGACTTTGATCACGTGCAGTATCGTACTTTCTTCTTTCTTACATTTCCTCCCTCTGCTACAGTCAATATTTTTTGAAGATAGAAACTGTGTCATAACCTTCTGTGTGCATTTCCTGATGGGTGCTGAGTAGTCCCTGCAGTAACCTGAATTCCCTACAGCCGTGGCACTTATTGCTGGTATTATAGTTTTTGGTGTCTTCTTTTCCTGCTGCAGTCTGTAAGCTTACTGGGAACAGGATCAGTCTCTTGCTAAATTCTGTGTCTCCATAATACTCAGCATAGTGTCCAGCAATAGTGACTATATTGTAAATGAATTAATTCATCTGCTAAGATGATACTTGCCAAATCCATTCCTGCACATTTCAGTGCAATCTCCTTTCAATGCCACTGCTGAAGGAGAGTCCCACGAGCTGCTTTAGAGGGTAACTAGATGATCTTAGGGCTTTTCTGAAAATGTGAACATTAGACTTTAGAGCACACTTGAGTCCATGGAATGGACCACAGTTGTTTAAGTAATTCACAGGTGCACAGAGGTGCTGCCATCCTCTGGCCCAGTCTCCTGAGCAGGGCTGCCCAGAGCCCCCTCAGTGGGCTACTGGGCCTGAGTACCCTGTCTTAGCTGATGGCAGTGGGTTTTGACAACATGAATCGAAGCCCAGAAGAGGAGGGGAGGCGAGGAGAAATGGGGAAGCCAAGGGTGGATCCGATCAGATCAAGAGGGAAAGAAAAAAGTGAGGGGTCATCTGAGTAGGGCTTACTCCATATCCTGGCCCCGGACTCCCTGCCCCCTAGCTCATCTGATCCACATGTTCATTCTTCTGCCTTTCCTTGATTTACTCCTGGATCATTATTATTATTTCGATTACTATCAGGTTGTTATATTATGATTTGTAGATTACGTGTTATTTCCTCTGGAAAGCTTTTCTTCACCTACCCTGTCTGGGGTCACATGGCCTTAGCTCCTTGTTATGGCTCTTACCACCGTGTGCTATTCTGATGATGAACATGTGTCTCTTCTACAGTTGTGAGAACCCAGAGACTGTGCCTGTCTATTGATCACTACAAACCTGGCACATGGGGATTAGAACATGGGAAATGTTGATTGACATTTGTTGAATGAATGAATAAGTGCCAGAAGCTCTTCTATACTTACGTCATGTTTCACTGGAATTACCAAATGTGAAATCTGTTCATGGGGGAGTGCTCAGCAGCGAGAAGTAGTGGGTGGGCTGTTGGCATGTTCTGGGCCTATTTTGTACGACTGAGCAAACTGTGGGGGCCTGGGGAGGATGTTGTAGAGAGGAGTCTGGTTTACCCAGGAAGGGGCACAGTGGACGTATTCCCAACATCCACTATCAGAAGAGGAAGGGTTACCGGCCCCAGGATGGCTAATTGGTGGGTGTGGGCCACTGAGTCTGTGAGCCAGGAGTATGGACCAGCATCTACTGGGGAGCGGTATGGAGGAGAAATGAGCCTTGGGCAGAACCAGCATGTCAAATCCATTTTTCAAAACAAAAAAGATAAATTTTTCTTTGTATTGATAAGTGCTAGAAAGAAGCTAAAGTATGGCCATGAGGGTGAGAGTGAGGGGTGGAGGAGAGGAGAAGACCTTGAGGGTGCAGTTCAGGGTGAGGACATTTCAGGTGAGACTTGCGTAGTGAGGATGTGTGTCTGCCATGCTCATGGTTATATCTTCCCAGGGTTTAGGAAACATACTGACATAGGCATGATAGGCATTCAATCAATATGTGTAGAAGGATTGGATAGGTCAATGCATGAGGGCTGGCACTAGGTTGGGCACTTGTGACTGCTTGAGTTAATCTACACAATCACTGATGGGCTTCAGACTAGTGTGCTGGGACTCGTGGTCTGTAAGGCTGCCTCCTTACTGTCACGATGGGGCACTCAGGATTATACACCTTCATGACTGGTAAGGCTTTATTGCCCCAAATATCTTTGAGGGCAGAGTCAAACATGACTGTTAAAACAAGTGATGTCGTGAGAAGTGCTGTAATGGAAGAAGCAGGCGCTTTGAGATTGAACAGGCTGAGTTCCTTGATTCATGCTGAGTGACACAGGGTAGCTTCTGAATCTCTGTGAGCCTTGAAGAAAACATAGGGGAACACCTATTTCAACCTATGTGAGAGGATTAAATAAAATGAGTCACCTCCAAGGGGCTTATCCTAAGGAGATGCCTTGAACATGCTAGTTGCCCTGTCCTGCAAGTTGAAGATGCATCTCCCTGCATGCCATTGGGAAAACTACTTCTCAGCTTAGAGGGCTAGTTCATAAGTAAAAACTGGTAATTTAGGGACTGTCTATCACAGGGTTAGTTCTAATCTGCTCACTCATCCCTTTTTTTGTAATACAAATGGTTGTTTGAACAGAAGAATTGATTGGTCATTGGGTCTAAGAAACATGGAAAAGGAGTAAGAAACAGAGGGAGAAGTGGGACAAGCTTGATTTAAAAATGAAACCCCAACTGCTGTGTAGGGGTTTTGCATGTTTTTTTTTCTTTTAAGATAATCTGTATTTCCAATTAGATGTTATGAACATTGGTGATTAGGAATATTGCTTTCTGTTGTCAAATAGAAATCAGTAAAGTGTTACAATCTAAGTACAAGTTAGGATGGTTGGTACATGATTTCAGCATTTGGAAGTGTGCTCAGGTAAAATTCAAATCAAACTTCTTCCTCGTTCTTGAATGCTTATCTTCCATATTGAATTCAGCCACGTTTGAAGACACAATTATCTGGACATTTCACAGTCAGCTAATATAATGGTTTTTAAATGAATTAAACATTCATTAATGTATGAATTTATATTTATTTTGCCATTCTGTATTGCAGCTGCTAAATTAATATAGCATACTTGAGATTACATTAGTAACAGATAATTAATTTTTAATTTTTATATTTTATTTCAAGGAAACTCAAGCATAACTAACATTTAAACTGCCACCCCACTGTCCTTATTGAATTGTTACTCCATCCTGTAGAATAGGAGGGCAGTGACAGATCCCATAAAGTTAAAGGGATGGGGTGGAATTGACCAATGTGGGCAAATAGCCCCTCCTCTCCCATCATATAAAGGGAACAAGAATAAGATCTGTTATTATTATTGTTGCTGAAAATGCACTATATTTTCGTCATATCACAGAGTTGAGTTCAGTATCTCCAGGAGGAAAGTGACAACTTTCCTTCTCCTGATCTAGTGCTTTAAAGATGCCAAGGACAATGCAGGAGAGCTCATGCAACGGAAGGAGCCTCAGTGGGCAGCTACTTTAATCTTCCAGTTTCCCTAATTGACGAATTGAGGCCCAGAGAGTGAGAGTGAGTTTCCCAGGGTTTCAGAGTGAAGCAGTCAGAGCCCATTTCCAGTTGAAGAGACCTGAGAGGGTCCATGGGGCTGAAGGGAGGAGAGGAAAGGGGTCCAGAGAGCGCTGGCAGATCTGGAAAGCCAGAGTGGGTCTGAATGTGTCCTTGGAGCCAAGAAGAGGGGCCACAGCAAGTAGGAAGGGCTGGAGCCAGGGATTGGGAGAGGCAATGAGAGGTGGAGAAAGAGGGTACCCGGGAAAGTTGGAGGAGTCAAGGCTCAAAACCAGCTCTTGTTAGTGTCGAGACAGTTGTCAAGTGTCCTTGAGGGTGGTGCCTTTGAGGGCAGGCTTCAAGACGTGTTAGATGTGAGGCACATGGAGGCCAGATGGCCTGACAGCCCAGCACTGCATCCCATGATCATATCATCCCTGACCTAACCTTGCAGGAATGCTGGGCTTGGTCACTGTCGACTCCACGTTGTCATTTTACATTGAGGAAGCAAGGGGCTGACACAGCCCACAGCTTGCCTGATGCCATACATTACATCAGCTTTTTCAGGGTGCATTCTCTGCTCTTTTAGGTTTGAACAACATAACTTATAAACACATTATTGTGTCTTCCCGAGACCAGAGGATATGTTTATGCTTAAAGATAAGTGCTGTGATATATAACAGCACATTATTACCTTCATTTCAAATTTTAATAAGAGATTACTTAAGTGACACATTTTATATTTCCTACAATAAAGATACCTGTCTTTGAAATTAGTAAAATAAGATTAATGAGAAAAGAAAAACAAATAAGGCATCAAGGTGGGTTGCTTCTGGAAAGCATGACTTTGGATATATTGTGTCTACTCTGCATTTTATGTGGTTGAAAACTGTTTTAGTAATTAATAAATTTTATATTTTAGAGTAGTTTTAGATTCGCAGCAACCTTGAATGGAAGGTGCAGGGATTTCCCATATACTCCCTTCCCCACCATAGCCTCCCTCATTATCAGAGTGGCACATTTGTTACAATTGATGAACCCACACTGACACAGCATCATTCCGAGTCCACAGTTCACATTGGGCTTCACTCTTGGTGTTGTCATTCTATGGGTTAGGACAAGCATATAATGACATACATCCAGTGTTACAGTATCACACACAGGGTTTTACTGCCTGAAAAATCCTCTGTGCTCTGCCCATTCATCTCTCCCACCCCTCTAGCCCCTAGCAACCACGGATCTTTTTACTGTCTCCATAGTTTTTGTCTTTTCCAGCACGTCATTGAGTTGAAATCATACAATATGTAGCCTTTTCAGATGGGCTTCTTTCACTTAGTAATATGCTGGAACTGTTTTTTCCCTTCCTTCCTTCCTTCCTTCCTTCCTTCCTTTTTTCAGACAGAGTCTCGCTCTGTCGCCCAGGCTGGAGTGCAGTGGTGCGACCTCAGCTCATTGCAACCTCTACCTCCTGGGTTCAAGCAATTCTCATGCCTCAGCCTCCTGAGTAGCTGGGATTACAGGTGCCCGCCACCATGCCCGGTTAATTTTTGTATTTTTAGTAGAGACGGGGTTTTACCACATTGGCCAGGATGGTCTCGATCTCCTGACCTCGTGATCTGCCCAACACGGCCTCCCAAAGTGCTGGGATTACAGGCGTGAGCCACCGTGCCTGGCTCAGAACTTTTTATAAAGGACTTTTGAGAAACAATTTATTATTCATAATTTAAGAGTCAGGATAACATTTTTTTTTCTAATTAAAAAAAGATTTTATTTCTTATAAAAATGTATTTTATTTTCTGTCATGACCAAGCATCTAGGAGGTACAAAGCCCTGTGCTAGGTGCCACAATGACAGGAAGGCAGTGATAAGAAAATTTGCCCGTGGCAGGTCTTGTGCAGATGGATTTATCGTGCGGTGGGAGGTGAGCACACAGGCATCTGCGCAGCAGGGAGGGGAGGGGCTTTGCTCAGCCTGGGAAAGGTGGGTGTCTGGAGGCAGAACTCTAAAAGATACGTAGGTTCAGGAAGGGAGAGTGATGCCTTGTATCTGATGGCCTTGAGGAGACAGGAGGGACATAGGGCATGACTGCAGAGAGGTGGAGGCACCTGAGGCTGCGGAAAGACATTGGATGCAACATGGAGCCTTTGCACAGATTCCTGTAATGGGGGATCTCCTTTGGGGAAGAGCCTTGTGGATCAGAGCGTAAGGCAGATTGGAAGGGTGAGGTGGGAGTGGGACTGTTAAGAGCACAGCAGTTTCCTGGGCGTGATCTATGGGTGCTGGACAGACGCACAGATGGAGAGACATTGGGAGGTCATGCTGAGCAGATGGGGAGGTTGGTTGGCTGTGAGGACCAGGGGGAGGAGAGTCATGACTGGCTTCCAGGAAGTGACTTGTGAGGCATGGGGCATGGAGAAGACCACACATAGACAGTGTGTAATTCATCCTTCAAACTGGGGCACTTTTGAGAATGACAGAGGGCACTGTTCATAACCATGCAAGAATAGGTGAAAAGCAAGTCTGTCCTGGGCAAACTGGGGTGAATGGGTACCCCACTTGTAGGGGATACAGGGAAAGGAGCCAGTTTGAGGAGGTAGAGATAATTAATATTTACAAAATCAATTAGGCCCAGAAAAGCAAAATCTTTATTTTATTACATTTGGAACTCAAAAGGCACAGCTTTACCCTCATCATCTGAATGTTCATCTTGATGATTTAAGAAATGTTTAGGAATTTGTATCACTTTGAATCTTTAAAAAGTGATTTTGTGAGAGTGGCTAGTTCAGGAGAGGACTGTCTATTAATTATTTCTCTGTGTGTTTCCTCTGGCAGAAAACCCTTCCTGGACCAAGGACATTTTGTGTGCTACTCTGAGTTGCAAGCAAAATGGGATAAGGCATCTCATTTTATCTGCTATACAAGGGGTCACTTTGGCGCAGGACCACTTCCAGGTTTGTCGTCTTTAATATTTCAGAGAATTTCATGTTCATGACTATTGGCCCTTGCAAGGCAGTCCAGTTATTCAAACTTGCTGCTTCGTTCTTATAACTACAGCAATGGTGTCATACACAGTCTTGTTGCAAGCTGGGCTTGCAGAATGACTGCTCACCCTTCCTCCCTCTTGGCCTCTCCCAGTGGTGTGCTGGGTTGAGTGGCACTGAGTTGAGAGATCGGATTGTTAAATTTTCAGGAATTTTGCAAGCTGGTTGTTAAACATAGATGTCATCATTATAAATAAATTATATAAACTTATGATGAAATAAATCATGTTAGAAACACAAGTAATAATTACTCAAGATTCATCACTTCCTAATTATTTTAGTATGTTTTACTGTTATCTCTCTTCCTGAGATGATTTGCTTTTGTTGTATCCACATGATGGAAATACTATGTAGTCTTGTGCTAAGTGCAGTTCTTCCCTTCTCTACGTTTAATGACGTTATGGTGGCAGCATGAACTGGGCCATGCAGGAGCTTTTGCACCATGGAAATTGGCAAGTGCTCCAAATCAGAATTTTTTTTTTCTGGAGAGTTAGTTTTTAAATATTTACCAGCCCAACACTGGCTCTAACTCATTGAATACACTGGCTAGTACCAAAAATTGATGGCTGAATGGGAACCAGCATAGCAATTTCCTTTTTATTAAATTGGACACATGCCCAATAGGCTCCCATGCAGGGTCTCCAACTATAGCTGAATCAGACAATGTGTCTCTTATTTGGGCCCCACTCCTTTGTCCTAGAATTAAAGACCCCTGGGCCCCTAGGTAGGCCTGATCCCCCTGACAAGCTTGGACAATGGTGATGTCCTTCCAACAATGCAGTGAAGACCTGTCTCTCTTCTAGTTCTGGTTCTGAATGTTGTTTCTTGCTTTTGTGATCCATATTATCTGTGAGTATGAGATTATCACAGAAAGCAGAGAAATAGATGATGCCGAGAGAGATGAGAGATAGCCATGCCAGACTCCCACAGCATGGCAAGGGTGTCGAATGCCATGCCTTGGTGAAGTGTCAGGAGGGAGTGAGAGCTGCTGATCTCTAATCAATGTCTTGTGGCCTTTGGAGGAGTGGTGCCTGTCAGCAGGAAGCCCTGAGCAGTCCCTAGCAATGATTGACTTTACAACCCCAAATTTACATTGATTTTTTTAGAACATCAAATTCTTATTTCCAGGTTGTGCAGATCTTTGTCAGGTATTAAATGTGGATACAGGAAAAAAAAAAGCCCCACAGACAATTTTTTTTTTTTTTTTTGAAACGGAGTCTTGCACTGTTGCCTGGGCTGGAGTGCAATGGTGCAATCTCGGCTCACTGCAACCTCTGCCTCCCGGGTTCAAGTGATTCTTCTGCCTCAGCCTCTTGAGTAGCTGGGATTACAGGTGCCAGCCAGCACGCCTGGCTAATTTTTTGTATTTCTTGGTAGAGGTGGGGTTTCACTATGTTGGCCAGGCTGGTCTTGAACTCCTGATCTCGTGATCTGCCCACCTCGACCTCCCAAAGTGCTGGGATTACAGGCATGAGCCACCTCGCCCGGCCCCTCACAGACAATTTTTTAGTGATGAGTGAAGGTTATAATAATAAAATAGTCAAGAGACTCCAGCTTTCAGAGCAACTGACTCAAAGACTGTATTTATAGTTCAAATTGTTATATGATTGTCAACAAGTCTGGCTGGTAACAGTTGGGTTAGTTTTGATAAAGAGCAGAAGTTCCTGTCTTTAATGACAAAAATAGTATGTTGCTTATCTCAGGATGCAAAGCTTTTAAGATGGGTCTGTGGTTCAAGGGCTTCAAGTATGTGAGACTTTTAGAAATACAAATCTTTTTCAGGCTGTGGGATATGAAGTCGCCAACAGAGATGGGCAAAAAGCACAATGCCATTTGCTAGTTTTCAGTATCTAAATAAATATTTTAAATATAGTTTTCTCAGTAGCAACATGGAATTCCCATTTAGAGAGAAAGTTTCAGCTGATTGAATCGATATGACAAAAGTTTGGGGCTGTCAACTCCTTACCCTCTTCCACCCTTTGTTCCAAATAGTAGAAAGTAGCAATAAGGAAATGAATGGGGCAGAAATTAAACTTCAAAAATGACAGCAAGTGCCCACTGTATTTCCTGGGCTAAGCTGAGTTGGAGAATGCAGCTGGAACTTCAGGTTGGGTGGGGGCTTCCTACTGCCTCTCTAGATCTAGACCTTTGGGTCCACCTGTATACACTTATCCAGCATTTCTTGATTCTAGGCCTGATGTAGCCGGAGAAGGAGAGTCTGATAGGTGCTGCCTTTTCCACGTGGTGGTTTTACCTGATCCCAAAAGTATAGCCTGATGAATTTCAATCTCAACTTTGGCCTAGATGCCTCTGCTTACCTGGAGCCTGGTACACCTGTGCTGAAGAAACTTGGAATTTTTCTTCCGGTAGTCCTTGCTACTGGGGTAGAATGTGCACTTTTCTACTTTATAATCCCCTCTATGTCAAAATTATTATTTTATTAAATTTAAGAATAACATCCATAGCAGGAATATTATAAATGCATTGAATGAAAATTAATTTGCATGCAGTTACAAATTACAAACTAGAGGTTCTTTGCTATAAGGGAATACTCCATGGCAGAGCCCTCATGCAGTAGGTTTAATTCAATCTATGTTCTCAGGAGTGAGTTGGCCCCTAAGGGGATACTCACCTGTATCTATTGTTCTGACCTAGTTGTATTTCTGCATTGATATGCTACAAAAAGGGATCTCTTTGGAGCAAGGAGAATACCGAGCCTGAAATGCCTGGGTGAGAGAATTGGAGAAGGTTTAGAGAGCTTCACACTCAGGGAAAAAAAAAAAAAAAAAAAAAAAAAAAAGAGAAAAGAAGAAAAAAGCAGAGTGTGAAAGTCCAAGGGCTTCTGTGCATGTTATTAGAAATGTGCATGTAGCTTGGAGTCTTGAGGCTGGACCTAGACATCTCTCTGCCTTGCAGATGCTCTTCCTGAGTTTGCTACCATCCTTTTTCTTTCTGCTTTGCTGTGGTGACATTCAGACATCAGACAATAAATGGGGTCTGTGCACATTAGGGGCAGTGGGTGGGTGAAGGCTGGAGGAGGCTGTGTCTCTTCTGGTAGAGCAGTCAGCGGAAACCTAAGTGAAGAAAGGAAAGAAGTCTGTACCCTTGAGCCCTGTCACACGTTAGAAAATGGAGACGGGCTTGAGCTGAGCACTCCTTGTCAGACCCCTTCAGGTGTTACTCACACAATGCAGGGGTTCAGTTGCTTGGTGGGTATCAACCCAATGACCACAACCAAGGAGGATTTAACAATGAGATTTAAGTAAGGAGAACACCAGGGATGGTTCCCAAAGTAGTGCCTCTGAGCTGGGGACGGGTTAGGTTTTATAAACGTCATGTAATGTGGATCTGATTGACTGGGTCCTGCCATGGGTGATGCCAGAGCTCAATCCAGTTGGATCCTGGATCCTGCCATGCAATGTCCGCTTCTTAATTCAATCCCTGCTCCTCAGTCCGAGCACTCCAGCTCCCCCTGTGGTTGCACACTAGTTCATCCAGGCATGCCCGGGTTATGTGACCTGAGGGTCCATGGCAACTGAAAAACTACTCACAACTTTGTTACGTAAAAGTCGAACCAGATTGGCCTGGTGCGGCTAACATAGACAGCAGACACCACTCCACCTGCTCAGTCCGTCAACCT
Organism: Homo sapiens; assembly: GCF_000001405.40. Classification (NCBI taxonomy): domain Eukaryota; kingdom Metazoa; phylum Chordata; class Mammalia; order Primates; family Hominidae; genus Homo; species Homo sapiens. Next base: position 48,291,809 of record NC_000007.14, read on the forward strand.
TCACATGCGGAATCTCACTCCTCACCTCCGGCTTCTGAGCCCGGCATTGACACAGACTCAGCCACGCCCATCCCCACGTCACTCAGCTCCCGGCACTTTCCCTGGGCTCCTCTTGCATCCTTGACCGACTGTCTCCAATTCCACACCTGGCTCCTCTATGTGGCAGAAGGACCCAGGCTGTCTCCAGACCCTTTCTGTTCTCAGTCTGTGCTCACATGCTAGGGAATCTTATGCAGATTCATTTGCAACCTAAAAATCCCAATTACTTCCTGACAACTTCCAAATTTCCTTCTCCAGCCAACACCTCCCCTGACCTTCATGCTCATGTGTTCAGCTGCATTCCCACTCAGATGTCAAGCAGGCCCCTCAACTTTACTCATCTGAAAAAAAACCTCTTCATCTTTCCATGTAATTTTTCCCACCCCTGGTGTTCTTTCCCTCAGATGCCAGGGACAACAACCTTGGCATGCTTGTTTAGTCTTTGTTCTTCTTATTTTTTTCAGTTAGAAAACTCTCCCTTCTACCTTCCAAATGTTTCCCTGATCTGGCCATGTTCTACCACCTCCACCAGCACCTTTCAGATATGAGCCAGCTCTCCCTTCCTTCTCCCCTTGCCTCGATCCCTAATGCGGTAGCCAGAGTGACCCTTCCAAAACATCATCAGATGGTGTTACTCCTTTGCTGAGAGTGTCCAGCGTCTTCCAGTCTTATTTGGAATAGGTGTCCGATTTCTAAGGGAGGCCACTGCTAGGTCCTGCTGTCTGGGTGGCATATCTCTCCTTCTGCCCTCCCCGGCACTCTCTTCTCCACCTCGCTGGCTCCTTTGCACCCACCTCAGGGCCTTTGCACTTGCTGCTCCCGCACCTGCAGTGTGCTTCCCTAATGATGATAAGGAGGGTTGTACACCTTCCTCTTGCACCTCCAGCACTGCCCCCACCCCTGCCTTATTTTCCTCCAGGTCACCTGTGACATGCTGACCAGTTTGCCCCTACAGCTGTCTGCTGGTAGTGTTCCTGCACTGGGTTGTGAACCTCATGGAGGTAGGAGTTTTGTCTCCTGTGTTCATAGCTCTCAGTCCGGCACCTAGCCTGGGCCTGGCACTTGGCAGGTGCTCCATAAGTATTTTTTGAATGAATGAATGAACAGTCCTATAGGATTTCTGTTCAAGTTCCACTCCCAAATCACTTGGGAAGAAAAGAAACTTATAAAATGAATGACAATAATAGATGAATTAGAGTCAAGAAGTTGCATGCTTTGTAATAATCTATTGGCTGGTTTAGTTCCCCCCACAGTGAGATTTTGTGGTTTGGTTGAGGCGGTGGTGACAGTGGCATGAGTGCTCTGATCATGGATTAACGTTCATCATTTCCTGAGAAGTCTTCAGCCCCCCCCCCGCCACACACACACTAAATCTACCTCAGCTCTGCTGGGGGGCTCCATCTTGGGGCGGCCTCCAGAGCTTAGCTCCCAACCTTGACTTTTCAGCAGTCTTCACATTTCCTTGGAACATATATTTGTGAGCTTCCTCTGGCCACTTGAATGATTCATGATTTTCCTTTGCAAGAGAAATTGACAGTGGTTTTGAAAAAAATATTCAAAGTTTTACTTCGACAGAAATATTATCTAAGTGTTGACCTACATATGATACCTTCCCATAATTGGTGCAACCTGGAACTATGCTTCCAATATCAGTAAGAATATGTTGATATAAATAAAATGTGATGAAGCAAATAAATTCTGATGATGTAAAATAAAGTATTTATGGTAGAATAGCTGTGACTAGGGAAAGTGTATAGATTCATGTGTATGTTTATAGACATAGATGTTATATGTTTGTGGTGTTTTCTGGGTTATTTTAAATATTATGTTACCTATATTTGTCATTTAATTCCACATATGGTGTTTTGCATTTTGTCAATTAATAGGTATTATTCTAAAAGGTTTTTTTTTGGCAAAATGATTGGTTGTTTAAAAAACTGATTGTTTCTAGGAAGATACGGATAAGATGTCCATGAAATCTTAGAGGTGGGGGTTAGAGATGTGGAGAGTGGGGACCTACTTCTGGAGTCTTTCCAGATGTTCCCCAGAGTCTTAGGAGCCTCTCCACCTGCAGTGGACAGAACAGGAGCCTCTCAGGCTGTACTGCTGACCTTCAGAGCACGGCAAATCCCGGTTTTATCCACCTCACATAGGAATAGCCACATATGATTTCTTTCTAATCATTGTGTTTGTGGCTGTGAATTTTGAAAAGCCTCAAGTTTCTTTAATTTTTTTTTCATTTTCATATTTATTTTTTAATAATATATATTTGAAGTGTACAACATGATGTTTTGATAAACATACAAAGTGAAATGATTACTACAAACAAATGAGCATATCTGTCATCTCAGAGTTATCTTTGTGTGTCGTGCGTGTGTGTTAACAGTACCTAAAATCTACTTTCTTAGCAGATTTCCAGTATGTAATACAATATTGGCAACTATAATTCTCATGCTGTATATTAATTCTCTAGATGTGTTCATTCTACATAACTGCAACTTTATACCCCTTGACCAACATCTTCATTCCTCCCAAGTTCATCCCTGGTAACCACCACCCTATGCTTTGTTTCTATGGGTTTTTTTTTTTTTTTTGTTTTGTTTTTTTTTTGAGACGGAGTCTCGCTCTGTCGCCCAGGCCAGACTGCGGACTGCAGTGGCGCAATCTCGGCTCACTGCAAGCTCCGCTTCCCGGGTTCACGCCATTCTCCTGCCTCAGCCTCCCGAGTAGCTGGGACTACAGGCGCCCGCCACCGCGCCCGGCTAATTTTTTGTATTTTTAGTAGAGACGGGGTTTCACCTTGTTAGCCAGGATGGTCTCGATCTCCTGACCTCATGATCCACCCGCCTCGGCCTCCCAAAGTGCTGGGATTACAGGCGTGAGCCACCGCGCCCGGCCCGTTTCTATGGGTTTGACTTTTAAAAAGTTTGACTCTACATGTAAATGAGATCCTGTAATAGTTTTCTTTTTGTGGCTGACTTACATCACTTAGCATATCTTCTGGGTTCATCCATGTTGCTGCCAGTGGCATAATTTCCTTCTTTTTACAGCTGAATAATATTTTATTGTATATAATGTCACATTTTCTCTATTCATTCATCTCTTTAGAAACATTTTGGCTGATTCTATATCTTGGCTTTTGTGAATAATGTAAATATCTCTTTGGGACATAATTTCATTTCCTTTGGCTTTATACCCAGAAGTGGGATTTCTGGATCATATGGTAGTTCCATTTTTAATATTTTGAGGAATCTTCATACTGTTTTCCATAATGGCTGTACCAATTTGCATTTCCACCAACAGGGCACAAGGTTTCCCTATCCTGCACACCCTTACCAACACTCGTTATTTCTTGTCTTTTTGATAACAGCCATCCTAACAGGTATGAGGTAATAGCTCATTGTGGTTGATTTGCATTTTCCTGATGATTAGTGAAATTGAGCACCTTTTCTTTTACCTGTTTGCCATTTTGATGTCTTCTTTGGATAAGTGTCTGTTCAGGTTCTTTGACCATTTTTTAAATTGAGTTATTTGTTTTTCTGCTATTGAATTGTGTGTGTTCCTAGGAACAGAGCTTCAGGAAGTTAAGAGCCAGGCGATTTGGTGGAGAATTGCGTGTTCTCTGCTGTGTGTTCAAGAACAAGCTGTCTTGCTTGGCTGGCTAACAGCGGAGCCAGGAGTAAAATCTGGGCTTCTGTATTTCCACAGCCAAGGGCTCTTTCTACTACTCTGCAATGCACAGAAGCAACTGACATGATTGTTCTCTGTGTTTCCTGAGACTAATGAGAATAAATCAAAATCTTACAGATAAGTATGTGTGCTTCTAACCTATATCATTGCTATGTTTTCTAGGAAATTGAAAAGATATGGTCCTCGCCGAATCAGCTAAATTGTGAAAGTCTTAGCAAGAATCTTTCTAGCACCTTGGAGAGCTTCAAGAGCAGCTTGGAAAATGCCACTGGCCAGGACTGCACAAGCCAGCCGAGGCTGGAGACGGTGCAGCAGCACTTGTACATGTATGCTCTGATATTCTTTCATGCCCTCCCCAGTACTTCCATTCATAGAGAGGATGTCTAGGACTCTTTAAAATGTGAATTTCAGACAGTGGTCTGTATAATATACTCTTAATGTGCATATTAATATATATTTTCCAAACATCAAAGTTTTCCATGACAATTTTTGAGTGGTAAAATGTAACAGCAGCATTAATCAGAAGGCTAACTTTATTGGCGATAAAGATATTAGATATAAGAATGTAATCCACAACGCTTGGTGGCAAATGCCTGTAATCCCCTCTAATGGGAGGCTGATGTGGGAGAATCGCTTGAGGCTAGGAATTTGAGACCAACCTGGGCAACATAGCAAGACCCTGTCTCTAAAAAATAAAAGCAACAACAAAAAAATTAGCAGGATTTGGTGCTGTGCATTTATGGTCCCAACCACATAGGAGGCTGAGGCAGGAGGGTTGCTTGACCCCAGGAGTTCAAGGCTGCAGTGAGCAGTGATTGTGCTACTGCACTCCAGCCTGGCTGACAGATAAAGGGCCTGTCTCATAAATTAAATAAATAAATGAATAAATTTCTGTTTGAACAGCAAATATTTTTCTTTTCTTTTCTCTTTTTTTTTTTTTGAGATGGAGTCTCGCTCTGTTGCCCAGGCTGGAGTGCAGTGGCGCGATCTCGGCTCACTGCAAGCTCCACCTCCCGGGTTCACGCCATTCTCCCTCCTCAGCCTCCTGAGTAGCTGGGACTACAGGCACCCGCCACCATGCCCGGCTAATTTTGTTTTTTTATTTTAATAGAGATGGGGTTTCACCGTGTTAGCCAGGATGGTCTCCATCTCCTGACCTCATGATCCGCCCCCTTCGGCCTCCCAAAGTGCTGGGATTACAGGCTGAGCCACCGCACCCGGTCGCAAATATTTTTCAAATTACCTTCATGTTTGATCAATTTTGCTTAGTGTTCTGAAAGTGTAAAGCACCAGAAGGGGAAATAAGGAACTTTAAATTCTGCAAGTGACTTTTTCACTGAAAGAATGATGTTCATCTGACCCTGGCTATCCTAATTTCTCGTACGTTCCATGATCTATCCTATCTATTCTCTTCACAGTTGTGAAAAGCCATTTATTATGCATCCTCATTCCCCTGGTTCATCTCGGTTGGCAGGAGCTCTGAGAAAGAAATACTGGAGTGTGGGTAGTATTAATGGATATTCACATACAGATGGTATTGGGAGACATGTGGGTCTAATTGTTGCAGGAACTTTATGGAAATGTGATCTTGTTATCCAGTCCATCTCTTGGGAGCTGAGGCAGTATTATTCATTCCAACACTGTTTCTGATGTTTTAGCTTGCCTAATTTAGCTTTAATTTTCTGCCATTTTAGGTTGGCCAAAAGCCTCGAGGAAACTTGGTCATCAGGGAATCCCATCATGACTTTTCTCAGCAATTTCACAGTAACTGAGGGTAAGTATGTGGTTTTCCAAGTTTGCTTGATTAAAAATTAAATTTAGTTTCTCATGCAAATATATTATTAAAATAAAACATACAACAGAAAATTTATGCTATATGTGATACATAATCATTTACAACTTGGCTGGTATGATGTATTTGGCATTTATAAAGAAAGTCCTGAAATCCTAGGGTACCATGTTGAAGCAGAGGAACAAAGAGAAGCTTCTGTGGTCTGGATTTTGCTCTGGCCTTGCCTCCTCGGACAAGCAATTGATGTCTGTGTGTCTCTGTTTCCTTGGCTGTTCACTCTGTCAACTCATGAAGCTTCTTGTAGCATTAACATGCCATGTCTGAAGAATTCTGGCAAATACTTAAATGATCCCTCTCTTCTTAAAAAAGTGAGATGAGTAGATGCATGTATACAAGTGAGTTTCTTATAGCACTTGGTCACTGCTCCCTAAGAAGAAGCTCTTTCTTTCTTTCTTTCTTTTTTTTTTTTTGTGTCTCACTCTGTCACCCAGCTGGAGTACAGTGGCGTGATCTCGGCTCACTGCAACCTCCGCCTCCTGGGTTCAAGCGATTCTCCTGCCTCAGCCTCCTGAGTAGCTGGGATTACAGGGATGTGCCACCATGCCCGGCTATTTTTTTTTTTTTTTTTGTATTTTTAGTAGAGACAGGGTTTCACCATGTTGGTCAGGCTGGTCTCGAACTCCTGACCTTTGATCTGCCCACCTCGGCCTCCCAAAGTGCTGGGATTACAGGTGTGAGCCACCACACCCAGCCAGAAGAAACTCTTTCTAAAGTAAATGTTCTTAAAACATACAGGCCTTAGAGAGAGTAGACCAGTAACCAGAAAATACCACAGAACCTGGCATTTTGGTTTATTGTCATATAAATTATTTAAGTTATTCCCAGGGGAGTAAGGTATGACTTTATTTAGTGATTTATGGGTTGAATGGTGTGAAAGAAACTATCCTAGCCAGGTTGTAATATCAAATTTTGTTTTCGCAGTCAGTAATGATCTAAACCTTTATTACACAAATTTCTTATTTTCCTTACTTTGCAGATGTAAAAATAAAAGATTTGATGAAGAATATCACCAAGTTGACTGAGGAGCTTCGCTCTTCCATCCAAATCTCGAATGAGACTATCCATAGCATTCTAGAAGCAAATATTTCCCACTCCAAGGTGTGGTGCTGTTTCTTGTCTGTCTGTTTTGCTCATGGAAGGAGCCTTAGCCTGAAGTCACTGGCACTGTGTTGTCCTTTCTTCCTTCTTGCCTTCCTCTCCTTTGGCTAGTGTAGTGGGTTGCTGCACAAATGATATAATTGGAGGCAGAAAGGAAACAAGAGAACAAGCAAGGAACCAAAGGGTGTCATTGTCCCATGCCAAAATCTTAGGGTTTTTAATTCCATAATATTTTCTTTATTTGGAGTTAGAACAAAGTTGGTGATTATTTATTCTGTTGATTTCCAGCCCTGATGCATGACACCTGGGAAGGGTCTCGGCTTGATTCAGCAGGTGTTGCAAAATTCTTAAAATACCCAAAACCAAAAACAGCTAAAAATATCTTAAGAATCAACTATGACTTCCTCTGAGTGGAGAGTGACTGGGCACAGTCTGACTATGTGCTACCGTAGTGAATCACTGTGAACGCAAATGAGTAATGGCAGGCTGTGTCATCTCCAAGCTGAAAAATGTGATAAAACAATCAAAGAGCTACTGCAACAAACCAAGGGATGAGTAACACATACGGGCCACATGGGGTATGGTTTCTCTGTGGAAAAGGGGAACGGGGACATCTCATGTTTTCCACAGCAGATATCACCTGGATCCTTAGCAGGAGATTTTCTGAGACAGCTTTCAGCACTTCTAGTTGGGGTTTTATCTTCCTGTACAGAGAACCTTCCAGAAGTAGTAACCGTGGAGCTGACTCGTAAGTGAACGTTGCAATTGACCATCAACTGGGCCCCAACACACGTTTAATATCATGTCAATTCTGGTTAATTGGGGCTTATTGCAAGCTTGACGGGTGGACTAATGAAGAATTAATCTAAATTAAAAAGAGATTAGAAGCTGGGAAACCAAAATTCAAATGACAGTGTCACCAAGTTACTTATAATAAGGCACTTAGTATTTATCTTCAAGGAAAAATGTCAAATTCAGCTTATTAAACATGCAAGAGCCAAGGAAAGCAGGGGGCAGTGCTGAAATTGTCTCTTCCCTACCTCGCATGATGCCTTATAGAGAAACAATGAAGATTTTTGGTTTAAAATCTTTAGTTATTGAAACGAGTAATAGGGGAAAGAAGCAGTGGAAGGAGTAATCGGAGCAGCTACCTGGGAATGTTTTAAGACCAGGGTCAGATTAGCTAACTTCTGGGGTCCCTTTCAAATTCAGTTTTATGATACTTTTTGGGTTTGGGCTCAACTGTTTTTGATGACCACTGCCTGATGAAACAAGTGGCCACTGGGTGTCACTGCTGTTCTATTATGGGAGGGCTGTGCACAGAGAAGGCTCCTGTGGTAATGTGGTATTGTCTTGTGTAGATGGTTCTGTAGTGCTTTTTTTGCACTCTGTGTATCTTTCTCTACCTCTTTGTCAGTATGAATCATTATGATCGCCTAAACAGCTGGACAGTTAAGTAATTGGGAGGAGTATTTAAAAAGTTGCATTCTTGCGTTTCAAATAAGTAATGAGATTATTTGCTTTGATGGTTAAGTATATCCATAAATGCACATGTATCTACAGATCCTAGGCAAGGAATTAACATTAGGTTAGGAGGTGACACTTTGGATACTTGTTTTTTCTAGATTGTCAGGTTTTTAGCAGCACCATATTATTTCTAGTATCCTTTTCTTATCTTTCTTCCTGGGTTTCTCTACCATAGCTTTAGTCAGTTTGCAAATAATCACATCAGATTCTTAGTCCAGGCTGTTGGTGGCATGCAGGGAATACTCTTCAGTGGTGCTAAAGCCCTGGCAAAATTGCAGAAATCTTCATTCATTCATTTCTTCCTTTATTCACTTAGGAGGTTTCTGCATGACAGGCATGGTCCCAAAAACTTGGGCTCAAAGCCCGTGCTCCAAGGGAGCCAATGTTCTGTGGGGGATGACACAGTAAATATGCAAACAAAAGAAGGTCAGTGTTAAGAGACCAGAAAGTTCTATCATGCAAATAGAACACAACAATGAGGACAGGTGGTCCCTGGAAGCCTCCCTGAATCGGTGAAGATGGATGTCAGACTGGAATGATGATCTGCATATGAAGAGCTATATGAGAGTCACAGAGCTGGGGCATTTCTGTCAAAAGACCAGAGACAGGAGTGAGCAGAAGGAGGCAAATGCAGCAGATGCATGGATACCATCTCATTTTTCTTTCCTGCCCTCTTCCCTGGCTGCAGAGAACCTGCCATGGGCACCCACCCATGGGAATTTCCTTTTTCTTGCAGAGCTCTATTCTCTAATATCAGCATCACCCAATTAAAACCACAAATCACAGGGGCTTCCTGGACACTGGAGCCCATCTAGCCCAGCCTTCTGTCCTGGGTTTGCATCCTGTCCACCTGCCCTGTGAAGCACCCATCCACTTCATGCTGTGTTCCTATGTTTTAGGCACATGTTCAAATCAACAATGACTTCCTTCTTTGTGTTGGGCCAAATTTTTATTCTTTTAAAATTAGCAATGAGGCCAAAGTGTCAGGACCCAAATAGATTGAGAGAGCAATCAAAAGTCGGCCCTCTGTCCCTTTATTTTCTGTGGTAAACAATTAGGCAGAGTTCAGAGGACTTTTGCTTGGAAGATGAATATTTTTTCACAGTCCTCAGTGGATTCATTCTCCCCGCGCCACAAATCTTAAGGAGGAAGGGAGAGGGCATTCCCTGAAAGTTCCAATCTCTTCTGGGAGGCTCCTTCAAATGGAAAGGTATTCTGAATTTTTTTTCTTTCTGTTTCTTTTGAGCAGAAATGATTGAGTTTGGTGAATCTGGTCAAATTTCCTTATCTCACTTGGGGCCGGTCCTGGGGGCTGGTTCTGTCGGTTGCGACATTAACAGAGCTGCTGGGCATAATTTATGGAGAGGGAGAGATTCCTTTTAGGAGTTTGGAAACATTACACATTCCACTTGTTTTAATACATGAAGTTTGTTTCCTGGAAAGCTCCAACAGATAGTTCTTGGTGAAACTCATTTCAGAGCAGACACTGGTCAAAATTTGCTCATTCTTTTTTTTTTTTCTTTCTCTGAAGACAAAAAGTAATTAATGTGTGACTAGAGTTATGGGTTTCTGGGATCATGAGAAGTTTGGCCTGAAGTTTCCTGGAAGACACCATCTGTCATGTGCAGAGTCTCATTCTAGAGAAAGTCCTTCCTAGGCCTTAGACTGCTTGTCTGGCTCTGTCACCACATCAGGAGATTGGGGTTTGTGGTCCTTGTAATCCAGGATTCACAGAATGAAGTGCACACACCCATCCACCACCATCTCATTCTCTGGTGTTCTTAGAGTAGGGCTTTTCTCTTTGATTTGTTTGATTTGTTGTCCTACCAGAGTATTCTCAGTAAATGTGGTAGGTTCTCATTAAACATTCACTAAAATAAAGTGAAATTCCAGCTACTCTCCTTCCATTAAGTCAGCTAGCGTTTCTTAGGTTTATGAAAGCCACGTTACCTTATTTGCTCATTAGGAATTCTGAGAAATGAGTATTGTGCTAAGGGCATTTGTGTCTCATTTAACTCCCTCTGAGCAGGGCATTTCTCTTCTTTCACAGATGAATGTGATGCTGTGGAAGTCACAGCTGGGAGAGGGCCTGAAATCAAACCCACGTCTTTGAACTTGAACTGTGTTATTCTTCCATCACATGATGTTATTGCTTCAATTTGTTACAAATTAATAGTTCTAAGAAAATTACTGCTTGCCGATGGGTTTCCTCTTCTCCTACTTGCACTTATGTAAATATTTTTAAACCTTAATTCCCCAATTGGCATTGATCTCTGCAAAAATGCTTCTTGCTAATTTTGGCAAAATATTTTTTCCTTTTTATTTTTAAAAATTAAACTTTTATTTTAGGCTTAGGGGTGCATATGCTGGTTTGTTATATAGGTAAACTCGTGTCAGGGGGTTTGTAGTACAGATTATTTCATCACCCAGGTATTAAGCCTAGTATCCAATAGTTATTTTTTCTGATTCTCTCCCTCCTTCCAACCTCCACCCTCAAATAGGCCCCAGTGTGCTTTGTTCCCCTCTTTGTAGCCATGTGTTCTCATTATTTAGCTCCAACTTATATGTGAGAATTTGCAGTATTTCATTTTCTGTTCCTGTGTTCATTTGCTGACGATAATGGCCTCCAGCTCCATCCATGTCCCTCCAAAGGACATGACCTTGTTCTTTTTATGGCTGCATAGTATTCCATGGTGTATATGTACCATATTTTCTTTGTCCAGTTTGCCCTTGATGGGCATTTAGGTTGGTTTCATGTCCTTGCTATTGTGAATAGTGCTGCAATGAACATACATGTGTAGGTATCCTCATGGTAGAATGATTTATATTCCTTTGGGTATACAGCCAGTAATGGGTCAAATGGTAGTTCTCTTTCTAGTTCTGTGAGGAATCGCCACACTGGTTTCCACAATGGTTGAACTAATTTACATTCTCACCAGGAGTGTATAAATGTTCCCTTTTCTCTGCAACCTCATCAGAATCGGTTACTTTTTTGACTTTTTAGTAATAATCATTCTAATTGGTGTGAGATGGCATCTCATTGTGGTTTTGATTTGCATGTCTCTAATGATCAGTAATATTGAGATTTTTTTCATATGCTTGTTGGCTGCATGTATGTTTTCTTCTGAAAAGTGTCTGTTCATGTCCTTTGCCCACTTTTTAATGAGGTTGTTTGTTTTTTTCTTGTAAATTTTTTTTAAGTTCTTTATAGATACTGGATATTAGACCTTTGTCAGATGCATATTTTGCAAAACCTCCCGTTCTGTAGATTGTCTGTATACTCTGTTGATAGTTTCTTTTGCTGTGCGTAAGCTTTTTAGTTTAATTAGGTCCCATTTTTCAATTTTTGCTTTTCTTGAGTTTGCTTCTGGCATCTTCATCATGAAGTCTTTGCCCATTCCTATGTCCAGAATAGTATTACCTAGGTTGTCTTCCAGGGTTTTTATAGTTTTGGGTTTTACATTTAAATCTTTAACCCATCTTGAGTTGATTTTTGTATAGCATAAGGAAGAAGCCCAGTTTCAATCTTCTGCACATGGCTAGCCAGTTATCTCAGCACCATTTATTGAATAGGGAATCTTTCCCTATTGCTTGTTTTTGTCAGGTTTGTCGAAGATCAGATAGTTATAGGTTTACGGCCTTATTTCTGGACTCTATTTTCTATTAGTTCCATAGGTCTATGTGTCTGTTTTTGTGCCAGTACCATGCTGTTTTGGTTAATTGGATATTCTTTCAAGGTGTTTTTTGATATCAAATTCTGATACTTTAATTTGCAAAGTATCATTTTTTTCTCTCAACTTCATCAGTCACCAAAAGATGAGAGTATCTTTTATATTTTCATCCAAGTCGTTAGTGCAGAAAGATTACCATGGCATAGGAAGGTATAACCTAACACCTATTTATTTGTTTGGGCTCTTAAATCAGTTGCAACATGTCTGTCTGGGGTGTCTTGGTAATTTATTAGCCTAATAATTTCATCATTAAAAGAAAATGACTTTATATTGACATGGCTCATTGATCATGACTGTATCGACATGGTTTCCAGCAATTTTCTTTTTCTTCAAGGGCTTACACATAATCTTTTGGATAATCCATGATTAGAATTCTTCAAGAATTGACATTATTATCTATTAGTAATTTCTAAAGTCTACTTTACAAAATAAAACCTGGATAGTTTTTATTTCCATCACGACTTCTTAAAAACTGTAGATAGTAGAACTGTCACTCTTTCTGAAGGCATGAAGAGGGAACAGGGAGAGAGGGAACTGGAAATGGAGACAGAGAAGTTGGTGGAGAAGGTGGCCAGACAGCAGCCATGGCCTCACTGAAGAACTACAGCCAGGCTGAATGGTAGTTCTCTTTAGGTTCTTTGAGAAATCCCCACACTGCTTTCTGCAGTGGCTGAACTAATTTACATTCCCACCAACAGTGTATAAATGTTCCCTTTTTCTACAATCTCACAAACATCTTTTATTTTTTGACTTTTTAATAATAGCCTTTCTGACTGGTGTGAGATAGAATCTCCTTGTGGTTTTGACTTGCATTTCTCTAATGATCAGCGATGGAACAATAGACATGGGGGACTACTAGAGGGGGACTACCAGATGGGGAGGATGAGAGGGGGAAAAAGAGTTGAAAAACCACCTATTGGGCACTATGCTCACTACCTGGGTGATGTGATGGTTCATACACCAAACCTCAGCAACACACAATTTACCCAGGCAACAAACCTGCATGTACTCCGTAAACCTAAAATAAAATTTGAGAAAAAAAGGAACTGCAGCCAAATGATGCCTGCCTTACTGGGCAAGGACACCATTGGCACTGCCCTAGAGGCCAGCTGCCAAGATGCTTATCCACAGATCTCCTAGGCATCCTGTTTTACCCTTCCAGTGTGAAGATGTTTCTCTTTAGGAATATGAAAACCAAGAAGGAATTAATTAGTTCTCTTAAGTGTAATCATCATCCTTAATCAATAAACCCACCTAATTCTTATTCATCTTTTCCCTTAAATATCCTGTAAGTCAAAACTGTGCTTTTGCTGGCAGTGACTGATAGGCTTCTTAGTAGTAACGTCATTTTTGAGCACTTATATACACTACCCCTGAGCTGAATGCTTTACATCTCATTTAATTCTCCCAACAACCCTTTGGAGCCCTTTGTCTTTTATTGTCATCCCTGGTTGTATAGACAAAGAAACTGAAGTGTGTAGATGTTAAGCAGCTTTCAGGAAGTCAGACGGTAAGAGCTGGAGTCAGGATCCACCACCTTGCCACAGTGTGGCTTCAGTCCTTCTGGCCAGGTTCTCGCAGCCTTCTCCTGCCCTCCGATGCTCATCTCTTGTACTTGCCTCTTTATCCTGTGAGCAGCTCTGAGCTCAAATGGGTCCCCAATGGCAGAGAGCCACACTGCTCCTCTCTGAAGGGCGTAGGGCCTATTTTTAAATACCTGCGCTCCTTTCATTGTCTTGTCTTACAAATTCTAACTTGGCAGACTCTCTCTCCCCATCATCTCCAGTTCCCTTGAATCACTGTCCGTGTTTCCCTTCCGGTCACAACTGAGCTGAGGGCAGCCTTTCCTCCCATGCTTTCCCAACCTCTGAGTCTACAATGAGCAGCTGGGCAACATGGAGGCCATCTCTGGTGCTCTCCTCTGAATGCGATTCGGGTTTCAGCAGATGTCCAATAAACAAAGCTCTTGCTAAAAATGCAAATGCCTCTCCTAAGGATCATTGTCATTTTTAAACCACATAAATACTCAGATAATTATCTAAGTGGCCAAGTGTGTATGAGCCAGGCTCGCAGGGCAGAGAGGCATCGCCCTGGATCCTAAGCCCCCTTACAGCTTTCCAAACCAAACACTGACACACAGGAAAATCAGCAGGAACTTGGCATTCTGTTTCTGATAATTTGCAGCATTAGCCTATGCAAAGCCCGAGATAAAAGGTGCCTGTTTTACTTTGAATAGAAATCACACAAGATATTTCCAATCAAGCACAACTCAGTGTTGTCTTTGCTTTTCTAATCTTCCTCCCCTCCTACCTACTCTCAAACAGGAACAACGAACGAACGCAATACAATCTTTAAAAGATAAATAGTAATATTTGGAAAACCACAGGAAAGGAGAGGGAGCAAATGTGCTGCTGGGGCTGTGGCTTCTGTGCATTGTGACTGCGGAGCTTCCACATGACAGGGTGTGGGATCCTCTCTATTTGGTAAAAAGAGATGTAAAAAATTTCAGGACAAATATTTTTTGTCCTGGGACTAGACTCTAAAAAACGTATTAAATATGATCTTGCATGGGGACCACTGTGTGACATGCTAGAAAGTAATTAATACAAATGTTCTATGACAAATGCAGAAAGGACTCTCATTGGGCCAGCTTGGGTTGATGCTCATGAAAAGCCAGGGTGATTCCCCTGAATTGGGGGTTTGGATGAGGTCCATTTTGAGGGATAGTTTCATGCAAAAGCCTATTTTGTGGGACTGATCAAAGAGAGGCTCCTCTTGTGAAAGCAAAGGGTAGATGCCTATATTCTGCTCCCAACCTCCTCCTGAGAGCTTCCCCTCTGCCCAGAGACAGCATGATTGAAAACAGTGGCATTAAGGAAAACTTCACCAATGTGTGTCTGCACAATGCCAGCCCTATATGAAAAAAGGTCTTTTTGGTAAGTTAGTGATGAAAATACTTAATATCCTTTCTTAAAGACTCAAAATGCACACTAGCATACTAGAGTATCATAGCCATTGGTGATGATTAATTTTGTGTGTCAACTTGGTTAGGCTGCAGTACTCAGATATTTGTTCAAACATTATTCTAAATGTCCCTATGCGGGTATTTTTTAGATGACATTAACAGTTAAATCAGTAGACTTTGAGTAAAGAAGATTACTCGTCATAATGTGAGTCAGCCTTATCCAATCAGTTGAAGGCAAAAAAAGTAAGAAAGTCCCCCAAGGAAGAGTAAGTTCCATCTCCAGGTAGTCCGCAGATGTGAGCTGCAATGTCAGCTCCTTCCTAGGTCCCAAATCCGCTGGCCCACCCTGCAGATTTTGGGCTTGCCAGCCCCCACATTTGCATGAGCCAATTCCTTAAAATAAATCTCTCTCAATGTATGTATGCTATGTGTCACTTAATGACTAGGATTCATTCTGAGAAATGCATCATTAGGTGATATCATCATTATGTGAACATTATAGTGTATACTTACACAAACCTAGCTGGTACAGCCTGTTACACACCTAGGCTATATGGTATGGCCTGTTGCTCCTAGGCTACAAACCTGTACAGCAGGTTACTCTACTGAATACTGTGGGCAATTGTAACATCGTGGTAAGTATTTCTATATCAAAACATAGAAAACACAAGAACGTATTTTACTATACCTGTTCTAAACATAGAAAAGGTACTGAAAAATATGGTATAAAAGATAAATAAAATGGTATGCCTGTATGGGGCACTTGGCATGAATAAAGCTACAGGACTGAAGTTGCTCTGGGTGAGTCAGTGAGTGAGTGGCAAGCGGATGTGCAGGCCTAGGACATGCCTGTACACCACTGTAGACTCAATAAACATTGTGTGTTTCTACATTTATAAAAAAAAATTTCTTTCTTCAATCATAGATTAACCTTAGCTTACTGTAACTTTTTTTACTTTATAAACTTTATTTATTTATTTATTTTTTTAAGACAGAGTCTTGCTCTGTTGCCCAGGCTGGAGTGCAGTGGCACAATCTCGGCTCACTGTGAGCTCCACCTCCTTGGTTCAAGCAATTCCCCTGCCTCAGTCTCCCAAGCAGCTGGGATTACAGGTGTACGCCACCATACCCAACTAATTTTTTTTGTATTTTAAGTAGAGACAGGGTTTCACCATGTTGACCAGACTGGTCTCAAACTCCTGACCTCAGGCAATCCGCCTGCCTTAGCCTCCCAAAGTACTGGGATTATAGGTGTGAGCAACTGCACCCTGCCGAACCTTTAAAATTTTAAAAAACTTTTGGACTCTTCAGTGATAACATTTATATTAAAACACAAATACATTGCACAGCTGTACAATTGTTTTCCTTTGTGTCCTTATTCTATAAGCTTTTTTCTATTTTAAGTTTTTTTACTTTTAACTTTTAAAATCGTATTTTTAAAAATTAAGACACAAACACACAGTCTAGTCTAGGCCTACATGAGGTCAGGATCATGAATACCACTGTCTTCCACTTCCACAGCTTGTCCCACTGGGCGGTCTTCAGGGGCAATAACATGCGTAGAGCTGTCGTCTCCTGTGATAACAATGCCTTCTTCTGGATACCTCCTGAGGGACTTGCCTGTGGCTGTTTTACAGTTAAATTTTTTTTAATAACTAGAAAGAGTATACTCTAAAATAATGATAATATAGTATAGTTAGTACATAAACCAGTAATATAGTCATTTATTATCCTTGTCACTATTATGTACTGTACATAATTGTGTGTGTGATACTTTTGCTATGAATGGGAGTGCAGCAGTTTTGTTTACACCGGCACTGCCACAAACACTTGAATAATACGCCAGGCTACAACACTACAATGGCTGATGTCACTAGAAGATAGGAATTTTTTCATCTCCATTATAATCATATTTTTCATCTCCATTATAATCTTATGGGACTACCACCGTATATGTGGTTTGTCATCATGTACCAGATAGCGATATTTTGGTCAACAATGGACCCCATATAGGATGGTGGTCCCATGAGATTATACTACTGTATTTTTACTGTACCTTTTTACTGTACCTTTTCTATGTTTAGATATGTTCAGCCACACAAATACTTACCACTGTGTGACAACTGCCTACAGGATTCAGTACAGTGACACGCTGTACAGGTTTGTAGTCTAGGAGCAATAGACCATACCCTATAGCCAAGGTATGTAGGAGGCTGTATCATCTAGGATGCTGTAAGTGCACACTATGATGTTCACACAATTAAACAATTACCCAATGGTGCATTTCCCAAATGTATCCTTGTCATTATGAGACACATGACTGCACACACACACACACACACACACACACACACATTCTCTTGGTTCTGTTTCTCTGGAGGACCCTGACTACTACACCATTATTTATATCTTACTGTATTTTGGGAACATTTTATGGCATCTGTTGAGTTCTCCGTGCTCTTCTTCAGAGAGCATGGTTCCTATTCACATAGGTTCATGCACTTCGGCCTCAGTTGGCCTGAATGTTTCACAGCAATCATACCCATCAGGAGCAAAAACATGGAGCAGGAAGTATGGTTTTTGTTTTATTTTGCTTTGTAATTTGGCATATCACAAATGTCCTTAACTGAAAAGCATACCCAAATGAAGAGGTGTGTCAAAGCCTTTAATTGCGATGCATGATAGTAATAAACTAGAGACTAATATAAGTTGTCCTCAGTGCCTCCTTCTGAGTGTACTTGCTTTAAAAAAATATATAACAAGCTTGGTAATCCTGTTTTCAATCTAAAAATGAAGGAGCAAAAAATATCAGCTTCACACTGATGACGGTGAAAAGTGGAAGCTGATAAACTGAAAGCCAAGGGTAAGACTTAATATCAGACAAACGAGACACAGATGCTAACTACGGGGGTGGCATCGGAGGGTGGGGGCTTGGTGGGCATTCAGAGTGAGCCTCGTGGAGAGCAGAGGGACAGAGTTTCAGAAGGGTGATCCAAAGACCTCAAGCGAGGGCAAATTTTATAAGAAGTCAGAGAATGATGTGCGCACTTCAGAAACATTTCCATCAAAATGTTGAGAATCGAACCCCAGTTTGGGCTCCCCGCATCTGCAGGTCAGTCCCGGGAGTTGGGAAATCCACTCTTGGGCGACTCCCTGCCGATGAAGCTCCGGTCTGAGGTGGTGAAGCACATGACGTCATAGGTATACTCACCTCTAATCTCTGTGCTTTGAAACAGGTTCTCTTCAGTGCCCTCACCGTAGCTCTGTCTGGAAAGTGTGATCAGGAAATCCTTCATCTCCTGCTGACATTTCCCAAAGGGGAAAAATCTTGGATCGCAGCGGAGGAACTCTGTAGCCTGCCAGGGTCAAAAGTGTATTCTCTGATTGTGTTGCTGAGTCGAAACTTGGATGTGCGAGCTTTCATTTACAAGGTATGGAGAGCATGCTGGCTGGGGGCAGTCCTCTGCAGGACTCTGCTGTGGTGGCTGCAGATAAGTACAGTAGTCCTAGGGGTGCGGCAGTGGGAGATCAGCACCTGGCCACTCTGCAGTGGTCTCCACCAGCCTCTGGTGTCACCTGTTTGCTGAATCCAAGGTGGGGCTCAAGAAGACTTTGTTGTAATAAAGGGATGTTCAGGAGACCCTTCAGGGGGTCCTTGGAAATAAGTGTCAGGGCATTGGGACAGAGTTGGTGGTGATCTCCATGCTCATTGTGGAAGGACCCACTGCAAAAACACAGCACCGCTTCCTAATGCCAGGTGTTCTCTCCTCTGTAAGGGCCACCTCCCTGGAGCATGTTTGAGGAGGCTGGGATTGTGCATGGTCCACTCCTGAGCGGCCCGAGTTAGGTGCTGCTCCCTGCACGGTGGCCCTATCTGTCAGCGGGAAGCATCCAGCTCTGCCAGGGCCTGCCCTGGAGAGAATGTGGAGGGGTGGGCAGCACAGGAAGCCCAATCCCCTGTGTGTGCCGGCTCTGACAAGCATGATCCTCTGACAAGCAGCAGTGTGAGGGCAGGGAGGGACTGGAGGAAGCTAAAGATGATGAAGTCTGCAGGAGAGAGTGGAGAGTGGGAAGTGAGGAGGAGCTGGGGCAAGCCCAGGCCCAGCACTTTCCGGACGGGCCCAGAACCCATGTAGGGGCAACCTAGCTCCAAACCACAGCTCACTGCTCTCAAGCTGCCCCTTCCAGAAGCTTCTCCTCCTTCTGGCCTCTACTGTTTGAATCTTTACTTAAGTTTCCAGAAGCTTCCCCTCCTTCTGGCCTCTACTGTTTGAATCTTTACTTAAGTTTCCAGAAGCTTCCCCTCTTACCCTTAGGCACTGATCTTGCTCCAAGTACCATTGTTTTCCCTTTAGGGAAGTATTTCACAACCTCTGGGTTCATTAGAGAGGCTGCAGGGTTTGTACTATGGTAAGGTGGCTGTAGGCACCCTGAGTTTGGGTGAACAGTTTTATAGTCAGCAAAGGGTAGATTTGCCATTTCAGCCACGCATGATTTCCTTAGTTTCTATTACTTCAAGAGTCCAGGGAGTAAATGTTGGAATGAACACACACACACCCACACACACACACTCCAAGAACAAATATTTGTTTTCAGAATGATTACATTTTAAACCCATAAGGAGGAGAATAAACATTTCTTGCATCCCCATAATTTGCAAACCCACCTCTATCTTGGTGGAATTCGTATTTTTCGCTAACATGCTTATGGTTTAGCTCTGCATTTGCTCACCACAGCCTCTCTTCCAACTTTACAGTTTGCCTTTTGGGAAACAGAGCTCCCATTGGCACGATGCTACTTTAGTGGCCACTTTGTTATGTGCACAAAGGTCCCCGATTTGAAGTAAGTGCTTGTAGAGGCCCACATAATTACTGTGACAAGGGCCATCATCTGTACCAAGATTTCTTTGAAGGATAAGATAGTGGGTTGGATTCAGTCTCCCAGACACAATGAAAATGACATCATCATTAATAACAACAGCTCTTATTTATCAGGTACCTTCTATATGAAGGGCTCTATGAAAGTTGATTAAATACAAGATATGGCTCAGGATGTTAGGGCAGCCCGACCTCCATGTGAGGGCCACGTGCAGGTGCAGCTCATTCCCAAGTCCATGTACTTTCTGATTCACTCAGCTGACAATGAATTTCTGAAGCCTTCAGCAAAGCACAGTTTGCTATATTAATTCGGCACATCAATCTGGTCTCTTGGAGCTGCGCTGGATCCCTGTCACTCCCCACCATAAGTCAGGGGCCAGTCACTGTGTGCCACTTTTTTTTAAAGGGCAGCTGCAATTAGAAAGATGAGTAGAAGAAGTGACAAAAGCTACACACCATTTCTCCTGCTAGAGTTGTCTCTATAGTATGAATGGACAGAATTCTGTCATTATAAGCAGAGTGCCTCTGTGAAGGATGGAGCTGTGATCCCGGAGCCCTGAAAGTCATCTGCAGAGCTAACAGCTAAAACACTAATGAGCAAAAATAAGAAGCAGTGACAACTGGGTTCCTCTGCCCCAGCCTGGAAAACAGAAAATTCAATATCCAAATGACAGACAGTGGAAATTAGCTGTGATTTTCCCTGCTCTGTGCGAAGAGCTGGCATTTCCTCATTTATCCATTCATCCAACAAATATTTATTGAGCAACTAATATTTCCTGTTGCTATTTTATGCCCAGTAGCTACATGAAAGATCAAGACAGAAGAAAAGCCTTGCCTCCAGTGTAGAACTGAGAATATGAAAAAAAAAAATCATGTAAAATACAGAGCATTTCAGTTGGTGATAGCATAAGTAAGCTTCAGAGGGCACTGACATTTTTAAAGAATCCAGGTTAAATTCACATCCCTGAACCTTTCTAACTGTTAGACTTCAGGAAGACTTTTAATCTCCTCAAGCCCCAGTTTTCTCATCCACAAAACGAACAGTATAATGCACATCCCCAAGGTATTAGGAGGATTGAGATGATGTGTGAATGCTATGAATACTGTAAAGCAGTAGATAAATGTAAATTGCTTCACATATAAGGACTGCTCATATTTTGAGCCTCTTCTCAAATTTCCACCTTGGTCACCTCAAAGATACAAAGAAATATTTGGCAAATGATTTGAATTTTAATGATAGATCACATTTGTTTCTGGTTTACATTTTAACAATGCTAGTGCAATTCAGTGTGCTCCAAAACACATGAGCTATATATACTCTAATGAAGATAACTTTCATATAGTACCGCAAAGGCGTCTCTGAAGTTCAAGAGAGAATAAAATCAGATAAACAAGTTTTCACAGCTCAAAAGATGCTTCTGAGTGTAAAAATACAGTGTTGGTTATTTCATGTTGTTTTGTTTTTGTTTTGTCCTTTAGACTCTGATGCCTTCTGAAGCAAATGGCTTGCTCAACTCCTTGCTGGATATAGTTTCCAGCCTCAGCGCCTTGCTTGCCAAAGCCCAGCACGTCTTTGAGTATCTTCCTGAGTTTCTTCACACATTTAAAATCACTGCCTTGCTAGAAACCCTGGACTTTCAACAGGTGTGTGTTTCATCTTTGTCCCTAGGGAAATATTCAAATTTGCCCCTTCTTTGTATTTGCCCCTTTTTGCCTTTATCTTCCCACATCTAAAATTTGCATTAGACAGCAAAATACAGGAATGAAAGTACCTTTTCATATCTCTGGAAGCAACAGCATAACATAGAATAAGGCCTGGCATCTCTCTAAAAACTGCATGAAACTGATATTGTTGATCTACATTCCACCAGTGTGGAGATTGGGATAGTACATGCATTATCTATAAAGTAAGAAATTACTAACTCAGTTATTGCACAGATGAGATTTCAAGGGCCTGTTTAACTTAATTCAGAGAGCAAATTGCTTTCAAAAACCTTAAAACATATATTTACTTATAAATAATTGGCTTACAAGTTACAGATCATTTACTGCAAATGCAAACACAAACTTGATTTAGTTTAGTGACTTGATGTTAGGTTTTGTTTGAACTCTTTTTGCCTGGGATGGAACTGACTGGGCACGAATGAGGAGGAGTGTGGAAATTTTAGGGTTGGACGTGTAGGATGAGGAGCAAGATAACAATGTTCTCAGAACTGCCTTGGAGACAGAATGTAAGTCCATCATGTGATAGATAATTTGTATAGCTATAAAATATCTGGATATCTTGGTAGCATAGACATACATTAAGACTAGTAATTAGTCTGAATTAGTGATATTTTATGGATTAATAATTTATTACTGGACAAATAGTGTAAGGACTTATGTGTGTGTGTGTATGTGTGTGTGTGTGTGTGTGTGTAGGTATGACATTTCCCTCTTCTACCAGGTATGTTGGCCAGAAAAGTTACCGTAGTGTTTCAAATGGTATCCCAAGGACAGAAAACTCTAAAGCAGACATTCCATTCTTTTGACTTGTTGAATATCTTGTACATTCAGTGGAGGAAGGAACTAGACTTTCAGAAGTGTGTGAAGGAATTGTTTTAAGTCACTATGTAATTGCAATTTAGTTTTCTTATTTTCTCAGGTTTCACAAAATGTCCAGGCCAGAAGTTCAGCTTTTGGTTCTTTCCAGTTTGTGATGAAGATGGTTTGCAAGGACCAAGCATCATTCCTTAGCGATTCTAATATGTTTATTAATTTGCCCAGAGTTAAGGAACTCTTGGAAGATGACAAAGAAAAATTCAACATTCCTGAAGATTCAAGTAAGACAGTAGTAATATATATATATGTGTTTAGATTCGTTTGTATCTTGATAATTGGCCTTAAATTATAGTAAGTATTCTGTCTGTGTATAAGGTTGCTATATACTGGCATAGAATCTTCTGCTTCCACCTCCCCAAATGCTGGCATGGCAGCTGACTTTGAACGGTTCTAGTGCCTTTGAGCACAGACAAATCCTCTCACCTGAGTCACTAAGGAACTGTGTCACCAAGGAAATGTCTAAAACACCTGAAACCCCAGCCCCATTGGTTTCCCAGGCTAACCAGTATTGGTGAGGGTCCAGGCATAAAGACCATGAGCACTGCTTTGGTCCATGCAAATGGCTATATTATAATAACGAAGAGAACTTGTCTGTGGCCACCTCCAAATTTGCTCTCTATGAAGCTCAGGTACAAGTGAATATGCATGATAGGTACAAACGAATATGTCACGATGGGTACAAATGAATATGCCACGATAGGTACAAATGAATATGTCACGATAGGTACAAATGAATATGTCATGATAGGTACAAATGAATGCAAATTAATACATAATTTTTTGGCCCCAATTTAAGTGAAGATGTTTTTATTAGAAAGGCAGAATAAACATGCTGGTGAGGTTTTGGAGTTTAGACGGTTCAGCTCCATCAGTTGTGCATTTTTGGACACATTGTTTTATGTGTCTGCATCATGTTGGTTTCATTTATAACGTAGAAACAGTAGCACCTGGCTCATAAGCTTATTGTGAGATGCAATGGATATGAGGAGTGTTGGTGCCTTAGCATAAGGGTATAAATGTATCCTAGTGTATTCGTTTTCTATGCTGCATGACAATCATTGCACACTTAATGGCATAAGAAAACACACATTTGTCATCTCATAATTTCTGTAGGTCACATGTCGGGATTTCTGAGTTAACATTTTTAGTTTTGTACATATCGTGACTATACTTTTTTCTGCAATAAAATTGCTCCTGTTCATATTAAGCTTGCAATGTAAAGAGTAGGTCATTAAATTTCAGTAAGAACAACTTCTATAATTAATGGCTTAAAAATGTATTATGTAGTCATATTCTTTTTTTTTTTTTTGAGACGGAGTCTTGCCCTATCGCCCAGGCTGGAGTGCAGTGGCTTGATCTCGGCTCACCACAAGCTCCGCCTCCCAGGTTCACGCCATTCTCCTGCCTCAGCCTCCCGAGTAGCTGGGACTACAGGTGCCTGCCACCACGCCGGCTATTTTTTTGTATTTTTAGTAGAGACGGGGTTTCACCGTGTTATCCAGGATGGTCTCGATCTCCTGACCTCGTGATCTGCCTGCCTCGGCCTCCCAAAGTGCTGGGATTACAGGCGTGAGCCACTGTGCCTGGCCTATGTAGTCATATTCTTCATTTATACTTTGGGGAAAGTATTTCTATCAACTTTATTGTCAAATAATTTTTTTCCTTTCAAATGGGAAGTTTGGGAAGATGAAAGTAACATTTAAAACAACCACAACAATCATACCTTGAGTATTTATAAATCATAGTATCAAATCTAAGATAATATTTTCATTTTATTCTTATAAAGCTAAAATAATATTTTCATTTTAAATGTTCTCTTGATGAGTAAAGAAATAGTTATACTGAAGTATTCCTCACTAGCTTAAAACCTTATAAGATTTAGTTCCTACTCATTATGGTGATGAAATCTCTACCCTCATCAGGTGACCATTGATTTAGACAATTTAGTTAAGTAAATCTTTAATTGAAATCAACTAGCATCACAAGACTCATGAGAGCCACCAAGAGGGATTAAGTACTTGCGTGAAAATAAGGCAATTTAATATGTCAAAATTCGTAAGTTTGATGGTTCTGCACGGGCTCATTAAAGACAGTTCAGTAGTAACTTGTAAAGCTAACTTCATAAAAAAAGCTCAGTTCCGGTCTCAATATTGTGACTGTTGAAATGAGAATTTTCTTGATGAAAAACCAGATTTATTTTTTGAATTGTCATTTTCATTTTCAAGTGTCCATGTCATTATTTAATACTCTTTTTGATTACTTAGTTTGAAAATGTAAGTCATTCTTTCCTGCCTTTGAAGTCACTTAAGTGAACATAGCATGAAGTTTCTTATGAGTTGAGAGCTGCTGAAAACTATAACAGGGAAAAAAAATCTTATTTTACTTCCTGTCTTGGTTTATTTGGTGTTGCTATAAAGGAATATCAGACACTGGGTAATTTGTAAAGAAAGAGGTTTGTTTGGCTCACAGTTCTGCAGACTATACAAGAAGCATGGCACCAGCATCTGCTTCTGGTGAGGCCTCAGGCTGTTTCCACTCATGGCAGAAATTGAAGGGGAGATGCCATGTGCAGAGATCACAGGACAAGAGAGGAAGCAAGAGGGGGGAGGAGGGAGATGCCAGGCTGTTTTATTTACTTATTTTTAAACAAGCAGCTCTCTTGGGAACTAATAGAGTGAGAACTACACTCATTACTGTGACAATGGCACCGAAACATTCATGAGGGATCTGCCCCCAAGATCTAAAGACTTCTTGTTAGGCTCCACCTCCAACACTGGGGATCAAATTTCAACTTGAGGTTTGGGAGGACAGATATTCAAACTATAGCACTCCCAAAGTTCAGAGTGGTGTCAGAAAAAAATATGGCTGTCATTGAAAATGAGGCATCCTGGATATGTGAATGAATTTCCCTATTAACCTAGGCATCGTGTATCATTAGCAACTTTTTTTTTCTTTCTAATTGCAACAGCACCGTTTTGCTTGAAGCTTTATCAGGAAATTCTACAATTGCCAAATGGTGCTTTGGTGTGGACCTTCCTAAAACCCATATTGCATGGAAAAATACTATACACACCAAACACTCCAGAAATTAACAAGGTCATTCAAAAGGTAAGTTAAAATAAATGAGAATCATATAGACCATACATACACTAAATCAGGAAGGAATCTTTAAAAATGTCTGACATAATTATTATGCGCCTTGGATTATGTAGAAGGCTCTTGTTTTGAATCTACTTCATTTTAGCCTGAGTGTTTTTCCTGTCATTGTTATTGTTAAATCTGGATTTGCTGACTCCTTCCCTTAGAGGACACTTTGGGGGTTGGGGTTGTTATTTAGAATAATTAATGCAGTGAACTTACAGAACTCTAATATGAAAAGTCAAGGACAGTGAGACAGAGAGGAGGACTGTTTGGAGTAATTCCAGGAAAACTTCGAGAACAAATGCTAATCTGTTTTGCTTGGTGCATCCAACAATTACGAAAGAATCAGACATGATACATACAAACTGATGTATTAGCAGTTAGTTAGTATTTTGGTTAGTGATGTTTCTGAATTCACTGTAAGGCTTTGCTTCACCCTGTGGAGAATAAGGTGAGATGAAGACACCAAAGCAGGGTGTATCCAGGAGGAATTGAGACACTATGTGGCTCTGCTTATTTTCCTTTCCTTACATTGTTTAACCTCTCTAATCTATTTACTGCAGGATTTGTTATTATTAATATTTGCACTTTCTTTTTAAATAATTGTGTTGTATTTTCCTGGAGTCTTTTCTTGCCTACTAGGGGGCCTGTAAGCCTACAGGCACCTGGAAAGGGGACATTTTACCAAGGACACAGGAATAATTTGGTCTTATTGTCAAACACAGAAGAGAAGATACCTGCACTATTCATGATAAGCTTCCAAGCCTCAAATAGCATTAAAAATTTGGAAACTGTGATCATATGGCATGGGATCATATGAGCAGTTAAGTCATTTTTGATCAAACTTGCCTTCATGAGTTTCATGCTTCTGACCCATGGTTGCTGTGTGAGGTCACAGCACTGTTTCCTGTAAGTTCCCTTTCCCACTTTGCCACCTACCTCAGGGGCTGCATTTACCTCTGCCTACTCTGAATGGTATTTAAACTTTAAAACATTTATATAATTTATTTAATTTTTGTTTTGTTTTGTTTTTTGGAGAGACAGACTCTGGCTCTGTCACCCAGGCTGGAGTGCAGTGGTGCAATCATAGCTCACTGCTTGGCTGAAGCAGTTCTCCTGCCTCAGTCTCCCGAAGTGCTGAGATTACAGGTGTGTGCCCCCACGCCCTGCTAACTTTTTAGTTTTTTTTTTTTTTTGTAGAGGCATAGTCTTGTCTACTTCCTAAAAAAAAATCTTGAAAGTGTCCTTTCAGAGGGGTATTTGCCAAAAGTCTGCACTCTCACATGGAACGACATTGATCTCCGTATATCCTCAGTGTGAGCTGTTCTGTTGGGCAGGAACTCTGGCCTCACAGCTGCCATCCCAGGACTGGAGCCTCTGCGCCATTACTCGAATTTCCTTAGTGTAGTAAGCTTTTTAGGGTTTTGGATATTTAAGGAATTTCACAGAAAATGGCTCCATATCACAGCTCTATTTTAAATTCAAAATTTAAAAATAGGCCATGACTTTAAAAAAAGATGATATGCTATATTATTATGTTAATATTATTAATATATGACTATAGCATTGCATATTATGATGTATTCTGCAGTATAACAATTAGTGTGATGATCTCTGCTTTTAAAGAGCTCACCCTATTGTGGGGAAGAGAAGGCAAATAGCTGAAGAAATAAGTTAGATATACTATGCTATAAAGACCATTCAGTGCAGCAGAGGCACAGGCTGTGGGGGGCAGCTGGTCTCCCTGGAAAGAAAGATTGGGCAAAGCACTTGGAAGGATGGGTTTTCTAAGCCCCTGTGAGGTGGAGACGGGAGGATTGTGGGCCTGGACAGAGGTGTGGGGAGGTGCCAAGCCCCACATGTGTGTTCTGAGAATGATGAGAATTTTTGAAAAATCACCAAAGATTTCACTGGTTTTTGCTTAGCCCCTTTTTAGATATTGCAGGCAGTATTGAGAGCTGATGTCTTTTTTACTTATTTAAAATGGCTAGCAACTTTGCATGCAGGTATCCTGGTTTTGCACTTGTAAAGCTGATTTTATGGCATTGTACCTGGGATGAATTATCCTAGCAGTCAGCCATGGCTATTTGGTTTTATGAAAATTGTTTCTAGTCATTAGACTCATGGTCTAAAGTCCCACAGAGCTGGGAGACGCTTGTAGGTTTGCCTCTTGGGCTATGCGAAGCAATATTATCTACAGTGTTGGAGTGGCCCATGCTATAAATTATTTAAGACGTGGTCTTTTTCTCTCCATTACTTCTTGTTAGGTGGAACCATCTGAAGTTGCCATTTTTGCAGGAAAAAAAATCTATAAAAGTTGGTAATTTCATTTGGTTTAACTTGTAATAGCACAGGTGACACCCAGAAGCATGATGCTGTGGTAAGAAACGTGTGTATGTGTGTTGGAAGGCTGGATTTTGGTCCCCCTTTTCCTAACTCTCTGTGACCTTGGGCTTATTGCATTCTCTTTGAAGGACTCTTCTCCTCTATCTGTGAAATGAAAGACTTGAGTAGATCCGTGATTTTCAGTCATCTGGGAGACGGCTCTTCATGGGGGATGCATCAGAATTACCCACGGACCCTTAGTAAGGCCTTCCGCCTCTGGGCTCTGATATCCCCATCCCTGAACACTTGTACCCCTCACACCCATCCATATCCTTCCACAGAGCTGTGTGCACCTCCATCTATCAGCCTTAAAGACAGTGGAGGTCAAGCATTTTCATGAACTGGAAAAAAAATGATGGCCAAAACTTCTAGAGAGTGTTAAAAGGTAAACTTAGGGACATTAAAATTTCAACAAGTTTATTTGAGCATTCGGTTATTCATGAATTAGGCAATGCCAGACAATTCAACCCTCCACTGACTATGTTGGGATGTGGGATGTGGGGTAATAGAAGAAGCTTGTATGAAGTGTTTGCTGCAGCAACAGGGAGAAAATATATTCGTTAAAGTCAAAAGTCCCTAGTTGGAGGTTAGTTGGAGGTTTCTGATTGGTTAATTTTAACTTTTGTTTTACTGTTTGCATTGATTTGGGTTTTGGTTTGCCTACATAGGAACTCAAGGTGCTATAGCTGTCTTAGCCTAACAGCCTCCTGATCAACTATTTTAACAGGAGTTAATTTAACTCATACTCTAAGGGTGTCAGACTCAGTATTTGCAAAGAAATTGATGCTATTTCCATGTCATTAGTCAAGAGATTCCAATGTATTAGTATGCTCTTTTTATTTTATAGGTCAGAGTCGTGTTCAGTTTTGGCCCTAGGCTGATGAAAAATTGAAGAACAATGTGTAGACACAATGTGAGCTTGAAGGGAGGCTATGAAAGAAAAACAGAAAAAAGAATTATATTGTTTTCCCAAGAATAAGTAGCATGCCTGAAATGATACTTCAGTGAGAATCACCAGGCACATTCTAGGCCACTGGTGCACAAAGTAGGTTTAGTCTGGGCTTCTAAGGGACGTATAAGCCCATGAAAACAGACCGTCTTATTTTCATCTAGCTCTCTCCCTTTGGCTAAAGGACAGAGCTTTGAACTGTCACACTCAGTGTCCTCCTTTGTGAAACTGGGCTAAATCATAACTCTCAGTGCCATTTGGAAGTGGAAAAAATACCAGAAATAATATTCAGAAAATAGTAAACCAATGGGATCTCCTCCCCTACAAGTGTTATTCCCAGAAATGCATTCTGCCATTGTTGCCTCTGGGGAGTGGGGAAGACAGATGTCACCTCAGAAAGAGGAAAGAGATGGTGGAGGCCAGTGGTTCAAACCGGGGTGGGGTTGGAGAAATTTTACCCAACTGGGCACATGTGACAGTATCTGAAGATATTTTTAGTGTCACAAGTAGGAGGCGCTGCTGGCATCTGGAGGCTGGAGGCCAGGGATGCTGCTATACATCCTACAATGCACAGGAAAGCCCCCACCCCCAAACAAATAATGATCTGGCTTACAATGTTAGTGGTGCTGAGGTTGAGAAACCCCAGCATAAAGGGGTATATAATGCCAGACGGGAGCGGGTGGGAGCCCCTGGGAAGAGAAGGATGAAAGTAGAGGAAGCTGGTGGTCAGGTGGGCATCCTGGCTTCTCCTCTACTGGTGATGGTCCCAAACAGGGGCTGTGGGATGATGGAGGAGCTGCAAGCTGAGGGCCTTGGCCCTACCCATGTGTCTTGGGGGATAGTCCCTGTGTAGGCCGGCCCTGAGCTAGCATGTGGTCCTAGCAGTGTGGCTGAGCAGAGGAAGGATACCTGAATTAGTGTCTCTGAGCATGGAGTAGAAGGGAGCCAGATTTCCCTGACATCCATGTCCTGAGCCAGTGTGTCAAGTGGAGGCCTTGGGGACCTGCTATGAGCCGGCTGCCGTGAGAGCGAGGTGGCCTCAGCACCAAGCTGGCCTAGGCCAGGCTGGCAGAGGAGATGGCTGAGGCTCAGAAAGCAGGAGCCGAGGTGAGAAGGAAGCAGCAAGGGAGAAGGCAGTGCCAGACCCCAAGGTTCCAGGTAAGATGTGGGCTGGGCAGGCCAGGCCCTGGCAGCACCACAGACAGGCAGACGAGGCACATGGCTGTGGGAGTCCTGGGCCCTCCACCCCTGACTGTCACCAGGCTGCCCCTGGAGAACATCAGGGGGTTTGAGCATTCACCCCAAAGAGCCTGAATCACTCAGAGGAAGCTGTTTGAACAGGGAGCCACTGTCAGCAGGCAATTTTGAGACTTTGTTCTCTCTTCACCATCCCCAGTGGGTAAAAACTGGATCAGCTACAGGAAATAGAGAACTACCTTTTCTTTGCATCCCCAAGCAGTGAGGTGTCAGATATTTGGCTTTGTAGCATCATCTGTCTGTATGCATAACATCAATCAGGAAACAGAGCAGGTCCCATAAAATGGCAGCCCTACGTTGGGAACCTGGTGATCCTCTGTCTGGAAGCCGCCTGCAGAGGAGGGACTCTGATAGTTATGTTTGTTTCCAAGTCTTCCCATGCTGCTCAAGATGGCAAAGTTTTTCAGTAACCTTGTGTATCACTCCAGACATGGCAGCAGCCCACACATACCTGGAATTTAAATGCCATACTTCCTTGGGATCCAGTGTGCCAGAGACGCATGTCCTCACCTGACCACTGTGTTGGAGAGGTCCTTCCTCCTTTCAGGCTGGCCTCAGCAGGTGGCAGAGATCAGAGAGAGGCCACCAGCGGTGATCCAGACAGCCACGCCATGTCTCTCCCTGTTCCCACTCTCCCTGTCCTCTCAATGCCCAGGGCAGCCGGTGCTCCTACCTCCAGTTCCAGCTGTGGGGGGCTCCAGCTGTCTTTCTCTTGCCTTTGTTCCTGGAGCTTATCCTCCAACCTTCTTAAGAAGTATCTTCTCTCCTCAGGCACCCCCAACAGGCACTGTGTGTTTTTGCTTTGTTTTTAAATTAACATAGAGTAAGTTCGGCAGGCTTTTTTTCGGTCGACAGCTCTCACATTTGTCTGGATCAGTACACAGAACAGTTCCATTGCCCGAGCCCACACCAAATCCCTCATTTTGTCCCTTGGTAATCACACTGTCTTCCCACCCTAAACCCATCTGTTCTCTATCACTATAGGTAGGTTTTCTTTGTGAGAATGCCCTATAATGGAATCATCATCTGTAACCTTTGAAAGTGGTCTCTTTTGCTCAGTACGAGGGCTGTGATTCACCCAGGTCATTGTGTGTATCAGCAGTTGCCTCCTCTTTATTGCCAAGTGGTATTCTGTGGTGTGGATTCACTGCAGTTTGTTCGTCCATTCACCCACTAAAGGGCGTGTGGGTTTTTTCTAGTCTTTGGCGATTATCAGTGGAGCTCTTACCTTGCTTTTATCACTACTTGAAATTATCTCATTGACTTACAGGCGTACTTGTTTATTATTTGTCGCCTGCTGTAATATAAGCTTCATGAGGGGCAGGAGCTTGTCTGTCTTCTTGGCCACCGTCCCCAGTGCCTAGAAGAATGCTAGGAATACCTTCAGCAGTGGCTGTTGAATAAGTTAAAGAATAATAATTATTTGGCTCTTGTACCCATTTGAGCCAAAGACATTCTGGTGTTAAATATACAAGGGAGATAGAGTAGACTGTATGCCAAGCCCTCTGCCCGCTGCCAGAGCCAGGCCTTAGCTTTGCAGATATGCAGTAGCTTTGTCTGAGTTTAGCAGTGGTGGGTGCCATCAAGAAGATTATCTCCCAAGGTCATTAATTTCATTTACTGAGCTTGGGCCAGGCACCTTATGTGGATTATCTCATGTATGCCTCACAACCACCACTGCAGGTAGGTACTAATATCCCCATTCTATAGCTAGGAAAACCAAGGTTGAAAGAGGATAAGTTAGCTTGACCAGGGTCACACACCTATCAAGTGGTGGAGCTGGAATTCAGGCCCAGTGTATTATTTTGAAGCCTGTGATATGGTTTGGCTGTGCCCCCACCCACATCTCATCTTGAATTGCCATAATCCCCACGTGTCAAGGGCAGGGCCAGGTGGAGATAACTGAATCACCGGGGCAGTTTTCCCCATACTGTTCTCGTGAGAGTGAATAAGTCTCATGAGATCTGAAGATTTTATAAATGGGAGTTCCCCTGCACAAGCTCTCTTCTCTGCTGCCATGTAAGACATGACTTTGATCCTCATTTATCTTCTGCCAAGATTATGAGGCCTCCCTAGCCATATGGAACTGTGAGTCAATTAAACCTCTTTCCTTTATAAATTACTTCGTCTCAGGTATATCTTTATTAGCAGCATGAAAACAGACTAATACAGCCTGTATTAGTTTTCTCAGGCTGCCATAACACAGTACCACAGATTGAGTGGCTTAAACAACAGAAATTTATTTTCTCAACATTGTGGAGGCTGAATGACCATGATCAAGGTAATGGCAGGACTGGTTTTTCCTGGGGCCTCTGGCTTGCAGACAGCCATCTTCTCTTTGTGTCCTCACATAGTTGTCCCTCTGTGTGTGTGTCCTAATATCCTCTTTTTATAAGGACATCAGTTATATGGATTAGAGTCCACCCCAATGACCTCATTTTAACTTAATTGATGATTTAAATAGGATCTTTAAAGACCTATTTCCAAACAAGGCCACATTCTGAAATATCGAGGGTTAAGACTTCAGCATATGAATTTGGGAAGCACATAATTCAGCCAGCCCACAACAGTGCCTCTTTGGAATGATCTTTTACCACTTGTAAATGGAAATAATTAGAGCTCTCTATGAAACTTGTGAACCCTGTCCTTATGGTTTTGCAGCTGGTTATGGAATCACATTGAAAAATAGTAGCCCAGGGAGGCTAGTTTGCTAATTACTACAGGAACGTAGGACTGCATACTAAAAACAAAAAATAAGTAGGAAGCACTTGGAAACCAGTTGCAGGTCATCTCTCAGCAGCCACCTGTCCTCGGGACCTATATGAATTCCCCACTGAACCTTGGATGCTCACATGCATGGCGTTTGTTCCTTGGGAACGTTCCAGAGCAGGGTCCAATCTCACTCATCTGTGTTAACTACCTAGCACGGTACAATGATGCACAGTGTTTGCTTGTAAAAAGCTTGTTAAGCTGCATTTATGTATGAAGATTTTTGTTGCAAAGCCATTTGGAGGAGGAGAAGATGTGCTTCGAATTGCTTTCTTAATTAAAAATTTTCCCTAAAAATTGAGCTAAACGTTACTTCCCCCTTCCCTTTGGTCACTAGAGACCTCCTCTGTCAGAGAACCAACAATGTCTTTTTTACTCTGACAATAGTTTGCTCTCAAGTTACTGAAGCAGTAACTTAGACATGCCTATCCATGGGAAGCCTGCTAATTTGTGCCTGAGCAAATTTTTGCAGACTAAGGATGGCTTGCAGCTGGTGGTAGGAAAGCTGATCCATAATGGCCAACTTTTAGTTTTCCCTGTGGTCCAGGTATGTTCTGTAAATAGGACTTGGTGCTAGGTATATGAGCCAAGGACTGAGAACCAGGAACCTATTGGTGGCTATGACCACCCTGTGGCTATTGTGCAGAACCCTACCTTACATGAGGCATCAAAGCATTGGCATCCCTGCCTCAACCTCCCTCATGCCCTTAGATTAGCTTGTGTGGCTTCGTACCTTTGCCAGCATCACATCCCAAGAGGCTTTTTTTTCTTTTTCAAAAAATATCAGACGGTGCTTAAAACTGTAGCTTTTGGTACTTTCAGTGATCTTGACATATTGAAGAAATCTGATTACTTTTTCTTTTTGTTCTTTTCATGGCATCTGCATTTTTTTGCTGTTTCCTGAGTGCAGTGTCCATTTTGTTATTAGCCAATGTATCAGTCAAGGTTCAAGCAGAAAAGAGAAAACTGGTTAAGTTTAATATGAATAATTATTACTATAAAAAGGCATTAGAGTAATGGTGGATTGGTTATCAACAGTGAAGAGATCTCTAAAGAATGCAGCAATGGCGGATACAGGGAATAACTCTTGCCCCTAGAGCTGGGGCAGAGAACCCAAGGAAGAAACAGAACTACAAGTGACTTCCCCATCCAGGCTTGAAATCCAGACCCTACTGAAGTTAGCACAACCATGGCCCTTAGTATGGCAGAGAAAATCACTGAGGTGAGTGGTAATTGCCATGAATCTGCACTCTAGGGTATCTGGAGAAGTTCTACACTTTTCAAATCTGCAAGGCTATAAAAGGGCATACCTGAGGAAGTCATCTAGGTGGACATGCCACACCTGCAGAAATCCCTGGGACACCACTCTTTGGGATGCCATGGATGTTGCCTATGAGAAGGTGCCATGTGCTGCTGGTTATGCGCATTGCAGGAGCTGAGGTTTAGAGAAGCTAGATGTGGGGGAATCCAGGAGCTTGCTCCATGGGAGCCTTTTGGAAGCAGCACACTGGAATCTGGAAGAGAAAATCCCTCTTCCTTCACTGTCCCTCCAGAGCCCTCTTCTGGCAAAGCTTAACAGTGTATCAACTGGCAAGGGAGAATGTCTAAAAGGCCCAACTTTATTATTGCAGAACAGGCAATGAAGGGTGAATTTCAAGTTGTGAGAAGGTAAATTAATAACTAGCCGGCTGTAAATTGGTTTCTTTGTTTTAGACTATTGAAGTACAAAGAGTTTCCATAAAGCACATGAGTTCTTAAATGTAAGTTTTAATTTATCAAACATATATTGAGTAGAGGGAAGAATTACTTGCTCTAATCCTGACACCGCTAAGAGCTAATGTTGGTTGCAAACCTCATTTATGCCTTATACCTACAATAGGGGTTGGCAATTGTCATACACGTTTTGCAGGTAAAGAAAGTGAGTCTTAGGGGTAAGTAACCTTATCAAAAGCTGTCAACAGGAGGCAGAGATGGGATTTGAAACAAAGTCTGTTTAACTCTAAGGCCAATGTTTTATTTTTTCTGTTATATTTTACTGTATTCTCCAAGTAGAAATTCACATGTGAGTATATCTATTTCTGCCTCAGAGGAACTGCTTGTGGTATGAAGGAGATGTGGAGTCCCAGTGACAAGGGCATGGGGAAGACTGCTTCCTATGGAAGGAGCTGGCCTTAAGCTGCCAAATTGGAATATCGGGTTATGATGGGCAGAGATCAGCTCTCAGTCTCATCTATCTGGTATAGTGGATTCTGATTGGATCTGGAGCAACAGAGCAGGACAGATAGAGAGTTTTACATTTGCTCATAGTTCCAGAACTCTAACACCAATAATTTCACTGTTTTAAATGCAGATTGAATCACTCTTTATTGAGCACTTACTTCTGTAAGGTTAGAGGAACCATCATGTTCACTGTATTAGTCCGTCCTCACACTGCTATGAAGAAATATGGGAAACTGGGTAATTTATAAAGGAAAGAGGTTTAATTGACTCACAGTTTCACATGGCTGGGGAGGCCTCAGGAAACTTACAATCATATTGGAAGGTACCTTTTCACAGGGCAGCAGGAGAGAATGAGAAATGAACAAAGGGAGAAGTCCCTTATAAAACCATCAGATTTCGTAAGAACTTACTCACTATCACAAGAATAGCATGGGGAAACTGCCCCCGTTATTTAATTACCTCCCACCATGTTCCTCTCATGACACGTGGGGATTAGGGGAAGTACAATTCAAGATGAGATTTGGGTGGGGATTATGGGAAGTACAATTCAAGATGAGATTTGGTTGGGGACACAGCAAAACCATATCAGACGCTTTCCCAAGTCCTCCCTCATTTACTTCTCACAAGAACCCCAGGGAGTAGACATTGTTAAATCCATTTTATAGATTAAAAAAGTAGTAAGAATTGTGAATGTTTATATTCCCAAGTTTATTAGATGATAAACAGAAGCTCATGGCTTGAATCCAAATTTGGCAGACTCTGCAGCCAATTTATTTTCATTGGCCATATTTACAGTATTAGTTATAAAATAATAAGGATCCTGTATACTAAAGCTTCTTTCACTATCATCAGTTTGGGATACTGGGTACCTAATTTACCTCATTTTAAAAAATAACTTTGTGTAGCAATGCATGGCATTTCACCCATCCCCAGAATCCTGACTGCCTTCACCTTTGGGAGGATGAGAATGAAGTAATACAGTTTAAAGATATTTATTTGTTTGTAAGCAGTAGAGATGGGAAACAGCTTGGCCATCAACACAGAATTTGGTGAATCAGATATAGACTGATCTTCAGGAGAATATCAGGCAAAGTGAAGAATAAGCACAGGCTATTGCTAGTGTTGTCATTAAACGGACACAAAGCCTGATAACTAACTTCCATAGAAATAAAAATTCTTGGTTCCATGATAATTATTAAAGGTGAAAAATGCCAGTGAAGTGGAAGCTGCCCAAGCCTGGAGTCTACATAAACTTGTACGGGCTGGAAGTGCACAGGCTCTGCACATATGTGGGGCTATTTACATGTGCAGAGCAATGGGGAAGGGCACTGGTGGGACCTTTAGGCAGGTCAAGGTCTTTCCCAGGGAGCCCTACAGAGAGAACAAAATCCATTGCAATCCACTTTCTGACTGTAGGCATCAAATCAGTTATTGGAAAGCAAGTTGTCCGTGGTTTGGTGAGGCTCTCAGATGGGTGAAAGTGGCCAATATGGAACATTTTATCAAAACTCAGCAAAGTTGCCCAGAGTAGAAGTAATTACATTTTACAAGTGGCCTTGTTTGATATAACCTCCTATAAAATAGCAGTTCTCTAAGACAGCAGTATCAGTAGAACTGTGAATGTACTTTTTCTGTGAGACTAGATAATATCCAAACCCTCAGATGAGCATAGATGTTGCTCTTTTACTGACCTTGGATACCTGCAATTTTCCATCATTCGTTTTCCTGTCTGCTTGGAAATGGTGGTCTATTTGATATAATCTTAATTAATTTATTAGTGAAATAGCACATTAGAACATGAGGAAAAATTATAAACATATAGTTCAAAAAATAATAAAAAAACCCAAGATGTATTTTAAACAAATGAAAAGATGCTCAAACTTAATAGTAAGAGAAATGCAAATCCCCAAAATGAGATATCCACAAATGAGATATCATATCAAAATGCTAAAGGCTCACAATTTGATATATTTTGTTGTTTGGAGGTATTAGGAGAGAGTCACTCTCATGCATTGCTGTTGGGAGTGTATTCGTGTGAAGTCTTTGAGGCCATGTTGGGAATATCTATCAATACTACAAAGACAGCTATTCGCACATGCAAACAAGGATATTTATTGTGCCATTGTTTGTAAGCAGTAGAGATGGGAAACAGAGACTGGACATCAATACAGAATTAATTGAATCAGATACAGACTGATCTTCAAGAGAATTTCAGGCAAAGAAAGAACGTGGATAGTATGAGTGAAGAAAAACAGAATACCAACATAATGCATCTGTTTTTGTAAACATATAGATAAACTCAGGGGGTCCACATTGAAGAACCAATAACGATGCTTCTTCTGCATTTGAAACTGGGCTTCTAGGGGACAGAGTAGAACCCTTTTGAAGGCTTGGAATTTGGTACAGTGCGAAAAGTGTATACAAGATAAAATCCCAGGAAGTCTTTTAAGCTAGTTATTTCATGTTCTATTGAATTTGTGTGCTATATTGAGGACATAGGGCATTATAATTGAGTGTTAGCATCCTAGGGGGCTGGCTGTGTGCCCTCTAAATGCCCTGTCTAGCCATGTCCTCTGTATGGGAAGGTCAGGGCACAAGTCCCTTTTGTTTCAGGGGCAACAGACCAGCCTTTCTCTTTTCCTCCCATCCGTCCATCCATCCATCCATCCATTTATCTATTCATCCATCCACACATCCATCCATCTGTCCATCCATCCATCCATCCATGCATCCATCCATCTACTCTTGCATCCATCTATCCATTTATCTATCCATAAAATCATTCATTTATCTGTCCATCCAACCATCCATCCATCCATTCATCCATCCATCCACACATCTATCTGTCCATTCATCTATGCAATCATCCACCCGTCTATCCACCCATCCACCCATTCATTCATCCACACATCTATTCATTCATCCATCTATCCATGCATCCATCCATCCACACATTTGTCTCTTCATTCATCTATCCATCCATCCACCCACCTATCCACCCATTCATTCATCCACACATCTATTCATCCATCCATCTAGCCTTCTATCCATCCATCTATCCATCTATGCATCCATTCATCTATCCATCCATCCATTTATCTATTCATCCATTGATCTATTTATCCATCCATCCATCCATCCATCCATCCATCCATCCATCCATCCATTCATCCATCCATCTATCCATCCATTCATCCATTAATTTATCTATCCATCCACACATCCATCCATCCATTCATCTATTTGTTTATCTCTCTGTCTGTCCATCCATCCGTCCATTAATCTATCAATCCATTCATCCATTTATCTATTCATCCATTCACATATCCATCCATTCATCCATGTATTCATTCATCCATCCATCCACACATCTATCTGTCCATTCATCTATCCATTCATCCATCCATCTACCCATACACCCATTCAGTCATCCACACATCCATCCATCCATCCACCCATCCATCCATCCATTCATCCATCCATCCAAATCTATCTATCCATCCATTCATTTATCTATTCAACCATCCACACACCCATCTATTCATCTATTCATTCATCTGTTTGTCCATCCATCCGTCCATCCATCCATCCATCCATCCATCCATCCATCCATATATCCATCTATCCATTTATCCATTTAAATCCATCCACACATCCATCCATCCATCCATCCATTCATTCATGCATCTATTCATCCATCCATCCATCCATCCATTCATCTATCTGTCCATCCATCCATCCATCTATTCATTCATTCAACCATCGATTCATCTATCTATCCATTCATCCATCAATCCATTCATCCATTTATCTATTCATCCATTGACACATCCATCCATCCATCCATCCATCCATCCATCCATCCATCCATCTATACATTAATCCATTTATTCATCTATCCTCCCAACCATTCATTCATCCATTTATCCAAGATGGGGAGAAAGCAGGCTCTTATTAGTATGAAGTGCATTGAGGGGAATCGGGGGATGCTGTATCCGTGGGTTTTTCCCTTCCTGATTTTGGCCAAGTGAAAAAGAAATATTTTTCTTTTATCTACTCTGAATATGTCTACTTGTTTCCTTTTCAAATCTTCAAATTCCTCTGCCCCATTCCCCTTTGATGCAATAAGAAAAAGGTCTGAATAAGGAGGGAAGAGGGTGATATAACTAAGAAAATAATTGATATAACAAAAAATAATGAATACAACAGAACAAATAAACCCAGAGCTAATATCTTGTGCTATGACCTAGTCACATTCTTTTAATATTTTCCTCTATCTTAAAAGAAAGAATAGCTGCAAGTAAGAGAGGAATAAATCATTTTCTAAAATTAAAAGTTAGTAGGTGGTGTATAAATGAAACCAAAGCCCAAGACATTTCTCCTAATTAAATAAAATGGAAATAAGACTTTAATCACAGGATATCTGAAAATCCTGACACACTTTTAGTTGGGATTATCAGCTCTGAGCCTCATTAGTTCCCTATAATCTTCTGAAGGTGATTAATTAAACAATATGATTATGAATTCATAGATTTAAACGTGTTAAATGTATTTCAGTCCATTGCTGTTTTTATTTATTTTTCTTGATGCTCAAATGATCCCAACTGTGGTCAGTGGGCACCTCTTCATTTAGAATTCCATGTTCTTTTAAAAATTAACTTTTTAATTTGGAGGCAGTTGTAGATTTACATGCATTTGTAAGAAAAAACATGGAAAGATCGGTGTACCCTTCACTGGGTTTCCTAATGGTAACATCTCATGACACTACCTATAATGCAGTATCACAAACAGTATTCTGCCATTGATACAGTTCACTTGTCTTCCAATTTCCCATTTTACTGTGTGTGTGCGTGTGTGTATTTAGTTTTATGCAGGCTTAGCACCTGTGTAGGTTTGTGTATTCATCGCCAGCACTGAAGCAGAACAACCATATCACAGCAGGGTCTCTTGCTTTACCTTTCATAACCACAGCCATTAATTCCTACACCACTCCCCCGCAAGTCCCTGACCCCTGCCAGCCACCAATCAGGTCTTCATTTCTATAATTTTGTCATTTCTAGATTGTTGTATACATGGAATTATACAGCATGTAACCATTTGGGATTGACTTTTTAAACTTAGCATAATTCCCTAGAGTAGTATCCATATTGTGCAGATATCAGGAGTTCATTCATTTTTATTGCTGAATAACATTCCCTGGTATGCATGGTCCACAGTTTCTTTAACCATTTACACATTGTGGGACATCTGGGTTGTTTCCAGCTTTTGGCTATTGTGTCTTCTGTTTCTCTTTTCTTGCCTTCCTGTGGATTACTTAAACATTGTTGAGCATCCTCACCCTAAGACATGATTTTAGGATACCCATTCTAAAAAATAATTTATTGATACTGTCTTTGAGTGTATCTTTTTGCATGATGTTCTTACAAAGAACGTCTGGCTCTAGATATTACAATACAGACATACACACGTGGCTTACCACAGTTCATTGGCATTGAGATTTTACCACTTCAAACCAGGTATGGAAATCCACTTCGACTTAGGTCCCTTTACCTTCTCTGCTTTTAAATATCATCATCTTGACTATCAGAAGGTGTTATGATTTATGTTTTAATCATCAAATACATTTCATAAAACTCATGGAAAACAGTATGGTCTGTTGTATTCACCCACATTTCTGCTCTGTTGTTTTTTTCTTCCTTCCAAATGCTCCAAGATTCCGTTTCATATTTTCATTTTTTAAAGTTTTTCTTCATCTGAGAATGTCTTTATTTTATCTTCATTCCTAAAAGATATTTACATTAGATTCAGAATTCACAATGACAATTCTTTTCTTACGTCGTGATAAATGTTAGGCTACTTTCTTCTGGCTCCCAGGGTTTCAGATGAGAGATTTGCTAACCTTTGAGTGGGTGTTCCCTAGAGGTAACATGTTATGGTTCTCTGGCTGCTTTAAAGCTTTTACTGTGTTCAGATTTTAGAAGTTTAATTATGGTGTGGTTTAATGTAGATTTCTCTCAGTTTATCATATTGAGTGTTTGCTA
The DNA here is from genome assembly GCF_000001405.40 of Homo sapiens. NCBI lineage: Eukaryota > Metazoa > Chordata > Mammalia > Primates > Hominidae > Homo > Homo sapiens. The sequence continues at coordinate 48,332,951 of NC_000007.14, forward strand.
AGCTTCCTGAGTCTGTAGGTTTTTGTATTTCTACAATTTTAGGAAGTTTTTCAGCCATTGTTTCCTCTCATACTCTTTCAGTTCCACTCAGTTTCTCCTCTCTTTCAGAGACTCTAATGACACCAGTATCAAAATTTTTATTATTGTCCTATAGGTACTTGAGGCTCTGTTCACTTTCCTATCAATCTCCTTTCTCCCTGTTGCACAGATTGGGTACCACACATTGATCAGCTGTCAGGTTCAGTGGTTCTCTCCTCTGCCATCTCCATTCTTCTACTGAGACCATCTAGTGAGTTCTTGTATTTGCGTTATTGCATTGTCCATTTCTGGAGAATCCATGTGGTTCTTTTTTATAATTTCTTTTTATTCATTGAGATTTTCTGCTATTTTGTTTGCTTCAAGACAATTTGTAATTGCTTGTTGAAGCATTTTTTAAATGATGGGTGCTTTAAAACACTAGCCAGGTTATTCCAATATCTGATGTGTCTCAATATTGGCATCAATTGATTGCTTTTCTTAATTCTAGTTGTCTTTTCTTTGGTTATTTTTATAATGGGTGGTTTTCAATTGTATCATGGGTATTCTAAGCAATATAATAGGAGACTTTGAGCCCTATGTAAAAATCTTTTATTTTTGTGGGTAGTCATTCTACTTAGGCTTAACACACAGATCTTGGCCCACTTTGTGTGCTGTGGTTCCAATAAGAGTTTAATTTTGGTTTATCTGATGCATCTGGGACTCCCTGATGCTGCAGTATGAAAGGACAGATGAGATTTCTCCAGTCCAGCTGCCTCCATGTTGGGGAGATGGAGCCTCCAGCAGTTGGAGAAGAAGGGGACTTCTTAGGAGCCCAGGTCTTTGTTGCATCAGGAGCCATCCTGCTGTGGGGCAGCCAGTGTTTCCAGGCCAGGTCACTTGATATTGTGGAATACTCCTTGCCCTGTCTCCTGGGTGCTTGTTGTGGTTCCTCTACCCTCAGGGGAAGAACAACCATTTGCCTGGCTATTCATTACCAGTGTCATCCGAGCTGATCCCCCTGTTGGTGTTGCAGGGGCAGCTTGGTTTGTTGGAAGGACTCCTGGTCCCTCCAGAGAGGCAGCCCAGCTAGGCTGCCTTCTGTTACTAGAATGTTAGAAATGTGAGGTATTTTGGCTGGGGATTTTAATGTGTGTGTACGTGTGTGTGTGTATTCTCTATTTGCAGTTTTTAAAGATTTTACAGATCTTCTACATGTGTTGCATTAATAATGTTATTCAACCTTTGCATATCTGTATGCATTTTTGGTTAGTATAGCTGGCGTTTACTGAGTATTTGCTATGTGCCAGGCCTGGTGCCAAGGTATTGGAATACTAATTTGTCTTAATACTTACAAGAGTCTCTATCCCTATTTTTTTTTTTTTTTGAGATGGAGTCTTGCTCTGTTGCCCAGGTTGGAGCACAGTGGTGCAATCTTGGCTCACTGCAAGCTCCACCTCCCGGGTTCATGCCATTCTCCTGCCTCAGCCTCCCAAGTAGCTGGGATTACAGGTGCCTGCCACCGTGCCCGGCTAATTTTTTGTATTTTTTAGTAGAGATGGGGTTTCATTGTGTTAGCCAGGATGGTCTCAATCTCCTGACCTCATGAGCCACCCGCCTTGGCCTCCCAGAGTGCTGGGATTACAGGCGTGAGCCAGCACGCCCGGCCTCTATCCCTATTTTTATTGAATACTGAAGCTGAGAGTTCAAGGTTTTTCTCTGTTTGCTGTGCTGGCTGCTTTTCAGCTCCTGTGCCATTGTGAGGGTCTCCTAGTGACCCTAGGGAGATGTGGTTAGACTCTCAAACCCTCCTTAAGCATTGTCCCTTTGGCATTTAGACTATTTTCAGTATTAAATGTAATAATATTGCAATAGACATCTTCATGGAAATAACTTTATATTTTATTTAAACTATTTCCTTAGGATAGAGTCCTTTTATCTTGAGAGAGTAAAGCATGTGCATTTGTTATGGATCAGTGACTGCATTTTTCTGATACCAAATTATTTTATAAAAGTCTTATGCCAGTGTACTCTGCCAGTAGCAATAAATGAAAAAATATACCAATTTTATTCTATCCTCAATAGTGTTGGGTACCATTAAACAAGTAAGTATTAGTTGAGAATGTATCTTTGAGGAAGAAATGTGGGCAAGCATTGATTAATTTGGTCAGTATATACTGGGGACATATGCTGTACCCAGCAGTGACTCTAACACTGGCGAGACAGCAGTGAACAGGCAGGTAGCCCCTGGATGGACAGAGTCAAGGAGAGAGGTTTCAGAGGACTCACCTGTGATGTGAGAGCATTGGAACTTTTCATGTTATTGAGGAAGGCATTAGCTGGCCTGCAGGCAGATCTTTGCTCTGGTGGCCACATCATATACAGTCCTTGTTGGAAGATTTATCTTAATATAACAGCTGAATAAGAGACATATCCAAATATGCTTCATTTTGCAGGCTAATTACACCTTTTATATTGTGGACAAACTAAAAACTTTATCAGAAACACTGCTGGAAATGTCCAGCCTTTTCCAGAGAAGTGGAAGTGGCCAGATGTTCAACCAGCTGCAGGTGAGTGGTTGGTCTTTGCCACCGAGGGATGGGGAGCTACTGCTAGGGCATGTCCGAGACATCAGGGCTGCCCTGTAGAAGATTCTACAGAGTCACATCAGGCATAGTGGTTCTAGTTGACTCATATAATTGACATAAAACTAGAGATGTGTGAAAACTTTTTGTGAATTTTCAGTATTTTACCCATGCAAAATGGTATCGTTGTGAGAATGATTAATAATTTAATAGTAACTTTTTCTTTAAATTCTTTATTAAGCTTAATGCTTTTTAGATTGTTTGCATATTTTTGAATTGCAGGTCTATTCAACAATCAATGATCATTTCTGCATATTCTGTATTGATAACTTAATATTTTTAAAAGGAACGACTTACAGTTTAGAATGGCCTGACTCCATTAGAGTCTGACAATCATTAATATAAAACTTTAATTCAGGTAGATCACCTAATAATTTTTTGGGCATTTGTGTAGCTTCAACTTACCTTAACTCTGATAGGATGAGAAAATATGCCTGCATTTTAATTCATGTTTAGTTTTTTTATTAACTTACCAGGTAAGTAGTTCAGAGTATGGACTCAGGAGCTAGAATCCTTTGAGTTTGATTCCCGGCTCAACCCCTGCCACCAGTTGTGTGATCTTGGGCTAGTCACTGAAGTTCTCTGTACCTTGAGTTTCTTCCCTGAGAAATGAGGAAGCGATAGTAGTTATGAGGTATAAATGGGTCAGGATACATGGAGCCCTTGGAATAGGTTTTGACACAGAGAAAATGCTACTGTGTGAGTCTGAGTTTTCCAAGAAGCAGATGCCAAGACAGGATTACATGTGCAATAATTTTATTTTGGGAGATAGCTGCTGAGGAAAGGAAGAGGAAGCTAGACAGGTTGGAAGCAAGGTTGTCAGTGGTGATGCAAGTCTGACCCTGAGGAAAGGAGAGAGGGAGAGGGTCGGGTGGAAGCATCCTGGTGGGCCCTGCAATTTAATGGAAATCAGATAAGGCCGAGAGGGAGTCACAGAGCTAAAGTCAGTTATCAAGGTAGGGGTCCCATGTCAGTGGAGTCCTGTGGCTCCTGGGAGTGGGCCTGATGTGGTGGTCATTGGTGAGAGACAGCCCATGGGAGGCGTGGCCTCAGGGCAAAGTGCCATGGATTCAGAGTGCAGCAGTGGGCCCTGCCATTTCCGTTTCCTGCAGTTGGAGGTCTGCGATGTTCATTCTCACAGCGACCATGGCCATATGTATTAGCTAGTATTGTAATCTTCTTTAATTTGTTTGTGTATGGATTAATTTGTTAATACAGACATCAGCAAACCTTTGCAGTTAATGGGACAGATAGTATTTTAGACTAGATAAGGTCTCTGCTGCAACTATATATAATCTCATGCAATATTATAAGCACCAAGTCGAGAATGTACAAATATCTAGGAGAACATAAAACAGTGCCTAACTCGGCCTCAAAAATAGGGCAGCTCCTTGTGAAGTCTATGGTGTACCTGAGTACTACTTACTAAGTAGCCATGTCAGAAATCAGTCACATGTTCAACCAGTTGAAGAACTTATCTTCCAAAGGATAAGACGGCGTAAGTTGTTCCTCTATTTCTTAGCTTTGGGATCATGCTCAAGGGAACTCGCAGTACCTTGGGTTTGTAGTAGTCGATGTGTATGTTGCAGGCCTGGTTCTGCCACTAGATGGAGTGGTTAGAGTCTCTGAGGAAAGCCCTAACTTTGCTCTGCTTCCCTGTTCCATCAGTAAAAGACAACAGTACCCTCCTGGGGATGTTGTTGAGATTAAATGACATGATGCATAATAACTACCCTGCACATTGACTGGCAAATAGCGAATGCCCAGTGAAGGAAGATAAATAAGATTCCAAAAAAGAAAAGCAAACACCAAACTTTCATAATAAAACCTTGTCATCCTTAGACAAGATTAGTTAAAACTATCACATGTAATAAGGTGAATGTGAGAAATAAAAGAGCTAATTACAAAGGGCACATATTACTTGAGAATTCCTATATGGACCTCTTGTGCTATTAGGTTATGTGCTGGACCAAAATCTGGATAGTGTACAAATATTCTCCAAGAAATTGGCAAATTCCAAAATTAATTCCCAGTCATTGATCCTGAGGCAGAGCCTGGATACATCAGTATCTTTCCCTCTCAGCTTCTTGTTGGTTGTTGTATGTTGTAAGTGTCAGGCAGTGCAATGCAAGTACATGGATATCAATGGCAAAATAAAGGGGCAAGATGTCATGAAGTTGATGAAAAAATCTTGGAGAACTCTCCACAGTAAACAATTTGTCTCCAATCATTGAAAAATGAGGCAAAGTCACAACCATCAATAATAACGAGAGAAGAATGGTACAGATGAAGCAATGAAAGATGCTTCCGAAGATGAATAGCCAAACATTGAGAGAGGGTTTGGGAAATTCTGAAATCCTCCTTCAGAGTTTTCATAACAATGACCCTCTGTTTACAACTGGCCTCTGGGAAAGGCCATGCAAAGGAAAGGAATCTTATAGAAAGGTTCATTATATAGGTTCGTTTGAAAATTTTGCCAAAAACAAACCACTTAATTCATTCTTTGTTTTTAGTATTAACACATAATTACAACTACAACATAAATTTTCATAATTGTTGATTTTGTTTTTCAAGGTAAGCTTCTAATAAGATATTATCCTGTTATTTATTGTGGTGTTTTAAAACTTCTTTTAAGTGGATTCAGTTTATGTGCCTTGTTCCTTTGTAATGAAACTTTGAATAAGTCTAATAAGTATTATTCAATAATACGAAATAATGCAATTATTTTTATTAAGCTATATTATTTTTCTTTAGGAGGCCCTGAGAAACAAATTTGTAAGAAACTTTGTAGAAAACCAGTTGCACATTGATGTAGACAAACTTACTGAAAAACTCCAGACATACGGTAAGTGTGCTGATGGGCATGGTAGTGTTCTTCTGCCCATATGGCTCTGCCACTTGGGTGGGTCCTCCCCCTTGGGCCATGGCATTGCTAGGTGACTTCCAGCAAGTCACTTTTCCTCTCTCAGTTTCTATTTTCTTATCTGGATCCTGAAGGGCTTGAACTAAATACTCCCCAAAGTTTGTTTCATACCTGAAGTTTTTTCGATTCACTGATTCAGGACTTAACTAGTAAAGAACCTAGTTAAAAAGGAAGTTTTCTGATTCAAACACAAGAATTGTGAATTACAAAACAAGTTTATAAAAGAAATTATTATTATTATTGAGTTAAAAGTAACTTGAAAGCCATTGCATAGATTTGAAAATGGGAAGCTCAGATAAAAACATTACCTATCAGTAAACATTTATTGTACCTCTGCAATTGATGTATCTGTGAATTCATTTAGGTGTTTTAACAAACATTTGCTGGACACACGAGGAGAGCCAGTTCCATGAAATAATCCATAGAGGGGCATAAAATATTCCTGTTCCACCATGCAGTGCAGAGAAGAAGATGACCATGCTTAGAAACTGCAACACTGTGGCAAAATCAGCGATCAGGGCCCTGCCAGAGAAGCTCTCAGGAGCCTAACCCAGTTGGTGGGGACCTGGAGTCAGAGGGAGGATGGGTGTCAGGCTGTTCCAGGTCCCTGGCTCCCTCACACTCTGCTTGTACATGGGAAAGGGTTTCGGATCTGCCTTACATATGAAAGTTAGAGGAAGGCAAGACATTTTATTCGGCATAATATAGTACTTCCCTTTAAAAAAATTTCTGGTGAATGCAATACTTAATATTTTACTTCAGAAAGGTTAATCATATTTTAAAATGTTTCATATTTTAAATGCATTACATAATTTTTTCAATTAATTAAAACACCTTTAAAAGAAGAAGTAGCACTGGAAAGTTTATAATAATAGTGTCCCCATCTTCTGTTGCTGGAACCAAGGACTGACATGGGTCTGAGAGATTTCCTGTGTGGAACGCAGATGTCTCCTGAGTTTGCGTCTACCATGGTGCTAGTGTTAATGCAGATGTCTTAGAGTGTGAATCGTACCTGAGCCACATTTGTTCAACATGTTGCTGCTTAGCCAACAGTACATTTGAATAGGTTTTCCCACATGTAAACTTCTATTGTAAAATTAAGAGAAAGTTCCCCAGAAATTTAGAACTTTTCCTACAAGTGTGTTGGGACACAGAATATGAGATTCACATGGAATTTTGAGATCCATGAGGTGTGATCCTCTCTTCTTTCTGCTTCCGCCTGACGCTAGAGATTGAAGACCATATCATCCAGGTGAATGTTGGTTATTTTCCATCCGACCCTGTACAGCCCTCTGGGAGCAGGCACAGAGTGGGGTCAGGCATTCACGGGTGGGGTGGCGGTGGGGGATTGATCACTGACCAGATGCAAATCTCCTTTTGTAACTATGCTAACAAATGAACTCACCTTACTGCATGCACCCTTTTAAAATTTATACCTAGGTCATACTCACTTTTCTTCATCCTATAAACAGTACCTGGAAACTGAGGTGACTATTTGAAGATATACTGATGCAACTTTTGGGAATATTTGCCCAATCATGCTGTCATTTTTATTCATTATATAACTTTCATTTTATTTTTATTTTTTTTAGACAAGAGTTTTGCTCTTGTCATCCAGGCTGTAGTGCAATGGTGCAATCTCAGCTCACTGCAACCTGCGACTTCTGGGTTCAAGCAATTCTCCTGTCCCACCCTCCTGAGTGGCTGGAACTACAGGTGCGCACCGCCATGCCCGGCTAATTTTTGTATTTTTAGTAGAGATGGGGTTTCACCAAGTTGGCCAGGTTGGCTCGAACTCCTGACCTCAGGTGATCCTCCTGCCTCGGCCTCCCAAAGTGCTGGGATTACAGGCGTGAGCCACTGCGCCTGGCCTCATTATATAACTTTAAAAAATAACTTTTTGCTTTATTACAAAAAGTATATATGTCTGTTGTAGAAACATTAGAAAATACAAATAAGCCAGAAAACAAATCCACCTATAATCTTATCACCACAGATAGCTATTTTAAAAGCCTCGGAGTTCTTTTTTAGGTGAATTTATATGTACTCATATGAAGATAAGAATATGTATTTTCACAAAAATGATTATACTGTTCACATAATTTTGTTACCTGAGTCTCCTGAGTTTGCATCTACCATGGTGCTAGTGTTAATGCAGATGTCTTAGAGTGTGAATCGTACCTGAGCCACGTTTGTTCAACACATTGCTGCTTAGCCAACACTACTTTTGAATAAGTTTTCCTATTCAAAAATTAAGATTATTATAAAAGTTTTTCATATCTATAAATATTGACTGTTACTAAGAAAAAGTCCCTTCATCTAGCTCTGCCTTCCATTTCACTCCATAGTATGAATTTAAAATTACTTAGGAATTTCTTTGGGATCGGTCCTTATATTTCTAACTGATACACCTACGGCAGTATTTCTTGATTTATTTGTTACAGGAATTATCAATTGATTTCTTGTTCTGAAAGATGCAGATTTAGTTTTGTACTACATCATTTCCCTGATCAGTTGCTCCCACTATGGTAATATGACCATTTTAGTAGTTATAAAACAGTATGAGGAGATAAATGTTGTTCAGTGCAGAGTCAGGCTATGCATTATAATGACATTCCCTTATTTACCATGTTTCCCTTTTCCTAGAGTTTCATGCTCTCTTGCTACTACATGAAACACCTGTTCTCCATTGCTCCCAGCTCTGTGTGCCAACACATCACCTTTATGTTGAGTCATTTTGTCTGTGCAGACGCCACCCAGACCCCCTACCATGCTCCACCTGGGCAGGCTAGCCGCTCCTGCCAGCACCCAGCTGCTTTCCTAGGAATTCTCTGCTCTGCTCTCCTGGGGTGGATACCATGATTCCTGGGCTCTAGGTCCTCATTTTTGTTTTGTTGTCATGTTTTGTGGGTTCATATTAATCAGTGTAGTCTTGAAAAAGAGAATGAGAGAAAAAATTCCTGAGTGATTTTACTCAGTAAAGTAAAATTACATCTGAATGATATGTGGAAATATCCTCTATTTCATTACCAATAATTTTGCATCTCTTCTTTCTCTCTCCTTTTTGCTTTTAATCAGTCTTGTCAGAGGGTTATCAATTTTTATTAGTCTTAAAAAAACCCACCGTTTATGGCCTTATATTTCATTTGATTTCATTGATTTCTGCTCTCTATTGGTTTTTTCCTTTTGCCCTGTGTGTGTGTATGTGTGTGTGTTTGGTAACTTCTTGAGATGAATACTTAAATTATTCATGTCCACCTTGTCTTCTTTTCTTTTCTGATATATATATATATCTTTCTGATATATATATATATATCTTTCTGATATATATATATATATCTTTCTGATATATATATATATATCTTTCTGATATATATATACTCATATATATATACTCATATATATATATTCATATATATATACTCATCACTAGACACTTCCCTCTGGCATTACCTTAACTGCATCTCACTAATTTTGATATCTTGTATTTTCACTCTCATTCAGTTAAGCATATTTTAAACATGTGGTGTAATTTCCTTTTTTTTTCACCTTTAGGTTATTTGAAAGACTATAGCTTAATTTCTAAATATTTGGTATTATTTATTTATCTTTGGGTTAATGACTTCCAGCTTTACTTCACAGTGGTAAGATAATGTACTTCGCTAATACGATTTCATTTGCTTAACATTTATGGAGACTCACTCAATCCTTGCACACAGGGTCAGTTTTGGTTCCTGCATTGTTGGGTGCCGTCTTGAGCATCCTCACTGTCTCCTTGTTCCATCAGCTCTTAAGAGGTGTGTGTTTACATTTCTCGTTATGACTGTGGGATTGCCTATTTCTCCTTGAGGTTCTGTCCACTTAGGCTTTATATACTTTAAGGCTGTATTGTATTTTCTGTTGAGGACTTGTTTGAGACATTTATATTTTCCTTTGTTTGTATTTAAATTATCTTCCAGCCTCTCCCCCTTCTTTTACTTCTTTATTTCTTTCCGGAAGTTTTTCTGTGACTGACTTAGTTATGGTTTCTTATGAGAATCCTCTTTTGGCTCTGTAGCATTTCTTGAATCAGTGGCCAAATATCTTATATTTGGGGAAAGTCTTGGCTACTATCTTTTGAAGCATTGCTTCTGATCACTTCTCTCTCTGCTTTCCTCTGCAACTCTTCTAAACAAGATGAAAACTTTTCACAGTGTTCAATGCTTCTTATTTCCTTTTCTATATAATCCAACCTATTTTCTCTTTATACTTCAGTTTGTGATTTCTTTTCTTACTAGTTTTTTAATCGACAAATTCTCTCTTCAGCTGGGTCTAATCTGCTATTAAACATACCAATGAAGTTCTTCATTTCAGTTGTTGCATTTTCCGCTTAAAATTTAAATTTTCTTATTTTAAAATAGTTTTTAGCTCTCTGGTGAAAGTCTATTTTCATCTAATTTTGGACACAATACTCACATAAGTCTATTTTCATCTAATTTTGGACACAATACTCACATTTTGGAAGTGCATGTTTGTGAGCTTTAATACTTGTCTTTTGTGGGTATTTTTTTAGTCTATTTTTCTCTTGCTTTTTTTTTTGGTTATTTTTCTTGTCTTGTCTCCAGGAATATTAAGGATTAAAAAAATTGAAACCAGACATTATAAATGGAAAATTGTAGAAATAAATTTGAGTCTCCTGATAGTGCTATATTCCTCTAGATAATGTTATTTTCCTGCTTGTGGCAGAGAGCTAGGGCAGGGCCACGTTTTCCTAATCCATTTGGGGATGGAGTGGATTGATGGAGGTAGACTTCAGCCTTAGTAGGGAAATTTCCAGTTTCCTGTACTCCTGGATAGATTCCCTATTTGGGTGGGGTGGGGATCTCACCTATAAAGCTGATACCGATTAGGGCCCATGTAGATCCAGAGCTCAAAGTCCCGTGGACCACTGGAGACTCAGCCTCTCAGTTTTTGGCAGGATCAAATACCAGGCTTCCCAAGGTTCTCTTTTCTCTTGCATCTCTGACCTTTGAGCTTTTGCTGCCTTGGTAGCTCTTTAAAGTCTTTATATAGATTTTCTTTTTTTTTTAATTTCAATAGGGTTTTGGGGAGCAGGTGGTGGTTGGTTATATGGATAAGTTCTTTAGTGGTGCTTTCTGAGATTTTAGCGCAGCCATCACCTGAGCAGTATACACTGTACCCAATGTGTAGACTTTTTTAAACTTTTAAACTAAAGTCTTTATATAGATTTTTTAAAGGCCATTCATATTTTCTGGTTGTTCTTGGAAGGAAACTTCATCTGCCCCACATTGTCCTCCATTACTCTAAGTGGGGTTTCCTCAATATGACCTTTCAATCTGAAGACGACAGCTCTTCAATTAAGGGGAGTTTTCTTGTCATCATTTCTTTGATATTTTTACCTCTCTATAAAAATAATGCTATTTTAACTTTAGTTTATTTTAAAATTACTATTACTGTTTTCTATTTGTTTATTTTGAGTTCTCTCTTTCATGTTGAAGGGTTCACTTAAATGTTTGGTGATATTATGTGTGAAGCATTAAAACCAGACTGAAAGTGATTTGGTGAGTAGAAGTTATTGTGACTCAGTTCATATCAGTAGTTCTCAACTGAGGATGATTTTGTCCTCTAAGGGATGTGTGGTTATGTCTGGAGATATTTTTGGTTGTCACAGCTGGTCACAGCTACTGCCACCTAACAGGTAGAGGCTAGGGGTACTGCTAAACATCCTACACTGCATGGAACAGCCCTCCACAGCAAGGAATTATGTGCCCAAAGTGTCTGTAGGGCCTAGGTTGAGAAACTCTCATTTAGAGCAATAAGATGGAGTCACTTCTTGAAAACAAATTTCAGGAGGAGACACGTTGGAATGTCAAATCCTCTGGTCTGTTTTGGCTGATGCCTGCCATGTCTGGGGTCCTCAGGTATATACACTGAATGGTGAACAATCGTTAACTTGTATTATTCTCTGGGGCTTGGCCCCACATTAGTGTAGAATTTTATACTATGTTGTTTTATGTCCACCTATATGTGAACCTCAGTATTGTTTTTGCCCTTTCAGACTTAAAGTAGCCTGTGTTTCTTTACCACATAGGGTTTCACATGGGCCCTATGTGTTTTTCTTGGCTCATTTTTCCTATATATTGTGAGATGAAGCAACCCAATAAGAGCTGTGATTCTAGGACTCTTACCAGAGGCTTTGCCCATTCGTGTCCTGTCCTCTGTAATCCATCTTTCTCTCATAGCAGTGCCCTCATCATTTAGGTTGGGGAGTGTACTCAAGGTCTCCAAAGTGATGGAACATGCAGTTAATACTAGACCACATTTTATTTTTATTATATCTAGTCCATTGTGCAGGAACTATTACCCAACAAAGATATTGCTTCTTTCCTCCCAGAGGAGGGAGATCTGCCCAGTGTCCTAAGACCTAAGAGTTTTTGTGTGGAGCTGCTTTTCTAAGTTGTAGTTAATGCCACATAATAACATTTTAGTCAACATTGATCTGCATACATGATGATGTTCCTATAAGGTCATAATGAGCTGAAAATTCCTACTGCCTAGTGACTTTGTAGCTGTCAGCACATTGTAGAACAACACATTACTCACTTGTTTGTGGGGATGTTGGTGTAAACAAACCTACTGCACTGCCAGTCATATAAAAGTCTAGCACACACAATTATGTACAGCACGTAATACTTGATCATCGTAATAAACTACTGTTATTATTGGTGTATGTGTTTAATTCAATTCAGAGTGTACTTCATATATATATTTATGAGTTAAGTGTAAAGCAGCCTCAAGTAGGTCCCTCAGGAGGTATCCAGAAAAATCCATTGCTAGCACAGGAGATGACAGCTCTGCGTGTGTTAGTGCCCTGAAGACCTCCTTCCAGTGGGACAAGAGGTGGAGGTGGAAAAAAGTGATATTGATGATAATGACCCTGTGTAGGCCTAGGCTAATGTGTGGTTTTGTGAGTTAGTTTTTAACAAAAAATTTAAAAAGAAAGAAAAAACCTAAAAATAAAAACAAGCTAGCTCATAGAATAAGGATGTAAAGAAAATATTTTTGTACAGCTGTACAATGTGTTTTGTATTTTAAGCTAAGTATGATTACAAAAGGGTCAAAAAGTCAAAAAATTAAAAAGTTTATAAAGTATAAAGTTATAGTAATCTAAGGTTAATTTATTTTTGAAGAAAAATTTAAAAAATAAATTTAGTGTAGCTTAAGTATACAGTGTTTATAAAGTGTATAAAGTTTATAAAGTGTACGGTAATGTCCTAGGCCTTCACATTCACTCACTGCTCACTGCCTCATCAGAGCAACTTCCAGCCTGCAAGCTTTATTGGTGAGTACTCAATCTAAGTGTATCATTTAATACCATATAAAATCTTTCATATCATATTTTTATTATACCTTTTCTATGTTTAGATATGTTTAGATAAACAAATCCTTACCATCGTGTTACAATTGCCTACAGCATTCAGTACAATAACATTCTATGCAGGTTTGTAGCCTAGGAGCAATAGGCTATGCTATACAGCTAGGTGTGCAGTAGGCTGTACCATCTAGGATTGTGTAAGTCCACTCTGTGATGTTCACACACGATGAAATTGCCTAATGCTGCCTTTTTATGCCGCATTTCTCAGAATGCATCCTCATGATTAAGTGATGCATGGCTGTAAGATGTACCTATGTCTCCCAATTATATGCATGATAAGAAAGCTTAAAGCCTTCTCCAAAGCAGTTCCAGTTCTGCTACTGGAAGATAATGAAAGTCACACTATAGTGAGACCAAGTCACTCTTCACTGTGTTTAACATCTGCTGTTTTATGCAGTTAAATTGTTTAACCACGCTTGCTAGGCAAGCTTATAGTGCAGCCTATTCCAAATAACAAATGGTCAGCAACACACAGATACAGTAGAAAAATGTCTCCAGTTTGCCCTACACCGAGAAATTTAACAATCTCCACTTCTCCATTAAAAAAAAAAGCCCCCCACAATGCACAATATACTTTTTGGTTTTCTATTTTCTAGTTGTTATGCTTACTTTCATGCAGAAAAGTTAATTAAAGATATTCAGTTGGAGCCTCGCTCTCTCCTTATAGCTGTTACATGATAATAGTTAGCACTTACTGTAAATCAGTTTATAGTGTATATATAAACTTCAACTACATTTACTTTTCACAGCAATTTCATGGGTAATTTTGCTTTTCTTATGCTACAGATGAAGAAAGTGAAACTTTTATAGATTAAATAACTATCTAATGTGAAACAAGATAAATAGTGCAATTGCCATGGGAGCAAAGCCATGTCTTGTCAGCTTTGAAGCACCAGTGACCTGCACTCCTGGAGCAGTGACAGCAGGGGTCAATGCCACTTCTATGTTCCCAAACCAGGTTACCCCAGCCCATGTATTTAGTGGGTCTTGCTTTTTGATGCCTCCCATGGCTATAATTGCCCATAAGAATATCCAAGTTTAGCCTCATACCCACACTATTTAGAAATCAGAAGAACCCTCAAGGGAGTTTTCATCACAGCCATTGCATACCCCATAAGTACCAGTCATTACAGTAGCATTTCACAGCACTGCTGTCTCCAGAACCTGATACCTCAATACTTCTAGCAGGTACTAGGTGGTGTTCCAGGGCCCATGGAAAATCATGGAATAAACATGATGAAATGTCCAAAGGAATCACTTTTGCAGCAACATTTTGGGGAAAATGAGACATAATTTTATATACTGAAACAAATGAGTAGACTAGTACAATATAACATTTTCACACACAAAAATCAGTTATTTCACGGAATTTTCACCTTCTCAAGGCTCATCCAGGATCCTGTCTTCTTCTCGCACACCCTTGTATCCACCCTCCTCCCTGGGTGGAGTAATTTGAGAAGTGCAATGCAACAAGGCACCGTCAGCACAGTATGCTGGAGTCACCAGCCAAGGGCTGGTTCAGAGATTTGGTGCCATCTTAAAGAAGGAAATAGATAGAGAAAACAGACAAGAAATGTTAAGAACTGCTGGTGTCAGCACTGGCTCCGCATCAGCCAGTCCAGGCCAGCTGTCCAGCCCCAGCCCTCTGTGTTCCCACAGCAGATAAATTGGGATGCTGAGTGTTTCATTTTGGTTAGGTGGAGGTGGGGCTGGAAATCTGGAAAGTCCCCTGCCACACAGGACATTGCTTTGTGCTGTGCTACCTGAACTGTTATTGGAGTCTTAAAGCAAGATAAAGGCAGTGGAGTTTGTCTCCTCCTCTACTGGAAACAATTTTATATAGTGTATTAATAACCGTTATACTAGGAAATAGTTATTGAGTGCTCTCTATGTGCCAGACACAGTGTCAAGCATGTTACACATTATTCTACTTCATCTTTGGAAAAAGACCATTGAGCAGATGATTATCATTTCCCTTCCATAAAGAGGGCGAGGATTATTCAGCCTCAGATGCCCACTGAGGGGTGGTGAGCAGGCACCCAACTCCATCTGACCCATAGTCCACAAGGCCCAGTAGACGGTGGAGATCCTGTGTCCCTATCTCCAGGCCAAATGGGCACCATGCCAAGATAAATTCTTTAAACCAAGCCACATGACCTCTTGTTGAGTGAGGTGGGCTGGACCAGACTGCTAGCCACCCTCTAATCCTTCCACGTCAGTGCTGAGGGAAAGGCCTCACTGGTGGGCCTTACAGTGGCTCGGAGGCTCAGAACTTTTCCAAGGAACTCTGAGATGCTGTGTCCCAGTTGGGGGACTCCGGGGACTCATGACACTCTGAGGCAGAAGACTCGACGCTGTGGATCCTTCTAGCTCCTCTTTGATTGTGTCATCCAAACAGCCAAAGGTCCTTTTCTGCCTTAAACCTTAGAAAGTGTTGACTATAAAACTAAATGAGAAATGAAAACTGCTGTGCAATTACATGTTTCTGCTATTGACGCCATTTGAGAACTCTGGCTTGAGCTATTTTCTTCTCACTGATTTTTCCAATGAGCGTGTTTTATTCTTCTATGAATTCAGTTTGACGGTCTTAACTTAACCAGGCCCTTCAGGCTCTACCAAATTGGGAATTACAGGAGGATTTCTATGAGATGTGTGTGTGAGCTCTGATGGCAATAGTTAATTGATCTTATTTACTAAATGGCTTTATGCCTTTTTTATATCTTTTATTTCTCTCTGGAAAACAGTACCAAGATTTTCATTCTTTCTGAAATATAGATGATAAATCTCAGGCTTAGAGACTGGCTCTTTCAGAGCCCTACAATATTTGGTGGAATCAAGAACCCAATTCTTTGAATTCTGGATCATGTAATTCTTCTACTATGTGTTAGGCAGGGCTGTCTGGAATTCCTGATGTTTGAATATTTTTAACACACAGTAAGCAGAAGTTTCATATGGTTCCACTCAATATAAATGCAGCCTGGTGTATTTGTAAGAAGGTGGACCCAAAAGCTAGATGGCATGTGTTTGAATCATGGTTTTGAAACTTACTGGTTGCTTATACTCTTTGTGCCTTAATTCCTATACTTTAAAATGAACATGCCACTAGCAATTCCCTATAGATATAAGGGTTCAGTGAGACAATACACAAGTGCCCAGAATTGTACCTGGCACAAGACTGACACTCATACAGTGACACTTCACTATTATTGTAGATATTTAGCAAAAGCTTAATTATCAGAAATCCAGCCTTCCCAAATCCTTACACTCATGTCTTGGCCTGAGATCGGCAAATTACTGGAACATAATAACAGCAGTTACAACATAATGAATAACAGTCTTTTCTTTGAGAAACTGTGCAATGTAGGTTGAGGGGATGAAGGGCAGAAGGAGCCCGACACTTCTTGATGTTGTTTGGCAGCTTACATGTTCTCATCCATCTGAAGTTGGCAGATGGAAACTAATCTTTCCTTACCAGGGAAGAAGTTGAGGCCAGGACATGTCAACTGATTTTTCTACAGACCTCAGGATGATGGAGATGCATCTTCATGTAGTTTCTTATTCAGGGCTGGCCCCCCTTTACAGAGCCCCAACACCCCTTTCAAACATGGGCTGGGTGCCAAGCAAGCAAAACCCAGACTTAATCCAGAAACCTTGGAAGCCAGGAGGATCTGGGAGCAGGGAAACCAGTAGAGGAGGGAAGCAAGCATGAGAGGCAGAGGCAGCTGTCAGTGGGTACTGATGCTGCCATGTCCGGGGACAAATGCCCACAGGATGGCAGGTAGGCTCCAAGCTTCGATGGAGGGTGGAAATGAGCACAGGGAGCAGCTCACATCATTTGGAAAGTTGAGTGTTCAGGAGGTCAGTGAGATACAGGAGGGCCAGCAGGAAGCAGTGACTGCACACAGGGCCAGGGATAGACTGTTGTCTGTCACCATACATCTTTCCTGCTGCTTTCCCTCTGGAGGTCATGTTCTGGGCATTCCCACGCTGCCTTGCTCTAGATCATTTGGTTTTTCCAGCTCCTTCCTGAAACCAGAGTGAAAATACTGAGATATCCTCAGCCTTTTGCCCTGAAAATGTTTGATGTCAGCATTCATAGCCAAGGTGTTGCGACTTTACTCTGCTGCTCTATTTATGTTTCGAATGCACAGATCCAGGACAAAGACTACACAAGGATTTGGTTTCCTCAGTGTCCATGCTCCTTGATAATTGCTTTTGCAAAATTAATTTAATAAAATGACTTTCCCAAAATGACTGCTTCAGGGAAGGCGTGTTTTTTTTAGAATTGCTTGACTCCAGGTTGGAACTTTTTTTTTCCCCTGAACTCTCTGTGAGAGGGTCTTTCCTATCACATGTAGACTTTCCTTCTGTTGTTTATCCTGTTGTCTCCAACTGTGTTTCCTTAGGCTGCTGTATTACCCTTTGTGCTTTAACTGTTTTTTTTTCATGTACATGTATCAGTGTTACAGAGCATGTGTATAAAAGTGTAGAGTTTACACTCAGCAAGTAAATGCCAAATTTCACATATGACCAAAATTTGACTCTTTTGAGCAATTTTTTAGTGGAAGAATTCATATTCATTTTCAAATCCATTTGCACAATCTCCACTATATGAGTGGTAAGCACTGGGGGGATACAGAAGTTGATGTGTCCTAATCTGTTCACTTTCCTCAGGAGGGCTGCTGGATGAGATGTTTAACCATGCAGGCGCTGGACGCTTCCGTTTCTTGGGCAGCATCTTGGTCAATCTCTCTTCCTGCGTGGCACTGAACCGTTTCCAGGCTCTGCAGTCTGTCGACATCCTGGAGACTAAAGCACATGAACTCTTGCAGCAGAACAGCTTCTTGGCCAGTAAGTACTCAATGAAAAAATATGTTCGCCAAGATGCCAACTCCTGTAAGTTGTCATTTTGGGAGTTTCTCCCTAAAGGTGTCTTATGATAGCTCAGAAAGAAAAGAAGTCCTTTCCAGATAAAACATAAAATAAAGCAGAACTGTTTACCTTGGATAAAACATAAAATGAAGCAGAAATATTTGCCTTGGTTAATGAAAAGTTGTACCTTATGCCATAGTGACTAATAACGTTTTCACCATCCTAGGACCAATGCTATTTACTGCATCTGCTTTTACCCTTTTATAACATCATGTTCTAGTTAAATCTCACACCATAAGTTATATTATTCCCGATTAAAGTTATACTCTAATTTCCTGCATCACCTTTCCTTTTATCAGAGTATCTTGATATCCTGGTTGGGGCGGAGAGCAGGCAATGGCCAACTCTGCTCCATTATTTAATTGTTCACCCATTCAAGATAAATATGGTGGTGCTCTCATATTCTTTTGGAATACACATTGAATTATTTTTAATTGAGGTTTTGTATTAGTTTCTTAAGGTTGCTGTAACAAAGTATCGCAGACTAAAACAAGAGAAGTTTATTGTCTTAGAGTGCTGGAAGCTAGATATTCCGGATGGAGACATCCACTGGTTTTTCCTGCGGGCTATGAGGAGAGAATCTTCTCTAGGCCCCTCTCATTGGCTTGTAGGTGGCCATCTTCTCCCTGGGTTTCTGCACCTCATCTTCCCTCTATGTATTTCTCTGTGTTTAAGTTTCCCTCTTTTTATAAAGACACCTTCATATTGAGTTAGGGCGCACCCTAATGGCCCTCATTTTAACTTGATTACTCTTTAAATGTTATCTCCAAATATAGTCACATTCTGAGGTACTGGGGGTTAGGACTTCTACATATGAATTTAGTAAGGGACACGATTTAGCTGTGATAGGCTTTATGCATACAATTCAAAGAATCCGTGTGGCATAAAATAGAATCCATGTATTTAAGTTATGAATGATAAGTAACCCCAAAGAGATGGATTCTGCACATTGAGTTAACATCTGCAATCAAGAGAAAAAAACCCTGCAAAAAACATCTGACAAATAATTTCTTTGTGTTGATTATACCACAGTTTGCTTTTATGAAAAATACAAAGCAGCACTGGACAGGGAATTAAGAGATCTTGGTTTAGGCTTACCACCAATTGCCTGTGTGACTGAAAGTCAGCTTTGCCACTGCGGGCTGGGGCTCTGAGTCTGCAGGAGTGGAGGGCTGTGAGTCTCAGGCTCCTGCAACTTTTCCTGTCTCACCCAGTGTAGGCGTGGTTTGAGCCACTCCCTACAGTGTGGTAATGCTTCGTTTTTCCTTTTCTGCCACTAGGTATCATTTTCAGCAATTCCTTATTCGACAAGAACTTCAGATCAGAGTCTGTCAAACTGCCACCCCATGTCTCATACACAATCCGGACCAATGTGTTATACAGCGTGCGAACAGATGTGGTAAAAAACCCTTCTTGGAAGTTCCACCCTCAGAATCTACCAGCTGATGGGTTCAAATATAACTACGTCTTTGCCCCACTGCAAGACATGATCGAAAGAGCCATCATTTTGGTGCAGACTGGGCAGGAAGCCCTGGAACCAGCAGCACAGACTCAGGCGGCCCCTTACCCCTGCCATACCAGCGACCTGTGAGTAGCCTGGGGCAGGAGCCACCGACAGTGAGAAGGGCCTTGCATTTGTCTAGCTGAGGAGAGAAAACTCAGTTTTTCTATGGTTATTTCAAAAAGCACTGTTAAAAAAGTTCACCCCCCACTTTTTAATTTCGTAAGGTTCATTTTTTTTATATGCTTGTACTCTTCAGGTAGAAGAAATATAATGGTTGAGATAATACAATCAAGTGAAGTTTTAAATTTGACATCAGGCATCATCTATAGTTTTAAATACACTTAAAATAAATTTGATGAATAACATTCACAAGGGCTGTGCATGTCCAACAAAAGATTCCACTTACCTAACCTTGGGAAAACTGAGGGAGGTTATTTTCTCTGCAGTGCAAATCCTTAGATATAGGCTGTATACTGGACAGGGTGGTGAAGGATTCCATACAGGCCTTGACCATGGCTTGGGTACCCATGAAGTAATATGAGAACATTTAGGAGTTTGATTGTGTAATTTGGCTGCTGACATCTATAGGAAGAGGGGAAGCTCAGTGAAGGGCTGGAGCAGCTGGACAAGAGGACTTGGAGGGGACATCATGGAGGCATTAAAACAGCCATCAGGGAGGCCAGGCAGGGGATGTTTGCAGAGAGGACGGGAGACTATGGTCGGACTGGGGCTCAGTGAACCTGAGGGTGAGCTTGGACACCTTGGCAGGTTCAGACAATGAACAGACTTCAAAGCTCACCAAAGCGGGGTGAGCCGTATTGCTGTGGGCTGTGGGGCTCAGCCTGGATTTCTTACTTTCCTCATGGTGCATACTGTTCTCATAAGCATTCTGCTCCCACAGCTGGCCTGGCTCTGGATAATGTAGGTCATTCATTTGCAATCCCTGCATGCTGGCTCTGATGCAGGGCCTCAGGAAGGTACCACCTTCCTACCCTCTCTCAAAAGCACACTAGGAAGTAAGTGGCTGAACATGAGGCTACTGAAGGGACCGGTTTGCGTGTTCTCTTAGTTATGAGAACAGGGACAAGTACTCATCCTTCATCGAAACACTGCCAGTAACAACTCATGGCACCTCCCACCCCTGACTGGGGCAGAGCCATGGACCACCAAGCAGAAGTCAGGACTGCCTCTCCAGGTGACTGGGCGACACACACGTGAGGATAGGTGACTTGATGTCTTGACCCCTCCTTCCTGTCTAGTGATAGGCTGCATACATAATAGCACATCCACACATTTTTTATGAAAATGCTGGTTGTACAGGAAGGACTTTCCCACAGTGGGAGGATAAAAGGCTGAAGACCACCTGATTGAACTCATCTTGGGATAGCCTAGTGTGGTGCGGTGAACAAAAGGTCAGGAAGAAAGAGACTAAGGCGACATTTTCACTCAGGGGCTGCCTTGTTAGGCAGACTGTTAGTAAGCCTCTTAACTTCTTTCTTTGTAAAATGATAGCTTTTCTTTCTTTTCAAAGTGATGATATTTTTGGCTATGAACATTTTCAACCTGTGATTTTCTGCTCCTAAAGCATGTTTCTTGGAGGTGATAGCAGCAGGAGCAGAACCGAAGAAAAGTGCTGTTGTTGGCTAGTTGTCATGCACAGACACTTCATACCCAGTGCAAACACCTGAGAGCTCTGAGAATTAGTGATCTGTGTTAGATACTGGGAGAAGCCGAAGTTTTATTATGCTCATTTTCTAAAGGCAAACCTGAAATCTATTGCATTCTGACAATCTCCTTCTAGCTCCAAAGTATGCTATGATCTCCACCCATGAAAGAGCGGGGTTGTGCTTACGTGGATGGGAACATGACAATTCCCTCTGCTCCGGTTCACAGGAGGAGACTGGGGGTTTACTTTGTCCACTCTGACATAGGATATTTCCCAAGAAGGCACGATGGGAAGAACAGCATACACTCCTACAAATGTATTGATGGAAATCCAGAAATGGCCTGAGTAATCAGTTTTCAATTCCTACTGATCATAGTGTATGGCTAACAGACATTGCAAGAGAGCTAGAAAGGAGGAATTGAGGGACATGGATGGAGACATATTTTTTCACCCCTTGAAGATAAATTCTGATGTATGAGAAACATTCCAGCCTAAAACGTTGGAATGAGTGGAATACCCAGGTATGATTCTGATCTCATGGAATTACCTCTCTTATTCTACTACTGGGATACAGCAATATAACTCCTCAGAAGTATTGCTTTATTTCTTTGAGAAAGATGAAGAAGTATTTTAATTCTCTGAAATATTTAAATCTTTGAGATTTCTCACTGTGCTATATCCATCTTTTATCTCTTGTTTCGAAGTCTCCCTTTCTTGAGGGCTTAGAGTACCTGCAGTGATTGAAACACAGTCTGAGATCTCGAAAGAACTCAGTCACTTGAGTAAAAATCCTAAAGCACAGTTTGTACTGTAGACAATGTTTGTTAAAATTTTTTTAGCAGTTTCCTCCTGCTTACTGAATGAGCTACATATTCATTAATTTATGAATTTATTCAATGACTTTTATGTACTATTTGTCAGTCTCTAGACTGAATAAGTAAAGAAAATAAGTAAATCAGTAAAGAAAATAGGTGAATCAGTAAAGAAAATAGGTAAAAATCCCTGCTCTTGTGAGACTTCCAGTCCAGGGAAGCAGAGGTGCCACAAATACAATTAAGAAGACAATTGCATTGAATGATAGGAAGCAGGAAGTGCCGTGGAGCTGGGAAATAGGATGAGCAGGGTCAGGGACACTAGGAGGGGAAGATGGAATTGTTAATGTGGATGGGGTAGACCCTATCAGGAAGGTAGCATTTTAACAAAGACTTGACGGGATGCAGAAGCACAAGGGGAAGTGTGTTCTAGGGCAGAGGAACCCCCCATGCAAAGGCCCTGTGGTAGGAGTGGCCTAGGGTATGTGTGAAGAGTCACCAGAGCAGAGTGCACAAGGGCAAGAGGGTGGGAGATGAAGTCAAAGAGCTGATTGTAGATTGCATGGTTGCAGGTGACTGGAGTGGTATTAAAAGACTGCTGGAGAGTTTCGAGCAGGAGTGATGTCATCATCTGACTTATACTGTAAAAGTCTTGCTCACGCTGTTGGGTGGAAAAGAGCTTGTAGGGGTATGTGTGGGACAGAGAAATCATTTAGAAGGCTGTTGTAATAACCCAGGTGAGAGATGATGGTGGCTTGGTCCAGTGTGGTAGCAGAGAAGCTGGTAAAAAGTGGTCTGATTCTTGGTTGCATTCAGGAAGTAGAGGCAACAGAATTGCCAAAAGATTTGATGAGGGCGTGATAGAGAGACATCGAGGAAGATTCCCCTATTTTGGTCCAAGTAACTGGATTGCTGGAATTATCTCTAACTATAATAGAAAAACTGTGGGTAGAGGTTTGGAGGATAAGGATAGAAACTCAGCTTTGGACATGTCTAGTAGGCAGATTTGTTCAGGAGGCTGGGACAATGTATGGATCTATTAATTTAGGAGTCTCCCCGATTTTGATGGCATTTAGAACTCTAAGATATTACCATGGGAAGGAGTATAGATAGAAAAATAGAGAGGGCCGAGACCAAATGTGGGGCCCCTCCCATGAAGAGGTAAATGAGAAGAGGAGATTGAGAAAGTATCATTGAGGCAGGAGGAAAACCTACAGAGTGTGGAATCCTGGAGGTCAAGCTGAGCAAAAGACTCCAGGAAGAGGAGTGATCAAGTGTGTCATATGTGGCTCATGGGTGAAATAAGGTAAAGACAGATAATCGACCATTGGATTTACACCATCCAGGACTTCATAGAGAGTAGCTTCCATGATGTGGTGAGAATGACGGCCAAATTAGAGTGGACAGAATGGAGACTTGGAGGGGTAGAATTGGAGAGTGAACTCAGACAGCTCTCAATGGGAAGAAATGGGAGGTGACTTCTTCTTCTTCTTTTGGAAGAAGTCTTTTTTTTTTTTTTAAATATAAGATGCTACCTGGGGAATAGTCCAGTAAGATGGGAAAATTGGTAGTGTATAAACGGGGGGGACAGCTGTGTCCTGAATTAGTCAAGGGGAAGAGACCTCAACAAGTGGAGAGACCTACTATAGGTGGGAACATGGCAATTCACCTGTGGTAACAAAACCTGTTTAACTCTATTTAACTAAAAATTTTCCACTTTTCTTGCACACAGATCTCTCTCTCTCCTCCTTTTATTTTTCATGTAGTATCTACCAGCAGCTCATGGAACTAATGTCCTGAAAGGCATGCATTGGAAAATGTTGCTGGAGACTGTAGAGATGGATAGGCAGCAGCAGTTTTTGAAATTGCATGTTCCTATCAACCCCCTGATTCATAGGCAGTTATCATAGAATAATTTTATGATTGGAACTGTAGTGTGTACTTCATGAATATAAAGGAATTCAAATGTTAATGTGTTGCTTCAAAGAATAAGCCAACTTAATAAACAGGTTTTCAGAAAACAAAAACCACAACAATATCCTGGGATTGTTTTATATGCACAAAGAATATTTATTTGAAAGGTCACCTGTTATTTCCTCTATTGCTTTTTGGCTGCTTCAATTCCCACCACCCTGGGGTGGGTTCAAGAGAAGGAGAAATGGAGCGTGCTGGGTCAGGCTGAGTGATGGCTCCCGTGAGGCGTTGCATCTGGACTTTGATGTGTCTTGGGCAAAGTGGAGAGTGAAGGGTTGACAGCCACTCATGCTTGAAATGTTGAATTCCTGCTTAAAAAAAAATCAGCTTGATCCACAACAGACCAGTGAGAGGACCTCTCATTTTATTTATTTTGATTGTTTCTCTTCCTTGGGCTCTACTTCAGGTAACTTTATTAAACACCTCTCTCTTCCATTTAGTCAATAGTCATTGTTCTCAGCAGAAATTCCCATTCTTGATGACCCTCAGCGCTCAGAGCTGCTGGAAGCCCCCTCTGTTGCCCGCAGGCTCTGTCCTGTCCCACCAACGCAGGTAATTTGTTGGTGATACCAACTGTAGTGGGAAGGAGAAGAAAAACCCTCATTAAATTTTACAATTCTTCACTTTCTCAAGCCCCACACAGCTCTTACAAACTTATCTCCTTGCTGGGCAGAGGAGGATGGTTTCTCATTAAAACCTCAGCAAATCGTTTCTCCAATTTGTCTATGTTCTTTCCCTCAACAGCAGCAAAGTAATCTCTTAAAATTGTATCACATTTAAAAAAATCATCTCACTTATTCTCTAAAAACCTTAAAAGTACAGTGGAAGAAATTGAGACGCTGATAGGGTAAGTTATTTCCCCCAAGATCTCACAGCATCTTAATACCCCTCACTCCCCAAATAAACTATTAATTGCCACTTGCTACTTTTAAGCACTTTGTGCAGGATGCTTGGTCACTTGGCTGCCATTTCACTCCATTGTATTTGAAAGTCTGGTATGTTTTCGGCCGGGTGTGGTGGCTCACACCTGTAATTCCAGCACTTTGGGAGGCCGAGGCGGGCAGATCACAAGGTCAGGAATTCGAGACCAGCCTGGCCAACATGGTGAAACCCGGTTTCTACTCAAAATACAAAAATTAGCTGGGCATGGTGGCACGCGTCTGTAATCCCAGCTACTCGGGAGGCTGAGGCAGGAGAATTGCTTGAACCCAGGAGGCAAAGGTTGTAGTGAGCTGAGATTGCACCATTGCACTCCAGCCTGGGTGACAAGAGCAAACTCCGTCTCAAAGAAAAGAAAAGAAAAAAAAGAAAGGACAGGACAGGACAGGACAGGACAGGACAGGAAAGGAAAGGAAAAAGGAAAGGAAGGGGAGGGGAGGGGAGGGGAGGGGAGGGGAGGGGAGGGGAGGGGACAATGCCTGCCTGGCATGTTTTCTTATATCCTAGCCAGAGCTCAGATTTGAGCAGTAGTTCTTAACCTTGGTTGGTGGGAGTTTGGAAGTGTATGGGGTGTTTTGATGGTAACAGTGGGGACCAGTGTATGTTTAGTGCCTAAGGGCCAGTGGTGACAATTGTTGTGTGATAAATGACACTGTAGTGTGCAATGAAGAATAGTCCTAGCCAAATTCCAAAACACCCTCATTTAGATCCACTGTTTGCTCTGCCTCTGGTAAATTATTTCAAGGGCCTTCATCATTCACTCATATAGTTATTCCTCTATTCATCTATGTAGAAACATTTTGTTTTCATATTCACTGTATGACACACATTCTATGCTGGGATGGATGCAGAGATCAGCACTATGCAGTTCTTGAGGTCTAGAAACTCACTGCTTAATGCAGTAGTTAGTGTACATTCATAACTAATAAGGGGCGAAAAGGGAGATACAGATACTGTAAAAGTGGCAGCACTGGGTTGCTCACAATTGATTTCATGCCTTCCTCTACCTAGTAAAATATAGGAGAATTTCTTGGTAGAATCTGTATGACCTGAGAGTCTGAATTAAGGTCTCAAAGTCTCCTTCTTTAGACATATTGGATCTTGACAGTGCATCTCACCTTCTAAGTTTATCCGATCTCTTTCGAGCTTCCTGGATCCCTTTAGAGTCTCAGACTTGACATGATGACAGAACTGGGATGAAAAAACTGCATTTGGGTGCCAGCTTTGACACTTGCTGGTTCGCAGGACCTTGGGCCAGTTTTGCGCCAGCTTTGGGTGTCGGTCTCCTCAGCTCATACGGGGTATTAACTGCTGTCTGCCCAGTGCATTGGCTTGTAGTGCGCAGTGAATTATCCTGCTTGAGGAGACCTTGAGACTTGTGAGGGGCAACGCCAGGCACTGTGAATGGGTGGGATGCTCTGAGTGGCAGCCCACTCCATTCTTGGGCAGCTTCAAATCTGAGAAAGTTCCTCCACCTACTGATGCAGAAGGTCAATCTGCATGACTCTGGCAATGGCTGAGTCAGGAACACTAGAGTCTTAAATGCCCCTTACTTCACCTTCCCTGACCTCCACTCACCTCCAATTCACAAATCACGTCAGACTTCAGCTGGCTGTGTTGTGCGGAAGGCAGCGGAGACAGAGCTAGCAAGTGACAGGGGCAACATGAGTGTGCCTCTGGTTCCATGAAAAGGAAAGGGAGGATAAAGGGAGAGAGAGAAAGTGGAGGCCAAATGCACTGGTCCTTCTCTTCAGCAGTTGCCCCCAGCTATGTCCTGTCTCCCCATGGTTGATGTGGACTGGTCCTGGGCAGTAGTGGTGATGGAGGCCGGTGGAGAGGGGCAGAAGCAGGGAAGGGCAGAGGCCGGGCTGATGTGAGAGGTGGTGGCTGGAAATTTGCCTCCTCCCTGCACTTGCCTCAAAGTCCTACATCCTGAGAAAACAAAACAAAAAACAGACAACAACAGCAACAAAAACCAGCTGATTTCTCAGGGTGGTTCTTTCTATAGTAAGACTTTGGTCCAACACGCCCATGACTTTTCTGTCATTGCACTCACTGATAGTGCTGACAGAGGCAAGTAACAGATCAAATACCAGGAGCAAGGCTTACTAAAATGGAAACCAAAAAGTCCACCTGCAGAAAAAGCAATGGTGACAATTAGTGTTTGTGAAGATCAGAGTATCCCTTTAGAAAGGCTTAAAGAAGTAAGAGAGTTTAATTTCCTTTTTTGTTTTTACTTTTATTTTATTTTATTTTTTATTATACTTTAGGTTCCAGGGTACATGTGCACAACGTGCAGGTTTGTTACATATGTATACATGTGCCATGTTGGTGTGCTGCACCCATTAACTCGTCATTTACATTAGGTATATCTCCTAATGCTATCCCTCCCCCCTCCCCCACCCCATGACAGGCCCCGGTGTGTGATGTCCCCACTCTGTGTCCAAGTGTTCTCATTGTTCAGTTCCCACCTATGAGTGAGGACATGGAGTGTTTGGTTTTCTGTCCGTGTGATAGTTTGCTCAGAATGATGGTTTCCAGCTTCATCCATGTCCCTACAAAGGACATGAGAGAGTTTAATTTCCTAATGGTATAATTTATAGATAGTTCTTTGATTTGGGTTCCAGAGAAGGGGAAACATACAGAGAATATTCTCGATTCTTAGTTTGATTCATGCTCTCCTGATAAGAGGAAAATCCTATTTCTGAGGTTACTGAGACATCCCTGACCTTTGTGTGTATGTTTTTTATTTTTAGTTCTATAAACAAGTGATATTCAAGAGTGAAGAAAATAGAGAAAATAATTCACACTTAATATCCTGTTCCAAATAGACACTTATTTGTTTATTTATGTTTTCTTTTGGGATGAGTCCCTCATTCTTTGTCGTTGTGATTCATGTTTTACAAACTAGAAATCGCAAAGTCTTGCCAAGAGTTAGCCTGAAAGTTTTTGTGCTACATACTCATTTGGGAACTATTTACGCAGTACTTATTATGTGTCATGCACTGTAATCGCATGACATATGTAGTAGGGAAAGATGTAGTCCTGCCTTGAGGAAGCTTGGAGAGCAGGGATTGTTATGACCGTATTAAGATGAGACAACCAGCCTGGACAGCATAGCAAGACCCCATCTCTACAGAAAATAAACAAAATTAGCTGGGCGTTGTGGTGTGTTCTGTAGTCCCAGCTAATTGGGAGGGTGAGAGGGGAGAATTGCTTGAGCCCAGGAGGCTGAGGCTACAGTGAGCCCAGATCATGCCACTGTACTCCAGCCTGGGCAACAGAGTGAGACCCTGTTTGGAAAAAAAAAAAAAAGACAAGAAAACTACGAATGACTTAAATCTGCTCTGCTGTGACCCCGCTCTAGTGGAGACTGCAAGGGACGAGAATCACAGCACCTCTTTAAAACTTGGTACTCAGTGCAGTTGTTGTTGGTGATACATAATACATAATGCTTCAACTTTAAATATGAACCACTTCCAATTATTAAGATCCTAGAAGAGAGAAATTAAAGTCAAAAAATGAAACAATTTTCTTCTCTCCCTTTCTCCCTACTCATCCTCCTTCATTCCTCTCTCGGTGTGGTTACTCCTCTTTTAACATGCTTTTTCCTTATTTTAAAAATTCATGATGTGCAAGTTATTTCATTCTTTTCTTATTTGACTTCTGTTTTCTCAAAGAACCCTATTTGGACTTCATCAATTCTCTCTTTTGTCTCATCTAACTTTTTCTGCTTTTATTTTTATTACTTCCTTACTTTTCTGTATCTTCAATATATTCTTTTATAATTTGAGACTAAAGTTTAATTCATTATTTTTAGTTTTTTTCTTAAATATTTGTAGTTAAATATATTATGTAGGTAATATATTTAACATAAGGTAATGACTGTTCTTTCAACTCCTACCTTATATCCCATAGATCTCATATGTAGCTAACAATTTATTGTTTTCTAGATGCATGCAGTACAGGTTTCTATTTTCTCTTTGACCCAAGAGCTGTTTAAATAAAGCTTCTTTTAATTTCCAGGTGAAAATTCTCAAGAATTTTAAATATATGAAAAACTATGTTTACACAGCTTACTTGTAATAAGAAACATACAAATTAAATCTGCTTTGTAATAGTATGTTTTTACATATCAGAGGGACAAAATACAAAAATTGCATTATATACTAAATTGCCAAGTTCTGTTGCTAAATCTTAATTTCTGAATTGCAGTCAAAATATGATTCTTATTATTTCTGTTTTGGTATCAAGTAATATATAACCCACTTTTGTGAATGATTTGTAGACACTTGAAAAGAATTTCTAATTCCCTATTTTAGGGCAGAGAATTTGGTCTGTGTTATTTTTGTTATGTAGGATTTTTCTATCCTTAATTTATGTCGTCTTGATCTGTCTTAGACTGGGATAGGTAAATTATACTCCCTTATTACTTGGTTGTCCTTCTCTCTTTTTCCTGTGGAGTTTGGCTTTTGGATATTTGTGCTTTGTTACTGTGTGCATTACTATGAATAATTGTGTCTTTTAATGCTTTGTGGACATAACTCTACCTTGTTTGATATTGAAATGGTGAACTCTGCTTTTTTTCCCTTCTCTTCACTCTTCCTCTTCTTCTTTTTTTTTTTTTTTTTTTTGCCTTTTGGTGTTTCTATTTGCTTGATATGACTTTGCCCATCCTTTCATTTAAATTTTTTCTGAAGCATTTTGTTTCAAGTGTGTCTCTTGTATGCATTATATAGCTTCTTATATATGTGGCCTTAATTCTTTGATAGTATAAAATGCAATTATAAATTATATATAGTCTTGCCTCTATCTTGTGTTTCTTATGCTTATAATTTTTCTTTTAAGCTAATATTTAATAATGTTTTATTATTATTGTAGTGGTTACCTTATAATTATAACATTATATAAGTAATATAAACCCTTGTTTTTTTATCACAAGCAATAAAAACTTAAAATATGTTCTCTTATTTCATCATATATTTTCTCTTGTCCATCATGCAATTTTAGCTGGTATTGTTAATCTTACTTAATGTTGCCTTTTGTACTGTTAAAGACACTTATACTAATATTCTACATTTGCCAATATTTTAAAAAATAGTATTTGAGTTTGGCATGCACCAACTTTTTCTTCGTCTCTAACTCATTCCCCATTATCCTTCCATTTGTTTTTCATATCATTTCTGCATTTCAGGGAATAGTAGCATTTCCAATCTGTCTTGTAACCTTAATTCCTGTTTTTGTTTTAGTCTTGCTTTTACAGGAAAATGTACTCATTGCTTACCATCAGCCCTTTCACTGTAATTTACCAGTCATCATTTGGCGGGATGAAGTTTGCCATCTAGTAATTTCCTTAAGAAGCTCTCATAAGATAATATAACCTGAATTCCTACATACGTAAAACTCTTTGTAGCATTTATATTTGAAGGACATCTTGGCTGAATAGAAAACCCTTGGTTCATTCCTTCCTTAAGTATCCTGTAAAAATTGTCTTTGGTCTTAAATGTTATTATGGAGAAATCTGGGGCCACATTGTTATTTTCTCCCTTTTATATAACTTGGTAATTTTGGCAAGCTGCCAGTAGCTTGAAAACGCAATAAATTTTATAAGAGTATGTTTCATTGTTGAACATTCTAGGACAATTTTCTATGATGACAAGACAAGTCCTTTGGATGTGTAGATTTTAATTTTTTTTAATGGAGACTCTTGATGTATTCTAGCTTTGCAAATTTAGAAATACTTAGTTTTTCTTTTTCAGGGAGTTTAATTGCCTGCGTTTCTTTTCCCTGTGTTTCTAATCAATAGATTTTTACATTTTAAAAAACTCTATTCCTGTTTCCTTTAGTTGCATTTCTTGCACCTATTTTCTACATCCCTTACTGTATTTTGTGCAGTATCAATTTGGCCTGTGTTTCTTCCAATTTTATTCTCCTTTGTCTGATGGCTAGTTTTTTTCACATATTTTTTCTAAGTTCTTCCAATTCCCATTTTATATCTTTCTGCTACTTTACCATCTCATTAACTCAATTCTAATGATTGTGCTGTGTGGTGTTTCTTATAGAGGGGCTTGCCTTGTTTAAATTGTTTAAATATATTTAAATTGTTGACAAAAAGTATGTTCACTATTATCATCTGTTCAATGAGACCAACTTTTTCGCATGGGTTTTTCACTTGTTAATAATTATGCAACTCTCAATCTCTTTTTATTTCTTGCCCAAATGTTGTGCTAAATTTTTGTTACCGTGATTGTTACTCATCTGGAATGAATTGGATATTCCTGTCCAGGTATCTGCAAGAGGGTCCTGGTGGTGGTGAGGACCAGGTGCCATTAATGACCTTACAGCTCAAAAGCTTACTTTTCCATTGCCACAAAGATAGAGTGCTTCCTGAAAACATATGGATTTCTCACATAGCCTCCGTCTTCTGTTTCCCTGGAAATAGGGTCTAGGAGAAGGCTTCTCACGCTAGTCAATGTAACTTTTTTTTGCTTTTTTATTGATACACAGTAGTTGTTCATATTCATGAGTTACTTGTGATAATTGGATACATGTGTACAATGTGTGATAATCAAATCAGGGTAATTGAGATAGCCATCACTTCAACAATCATCTCTTTGTGTTAGGAATATTACAAAGCCTGTCTTCTAGCTATTTTGAAATATACAAGTTATTGTTAAGTACAGTTCCCTTAGTGTGCTATTGCACACTAGAACTTATCCCTTCCCTCCATTTGTACACACTAAACAACCTCTAATTATCTTCCCCTCCCCTTTACCCTTCCCAGCATCTGGGTAACTCACTACTCTACTTTCTACCTCAATGAGTTCATTTTATTTTTAGCTCCCACGTATGAGTTAGAACATATATTTGTCTTTCTGTGTCTGGCTTATTTCACTTAATATAATGTCCTCCAGTTCCATCCGTGTTGCTTCAAATAACAGGATTTTTTCTTTGTAATTGCTAAATAATATTCCATTTTGTATATATGCCACATTTCTTTATCTTTTCATCCATTGATGAACACTTAGGTTGATTCCATATCTTAGCTATTGTGAATAAGTCTGCAATAAACATGGGAGTGCACATATCTCTTCGATATACTGATTTTCTTTATTTTAGATATACACTCTGCATTGGAATTGCTGGGTCATATTGTAGTTATATTTTTTAGTTATTTGAGGAAACTCCATACTGTTCTCCACAGTGTCTCTACTAATTTACATTCCCACCTAACAGAGTGTGGGTTTTCCCTTTTCTCCAAATCCCTGCCAGCGTCTGTTATTTTCTCTCTTTTTGATAGTAGCTATTTCAATTGGGGTAAGATGATATCTCACTGTGGGTTTGATTTGCATTTTTTTGATGATTCATGATGTTCAGCATATATTTGTATAACTGTTGGCCATTTGTGGTCGTTTATTTTTGAGAAATATTGAGTCAGATCTTTTGCCTATGTTTTAATTGGATTATGTGGGTTTCTTGCTATTGTATTTGTTTGAGTTTCTTGTATATTCAGGCTATTAGTCCCTTGTCAGATGGATACTTTGCAAATATTTTCTCCCATTCTGTAGGTTGTCTTTACACTTTGCTGATTGTTTCCTTTGTTTGCAGAAGCTTTTTAGCTTGATGTAACATCATTTGTCTATTTTTGCTTTTGTTGTCTGTGCTTTTGAGGTCTTACACAAAAAGTCTTTGTCCAGAATCAGTGTCCTGAAGCAGTTCTCTGATATTTTCTTCTTGTAGTTTTATTGTTTTGAGCTTTACATTTAAGTCTTTAATCTATTTAGAGTTGATGTTTGTATATGGCAAGAGATAAGGCTCTAGTTTCATTCTTCTGCATATGGTTATTCAGTTTTTCCAGCATCATTTATTGAAGAGATAGTCCTTTTCCCAATGTATGAACTTGGAGCCTTTGTTGAAAATGTGTTGGCTACAAATGTGTGGGTTTATATTTGTGTTCTTTATTCTGTTTCATTGGTTTATGTGTCTGTTTTTAACCAAAGAAGTGAAAGATATCTACAAAGAAAACTATGAAATGTTGATGTGATGTGAGAAGTTAAAGAGGACATAAAAAATGAAAAGATATCCTATGCTTATTGATTAAAAAAATTGTTAAAATGTCTACATTACCCAAAACAATCTGCAGATCCAATACAATCCTTATTAAAATACCAATGACATTCCTCACAGAAATAGAAAAAAATCCTAAAACTTATATGGAACCACAAAAGACCCAGAATAACCAAAGCTATCTTGAGGAAAAAAAATGAAGCTGGAGGCATCACACTACTTGTCTTCAAAATATAATACAAAACCATAGTAATCAAAGCTTTAGTCTCCATTTTATTTATTTCTGCTCTAATATAAAGTCTTTCATCAAAGAAAAGCCCAGGACCTGATGGCTTCACTGTGACCCGTGTTCTGCTTGCTCCAACCTCTGGTCCTTGCCCTTTTTTTTCCTTTGCCTGGAGCAGTCTTCCTTTAGATACCTGTGTGACTCATTTCCTTACTTCATCCGCTTTCTGCTTGAGTATTTTTTTCCCGCTGTCAGCTCAGCTAATCACCCTGTCTGAAATAGCATTCCTTCTCACTTTTGGTTAAGCTAGTTCTTTTTTACTCATAGCATTTATCACTACCTGATATTATGCATCTCTGTTTTAGTCCTTTCTGTGCTGCTATCACAGAATACCCGAGACTGGGTAGTCTGTGAAGAAGAGAAATTTATTTGGCTCATAATTCTGGCAGGAAGTCCAAGATCAGGCAGCCTTTCTGGTCAGCTTCTGCTGAGGGTGTCATGCCACTTCAACTCATGGCGGAAAGTGTAAGGGGAAGAGGGTGTGCGCTCCATACATGAGAGGCAACCCTGCTTCATAACAGCCAGCTATCTCAAGTACCTGGAATCTATCAATCCAGTATCCTGGAAACTCAACTTGTCTCATGAGAACTGCATTAATCCATTCATGAGTGTGGAGACCCCATAACCCAAACACCTCTTAAAGGCTGCATCACCTCTCAATACCATCACATGGGCAATTAAATGTCAACATGAGTTTTGGCAGAGACAGAACATAGCAATCTCTGTGTTTATTGGATTATTTTATGTCCCCTCCCACCTTGCCGACACACTGGAATGAAAGATCCTTAATGGCAGGACCTTTTTCTGTTTGGCTCATTCATGTATCACCAGCCCAGTAACACGGCTTGTACCTTCAGTTGGTCTCAATGTTGAATAAATAATTATTATGTGGATTTAGAGCTCAGAGAGTATGTGGTGAGAAGACAGAGGGTCCAGCTTGAGGTAGGAATGCCTACATTTAAAGGCAGGTAAAGGAGAAGTTGCCAAGATGTGGGTGCAAAGCTGGGAGTTGTTCTGGAAGCTAAGAGAAAAGAGAGGAGGAGGGAATGACCAATGCCATCCAACATGTCTGAGAACTCAAGAAGGAAAATGACTGGATAATTCTCATTGGATTTTGAGGCATGACTGTCATTGATGCCCTAGATAAGAGTCATTTCAAGTGTATATTAGAAATGGAGCCCAGTTAGAGTGGGTTGAAATATGAGTGTTAGGAAAATAGAAAGGAAGACTTTCATTTGCCAATTTTCACGTATTTTGTAGATGATAATCTGTGATCAATTAATATCAATAATTGAAGATAGATAATGGTCCCAATTAAATGGGGGAAATGGCAGGCATGGATTAATGACCTGCTTTGCTCCAACCTGCTCTGCCTATGGCAGGTGTCAGAGAGTATTGTGGTTGGGCTATGGCTCTCTGAGAGATCTCGAACCAGTTGTGTCTCCTTCATGGGTTCCTTCATGAATTTGCATACCTACAAAATCAGCACACCAATCATGGCCCTCCTACCTAAGTCACAGGCATGTAGAAATGACCAAAGGAGATATCACTCCTGAAAGAGCTTTCTAACTTGGAAGAAAAATGTAAAAAATTAGTAGAGTCATTTTGCTTGTCTCCGGATGCTGACTGAATTATCCCCTTACAGATTCCTGAACAACGTTGGTTTCTTTTTTCCACTGATAATGATGCTGACGTGGATGGTGTCTGTGGCCAGCATGGTCAGAAAGTTGGTGTATGAGCAGGAGATACAGATAGAAGAGGTAAATATCCTTAAACCTTGCCTGGGAGACAAAGATAGGGAGGCTGGGGACTTTGGAAATGGATCTTGTCCCATAACCAACCTGAGCCTCTCTGTTTTGCTTCCCTCTCCTCTGCTGGGGTTCTGGTGTACAAAATAGCTGAGTCCCTGTTCCAGAAAGAAGATTTTATGTTGAAGTCTGAAGCAATGCCAGATATTTTCCACTGACATGAAAGAAAGCCAAAGAATAGCCACATGAGATTGCAAGAACAAAGCCAGTGTTCCTCATTCAGCAACTTTTTTAAAACCCAGAAAAACATAGCAGCAGACTTCCCATCTTAATTTATGCTTAGAATTTTTTATGTAGAGACCCTGCTATTTTTTTTGTAATACTGTTATAAAACTTGAAACTATCATAACTTAAATTTTTTTATTTCCATAGGTTTTTTGGGGAACAGGTGGTGTTTGGTTACATGAATAAGTTCTTCGGTAGCGATTTCTGAGATTTTGGTGCACCCATCACCCGAGCAGTGTACCCTGTACCCAGTGTATAGTCTTTTATCAATCACCATCCCCAACCCTTTACTCTGAGTCCCCAAAGTCCAAAGAATCATTCTTATACCTTTGTGTCTCATAGCTTAGCTCCCACACGTGAGTGAGAACATATGATGTTTGGTTTTGCATTCCTGAGTTACTTCGCTTAGAATAATAGTCTCTAATTCCATCCAGGTTGCTCTGAATGCTATTATTTCATTCCTTTTTATGGATGAGTATATCCCATGGTGTGTGTGTGTGTATGTGTATATATATATATATATATATATATATACACATACACACACACATTTATATATATACATTTATATATATATATACACACATATACATATACACACACACACACACACACAGACATTTTCTTTATTCACTCATTGATTGATGGGCATCTGGGTTGGTTCCATATTTTTGTAATTGCGAATTGTGCTGCTATAAACATATGTGTGCAACTATCTTTTTCATGTAATGACTTCAGGAGTGGGATTGCTGGTTCAAATGGTAGATCTACTTTTAGTTCTTTAAGGAATCTCCACACTGTTTTCCATAGTGGTTGTACTAATTTACATTCCCACCAACAGTGTAACAGTGTTCCTTTTTCACCGCATCCATGCCAACATCGATTATTTTTTGATTTTTTTGATTATGGCCATTCTTGCAGGAGTAGAGTGGTATTACATTGTGGTTTTGATTTGCACTTCCCTGATAATTAGTGACGATGAGTATTTTTCCATATGTTTGTTGACCATTTGTCTATCTTCTTTTGAGAATTGTCTGTTCACGTCCTTCACCCGCTTTTTGATGAAATTGTTTTTTTCTTGCAGTTCTTTGTAGATTCTGGATATTAGTCATTTGCTGGATATATAGATTGTGAAGATTTTCTCCTGCTCTGTGGGTTGTCCATTTACTCTGCTGATTATTTCTTTTGCTGTGCAGAAGCCATTTAGTTTAATTAAGTCCCAATATATTTATCTTTGTTTTCGTTGCATTTGCTTTTGGGTTCTTGGTCATGAAGTATTTGCCTAAGCCAATGTATAGAAGGGTTTTTCTGATGTTATTTTTCTAGACTCGTTATGGTCTCAGGGCTTAGATTTAAGTCTTTTATCCACCTTGAGTTGATTTTTGTATAAGGTGAGAGATGAGGATCCAGTTTCATTCTTCAACATGTGGGTTGCCAATTATCCCAACATCATTTGTTGAATAGGGTGTCCTTTCCCCACTTTATGTTTTTGTTTGCTTTGTTGAAGATCAGTTGGCTGTAAATATTTGGTTTTATTTCTGGGTTCTTTATTCTGTTCGATTGGTCTATGTGCCTATTTTTATACCAGTACCATGCTATTTTGGTGACTATGTCCTTATAGTATAGTTTGAAGTCGGATAATGTGATGCCTCCAGATTTGTTCTTTTTGCTTAGTCTTGCTTTGACTGTGTGGGTTATTTTTTGGTTCCATATGAATTTTAGGATTTTTTTTTTAGTTCTGTGAAGAGTAATGGTGGTGTTTTGATGGGAATTGCATTGAATTGCAGATTGCTTTTGGCAGTATGGTCATTTTCACAATATTGATTCTACCCATCCGTGAGCATGGCATGTGTTTCCTTTGTTTGCGTCATCTGTGATTTCTTTTAACAGTGTTTTGTAGTTTTCCTTGTAGAGGTGGTTCACCTCCTTGTTTAGGTATATTCCTAAGTATTTTATTTTATTTTTTGTAGCTATTGTGAAAGGGGTTGTGTTCTTGATTTGACTCTCAGCTTGGTCACTGTTGGTGTATAGCAGAGCTACTGATTTGTGTACATGAATTTTGTATCCTGAAACTTTGCTGAATTTATTTATCAGTTCTAGGAGCTTTTTGGATGAGTCTTTAGGGTTTTCTAGGTATATGATATTATCATCAACAAACAGCAACAGTTTGATTTCCTCTTTACTGATTTGGATGCCCTTCATTTCTTTATCTTGTTTGATTGCTCTGACTAGGACTTCCAGTACTACATTGAATAGTAGTGGTGAAAGTGGGCATCCTTATCTTGTTCCAGTTCTCAGAGGAAATGCTTTCAACTTTTCCCTGTTCAGTATAATGTTGGCTGTGGGTTTGCCATATACGGCTCAGACCATAGTGAAATAAAATTGGAAATCAACTACAAAAAGAACACTCAAAACCATGCAAATACATGGAAATTAAATAACATGCTCCTGAATGGTTGTTGGGTCAAGAATGAAATCAAGGTGGAAACTAACTGAACTGAATGATAATAGTGATACAACCTATCAAAACCTTTGGGATATTGCAAAAGCGATGCTAAGAAGAAAGTTCACAACGTTAAATATCTACATCAAAAAGTTTGAAAGAGCACAAATAGACAACCAAGGGTCACACGTCATGGAACTGGAGAAACAAGAACAATAGAAACCCAAACCTAGCAGAAGAAAAGAAATAACAAAGATGAGAGAATAACTAAATGAAATTGAAACAAAAAAGTACATTTAAGTCTTTACTCCATCTTGAGTTAAGTTTTATATAAGGTTTAAGGAAGGAGTCCAGTTTCAATTTTCTGCATATGGCTAGCCAGTTTTCCTGGTACCATTTATTAAATAGGGAACCCTTTCCCCATTGCTTATTTTTGTCAGGTTTGTCGAAGATCAGATGGTTATAGATGTGTGGTCTTATTTCTGAGATCTCTATTCTGTTCCATTGGTTTATGTGTCTGTTTTTGCTCCAGTACCATGCTGTTTTGGTTACTGTAGCTTTGTAGTATAGTTTGAAGTCAGGTAGCATGATGCCTCCAGTTTTGTTTCTTTCTCTTAGGATTGTCTTGACTATACAGGCTCTTTTTTTTGGTTCCATATGAATTTTAAAGTAGATTTATCTAATTCTGTGAAGAGTGCCAATGGTAGTTTAATGGGAATAGCATTGAATCTATAAATTACTTAGAGCAGTGTGGCCATTTTCATGATATTGATTCTTCCTATCCATGACCATGGAATGTTTTTCTATTTGTTTGTGTCCTCTCTTATTTCCTTGAGCAGTGGTTTGTAGTTCTCCTTGTAGAGGTCCTTCATCCTTCACTTCCCTTGTTAGCTGTATTCTTAGACATTTTATTCTCTTTGTGGCAATTGTGAATGGGAGTTCATTCACGATTTGGCTCTCTGCTTGTTTCCTGTTGGTGTATAGGAATGCTTGTGATTTTTGCACATTGATTTTGTAACCTGAGACTTGGCTGAAGTTGCTTATTAGCTTTAGGAACTTTTGGGCTGAGACGATGGGGTTTTCTAGATATAGGATCATGTCATCTGCAAAAAGAGACAGTTTGACTTCCTCTTTTTCTATTTGAATACGCTTTATTTCTTTCTCTTGTCTATTTGGCCTGGCCAGAACTTCCAATACAGTGTTGAATAGGAGTGGTGAGAGAGGGCATCCTTGTCCTGTGCCAGTTTTTAAGGGGAATGCTTCCAGCTTTTGTCCATTCAGTATGATATTGGCGACGGGTTTGTCATGAATGGCTCTTTTATAAAAATTTAATTTAATTTTAAGTTCCAGGATACAAGTGCTCATGAAAATCAAATACCAAGCTTGAGGAGGCAATGTCCTTCCCAGGGCCCTTCACAGGGCTGAATTTGCAAGCAAGCAGATTTACCTTTCCACTGGTCCACCTTCTTTCTCCTACCATCTGATTTGTTCTTCCTCAAGTACGCATGCTGTGGTAACCTTGGGTTTTTTCTCTTTTTGGTAGTATATGCGGATGATGGGAGTGCATCCAGTGATCCATTTCCTGGCCTGGTTCCTGGAGAACATGGCTGTGTTGACCATAAGCAGTGCTACTCTGGCCATCGTTCTGAAAACAAGTGGCATCTTTGCACACAGCAATACCTTTATTGTTTTCCTCTTTCTCTTGGATTTTGGGATGTCAGTCGTCATGCTGAGCTACCTCTTGAGTGCATTTTTCAGCCAAGCTAATACAGCGGCCCTTTGTACCAGCCTGGTGTACATGATCAGCTTTCTGCCCTACATAGTTCTATTGGTTCTACATAACCAATTAAGTTTTGTTAATCAGACATTTCTGGTAAGTAAGTTGTTTTGTAAAAAAAAAAAAAAAAAACAACAAAATTGCAATCTATCTAACAAGACAAAATCCCACCACTCTCACTTTTTCAATTTGTCATGTTCATATCTACATGGGCTTTCTGATATCTGCTTTTTAAAATCTTACCCACAAATGCAAACCGTTGAAACTGCAGGGTTTTTGCTGGACAGCAGCCCATTAAGAATGTCCAGTTTTTACATAACAGAGACTTTCTGCAGATTCTGGAAAATAAGCAACATTCTTAAGGAAGCATATAACTTTATTTTCTCTTTCATGCACAGAAAAAAGCTAGATTTCTAAAGCAATTTTAGAAGTAAAAAATAAGCATTTTTTCTTGAAACATTATGAATTACATCACATTAAGTGGAAAAATCTCTCTGTTAGCAATGTCAGAGTCACTCATCCATTTAAAATGTACCTCCTAAAAACGTATGATAACACTTTCAGGTCTGTAACATCAAATACGTAGAACATAAAAAAGTATTCATTCTTTTATGGCAATTGCTGGCAAGCGCAGTGCCTGACACATAGTAGGAACTCAATCAAAGCGAGGGTGAACCATCACTATTAAAATGATCTGTTTCAGAGAGCCAGTGGCATCACTATAAACACTTGCACTGTGCTCAAGACTTTATTCTCTCCAGCAGGTCAAGTGACTTCCTAAAATTGCAGTCTGTTGAGAGATAAGACAGAGTCATTAACAGAGACTTTGGGGAGGTGTCAAGGAGACCTAGATTACGGGGCTGCTCAGGGGTATTTAAAGGCCCTTAAAAGTCCTTTAGTCCAGCACAGGATTCATGACGGCCCCAGTGCTTCACTCACTTATTGGGAGCAAAACACCTTCTCTGCTCATTTAGGGCCTAGAGTAAAATATTTCTATGAAAGCCAAGTGATTTGTCTTCAACTTCAGTAAACGATTCAAAGCTGTCTGGTTTCTACTAGCCATATGCTCACAACAAAGATATACATACAGAATGAAAAAGTGGTTATATTCCATCAGTGTTTTATCTATTGGTATGTGTTCATTGGTCTTGATTAGCTTATGTTACATTTGTAAAAACCCATAACCAATAACTTCCTGTTAGTGTTAATTAGCTGTTTTCAGAATAATTAACACAAGTGGGACCATTGGTGGTCCTTCCCCATATACTCCTTGTACATAGAAAAAGAGTCATCCATGATCTGACCTGATTTTCAGATGGTGTTATTTTTAATTTTACTTCAGTCATTATATTCGTGGGTTCTGTGCACATAAAATTTGATTTTCTGTTTACATATTCAAATGCTTTCTAGCAAGTAAAAAATATCTAACTCTGGTACACTGTATTTTTTAATGTAAGATATTTTTTTCAATGGGGTTTCGTTCTAACATAAGACTTCTCCACTGAGATACAATAACATTTTTCTTCAATACACCTTCTTTCTAGTGTAGAATAGTGTATGCATTCCATCAGTCAGCCTGCAGTGTGCTCCAGGGCATTCACTTAATAATAAAAAATAGTAAATTACTCTATTCCAGTTTTCACTGTTTTGTGTTACACATTTCTGTGTATGATACATTGGATTTATGACACTTCAAGCATCTCGGTAAAGAGAAATAATTCCTTTTAACGTTAAAAACTAGCTTGTTATCATGCTTTTCAGAGTGGGCTGACATTCCGCTAAGATTTTCAGATCAAAATATTTAAATGACTGCCTGAAGCGATGGTTGGGCGTCATCAGAATGAAAAGTTGTCATGGCTTCGCTCCTTGAATTAAGTGTTGTGGATTTTCTGTGGTCCCAATCAAAACACTAACGTGCAGTTTTTCTCCATCAATCTGTGGGCAGTGCCTTCTTTCGACAACCGCCTTTGGACAAGGGGTATTTTTTATTACATTCCTGGAAGGACAAGAGACAGGTAAGAGCATGCATGTGTAAAAAGTGACTCTCAGTGAATCACGTTTTTGGAAATTAATAGTTATATTGCAAGTGATCCAGTAGGAAGTCTTCATTATCAAGTAGAGCATTCAGAATGAGGTTTGGATATTTGCTTTCACTGTTGTATACACCTCCCACTATCTGGTAGCACCAGTTTTGAGAACAATCAAGAATAATCATGGCATCCCTTGCTTCAGACACTATCCAGGTCAACCACCCAGCCAATGCTTGGGTCTTCCTTATACCACCCTTGACGTCTGGTCTGGTGAGTGACCTTCTGAACCTTCCAAGATAGGGTGTGCAAATGTGTCCATCTGTTAGATCAGGGGTCCCCAACCCCTGGGCCATGGAGCAGTCCGTGGCCTGTTGGGAACTGAGCCTTACAGCAGGAGGTGAGCAGCAGGCAAGGGAGAGAAGCTTTGTCTGTATTTACAGCCACTCTCCATTGCTCACGTTATCGCCTGAGCTCCACCTCCTGTCAGGTCAGTGGGGCCATTAGATTCTCATAGGAGCCTGAACGTTATGTGAACTGTGCATGCAAAAGATCTAGGCTGCATGTTCCTTATGAGAATTTAATGCCTGATGATCTGTCACTGTCTCGCATCACCCCCAGGTGGGACTGTCTAGTTGTAGGAAAACAAGCTCAGGGCTCCCCGTGATTCTACATTATGGTGAGTTGTATAATTATTTTATTATATATTACAATGTAATAATAATAGGAAAAAATGCACAATAAATGTAATGCACTTGAATCATCCTGGAACCATCCTCTATCCCCCGGTCTGTGGAAAAATTGTCTTCCACGAAACTGGTCCCTGGTACCAAAAAGGTTAGTGACCACTGTGTTAGATGATTGTTGACCTGGGATCTGTCTTCCTGGATCCTCTACCCATGTTTTCTAGTTCTTCCTTTCTAATTATCCCTTTCACATGACCACCATCTACATATTTGTTGGCTCTCATCTTTACTCCTAGATTTACTAGATTGTTCCTGAAGATCAAGATCCAGAAATAGGTCTAATAAGCATAAAATAGAGTGCAATTATCTCATACCAATGCAGGCTAAAATGATTTTCTAAAAATCTATTGGCAGCATTTTTTGCTTATATTGAGAATTTGACAACTAAAATTCTAAACCAGAACAGACATATATTTCATAGATATTTGTATGGTTTTTTTTGGGGGGGGGTGTTTTTGTAAACAGAGGTAAAACCATGCTATAAGTAAAATTTGACTCTAGCTATTGTTGTATTAGCCAGTTAATTTGTACTGGTCTTTGAGTTCTTAGAGTTTTTCAATAAGATGTATTAAAATGTTCTTTTACAGATGAGTAATCTTGAATGATTTCTTCTAACTGATCTTTAGAATAAATTGAATCAAAATGATAGAAACAAAAAATGGAAACTGTTAGACCATTTGAATATTTTGGTCTAAATTCCAAGTACACAATGATTAAAATGTATATTTTATTGAACTGTAGCCTGGTACCATAGGGAAATTTAGAAAGGGGAATATTTTTCTTAAGTTGTATGTTAATCCAGAAATAAATCACAAACCTATTGTAAAAAAATAATAATAATTTCCCACCCTAGTTCTTATATATCCTATTATATATTTTCCAAGAGCACAGAGAGTTACACAGTTTAGAATTTGGGTTCTCAAGGAGACTTTAAAAAATTTTTTTGAATGCTTATTTTCCTTAAATATAAAGTCCTTTCTACTCAGGTAAATAAAACCAGATATGAGTAAGGTGACCTTTAAAACTTTTTAAAGTATTAGATATTAAAAAGTAGTTAACAATCCCCCCACCTGATATCATTGAAATAGGTGTAAGATTGCACAAGTTAACATTTCATGAAAAGTTATGGCCAGTGATATTGACCTTCTTTTTGTTTTAGTTCTGTTCAACTTCACTTGAGCTTCCAGAAGTAATGAACTCATCATGACAAAATCTACCATAAAAGAGCTTGTGCAGTTCTAACTCTGACCTTTTTCTTCCTGCTAGGGATTCAATGGAATAATATGTACCAGGCTCTGGAACAAGGGGGCATGACATTTGGCTGGGTTTGCTGGATGATTCTTTTTGATTCAAGCCTTTATTTTTTGTGTGGATGGTACTTGAGCAACTTGATTCCTGGTAAGAATTTTGCCTTTTGTAAGATAACACAATAAATTTTAAAAACAGTTTGAATTAATATGCATAAATATTAGAATAATCACTTATTCTTTAAGGAAGATCCAG
Source organism: Homo sapiens (assembly GCF_000001405.40). NCBI lineage: Eukaryota > Metazoa > Chordata > Mammalia > Primates > Hominidae > Homo > Homo sapiens. Next base: position 48,376,678 of record NC_000007.14, read on the forward strand.
AAAGGGAAGTCTTAGGATATATATTTAAAAGGAGCTGTACATTTTTGAGAAAAAATGTGATGCCTTTGTTTCCCAAGTGAAAGGTAAAAGGCCATGTGAGGGAATAGCCAGGATGAAATTAGCATGAAAACTCACCAGGCCCACCAAGCAGCTCCCCAAAAGTGGGCTTCAGTCTACACAGAAAATATCCTGGTTTCTCAGAGAGTGTTTGGGGAGGGCAGGCATGAGGGGGTGAGGGTGGGGGTGCTCAGAGTGCCTTGGCCAGAAAGTCACTCCTAGTGGGGATCTAGGGACCAAGCGCTCAGCCAGTGGCAGGTCGGTGCATGGCAGGACCTGGGGAGAAGCAGGCAGAGCCTAAAGGCAGCTGGACAGGGTGGGCTGGGAGTGAGGGGCCATGTCCAACCACAGGGCTTTCACTGTTGTCACGGATATGGGGTTTCCCAAATGTGGTGGTGCCCTTCTTCCCTGGTGTGGCAGGCATGCCCCAGAGTCTGGAGGACAAGTATATCAATGGCCAAAAAAAAAAAAAAAGGCCAGTAATGGTAATGGGTTTTCCTAGCTGTTTTGGGAGGAAAAGAGGCACGCATACCTTTACCTTTTTGGTTCAGGCCCGAAAGAGCAGAAATAGCACTTTAAAATTACTTATTTTATTTTTTAGAGATAACACTTTGATGGTGGTGTATTTTCTTGCTGAAATTACTTGGCAACTCTGGTTCTATGCTTTTCAAAGCAAATAGTGTCTAACTAAATTAAAACTAAAAATTAAAAAAAATGATTCTAATCTTATACAAATGAAAATGGAGGGATAGAAAGAAAACAAATGCAGTTCATTCTGTTTGTGAAAACACATTCCAGACTTGGAGAGCTCATGAATCATTTAGGGATGGGTAAACATAAAAATAATATGGGCCACTGAAAAGATCATTTTACACAAAAGTAGGAATATATGGCCCTCAAGAGGTAGAGAGAGAACATAAATTGGAAATGTGATTTATTTAGGAAAAACTTAGACTGCATTGTCTTGGTACTTTGAATAAAATTTAAGAAAATAAAACTTAAGAAATAAGATTCTAGGAAATAAAGGATAAAACAAATGAGTTGAGAAGGCCAAGGGTTCAAGGAAATTGGATGAGAAGCAATTGACTATTGAGAAGAAGCAAAAATAACATAAGAAAGTAATGTTACAAAATACATTTGTGATGTCCATCTAAAATACAAAGACCAGCAACAAAGTCTACTCTCTGCAATGTTGAGATGAAGATAAAATGTGTCCCGGGACCCAGAATGATCTGATTTCTCCCTCAACCATCAGCATCTAAGGCTAGAGGCTCTTGGGGCAATATTTTTCTACATTATGGTAAAGCAAAGGAACATTGTATTCAGCTGAGACTTTCCCTCTGAATCCCACTGTGGAATTCTAAATTGAAAAGTTTTAAAAGAGACTGAGCCTTGAGGTGGATGTCTGGTGTGCAGAGGGCTCACTGTCTAGGTCATATTTGAAGGGAAGAAAAGGGAATTGGGAGTAGACTCATGGAGGAAGGTAATTGAACTCAGAAAAGCTGAGTGATGGTGAGAATGTCCTCACCAGTGGGACAGTATTGAGTCGTTCCTTATCCTGTGGGTCAGGGGATGTTTGGCTAAGCTGGTGGCTTTTAAGAAGAAATTCTTTCTAAAGTTCAATGAGGTCAACTTGAGGCTCAGAGGAAATTAAAAAAAATTGTTTTCCTCAGGGGACCAGGAGATTCAAATGCTAGAGTTGGTAATCTTTTGGAAGTACCTTGGCCATCTGAACCATGCCACATTTGGAACTCACGTATATTCGACTGAGGAAACCGTGATCTCCTGTTCCTTCTTTCATCTCCTCCTGTCCTTCCATTCCTTCAGACTCCTAATTCCCTGCCCTCCCATTAGGTGAAGGTTAAACAAACAATCCACCATCTTCATACACTCACACTGCAATCCTGCAGTCTCACAATATGGCTCATGATTAACATCTACCCAATATGTTAAACTTGAGCTATTTCAGAATCAGCTCTTACCCTGCCACATCCAACTGGAGAAAAAGATCTGCTGATTTTACTTCACAAGTCTCCCTTAAGTTCACACGGATGTACCTTTTCTAGGGAATGTCTCCATGTTTTCATCAAGCCATACAAAGTATTCTGTGACCTCTAATGAGTTATGATTCCCAGATACACTGGATCCTACACCCTGCAAAGGGAAGCAAATGCAGTAGGACCTCAATCCACCTTTGAATGGCAGACACTCATTTCAACATTTTGTTTAGTGAATTTAGAGTGGGAGGTTTTATATTTTCTCTTTGTGATTGTGACACTAATTTTAGCTACCAGCTAGTTAGGAAAAAAGATCAGAGTCTATTACAGAATTTAAAAAAAATCAAAGCTCGCACATATTTATAACACATATTTAAAAATACAAAGGCATAGAGCTGAATAAATATGTCAATAAATATTTTTGACTTTATCACAAAATTCAGATTCTTTTATTTCAAAAGCTAAAAATAAGAGTTGGCAATTTGCATATTCTTAAATTGCACAAAGTATTTCTTTTCCACTTTGACAAAGTCTGCCAATAATAACAAAGAATATAATTGCCAGACACTACTGATGGGCTTTCAGATCCATAAAGAGGGTTATAATTTCTAGGAGGTCTCAGACCCAATACCTTCTTTTTAAGAGAAATATTTTATATTACCTCCTTTACTCTCTTGAAATGAAACTTATGGATAATGAAAACTACCTGCATATGAGTCTTAAAATTAATGTAATTTAAAAATTTTAATATAAAAGAGAAATAGAAACTAATTTATAGTAAGTTCTCGGTGCTCAGGCATGAATGCATCGGAACACAGAATGAGATATTCAGTTGCTTATGCTTATGTGGAATAAGTTCGGATTTAAAAGAAGGAGAAAGGTCAGAAGCCATTTGGCACTAAAAGGAAAGAAAATGCATAAGTAAAGAGAAATGTAGATACTAGAAGTAAAGCTAATATTAAGTAGTACTAGATCAGACTTATTGGTATGTGATTATAAAGATGAAAATAACTTCAGTTGAAGTAGGAAAAACGTGGGAAGAAATATTATACATGAATGAAGTGAATAAAAGAATGATATTTTTGTAAATGACCTGGGTCTTTATTTAAAAGTAATCAGGAAATTCCCTTTGTTAACACATGGGGCAGGTAATGACAAAACATAACAGAAGATCCATTTTCTGTCTTACAATTCTATCTCATTTCAGTTTCTCCATTCAGCCTCCAGTCTTTAAAGACGTTGGAGATCTATTCTTTAGTAGTGACAGGAAATAGAGGACTGATTGGACAAAGGAATAATATTAATAATATAAGAGGGTTTTATAGAGAAGCCAAGGGGTGAATATCTGGGAACAGCATCAAAATAAGATTGAAAACTAATAGGGAGCCTCATGTTAATCATCTCAATGTGTAATTTTCACCAAATGGTCTTATTGTGCTATACAGTTTTAAAATATATATATCAAATGACAATGTAACATAGTTACTAACCCTTATTAATACAATTTAGTGCATTTTCTAAATTTCTACTATTCAAGAATATCTGGTTTTAAGTTTGTTAAAAGCAATCTTCACATCTTTTGTCATGTGTTTGTATATAATGGGGCAGAATGAAGATTGATACAGACATACTGCATTGCAAACTCAAACGCAGTGAGTGACATCACTATTGATGGCGTTGTTTTCCAAAACAATGGACAATTTCTGCTTTAAAAAATAATCTTCCACTAGTTTACACAGTGGTTGAATTTCTGAAAAATTTAGTGTATACTGAAACTGCACGGAAACTTTGAGTTTATATGTCCTAGGCTCAATAACCATGAAACACTTTGCATTTGCACGGCTGTGTGTGATCAGGCTCACAGAAGGCAAGTCAAGGACATTTCTTTGTTGCACTTTGTAGGGTATCAACTAACCCAGGCATCTGCACACTAAAGGCAATTGTACCATCCCCATTGTATTAATCATACTTTTTTATTTTCTGTATTTTTGAGGCTTTGACTGGGGTTGAAGGAGTGCAGTTACTGACCCTAGAGGGACTGTTCCTTCCAGGGATAGCCAGTTCCTAGCCATAGTAAAGGACTCACCTGTGGATGTGCCTTTCACAAGCAAAAAACCAATCCAGAGCCCACGCCCCTACCACCTGCTGTACGGGGCGATCACACTCGGGGTCACTGTCCACCTGGCCTGATCAGCCCAGGGCAAGGTACCAGCCAACTAGGGACAGACTCTCTCCCGAAGAGCCTGATGAAATTATTCACAGTAGTTAATTAGAAATGTACTTGCCCTTCCTCACATGTTCCTTCCCTTGAAAACCACAGTAAAGGCTCTTGTTCACATTCCCACAGCACCCCTCCCTACTTCCCCTGTCTCCTGACTGACACTGGTGCTTCCCTGTGTGACCCTGTGTGGTGTGTCATGCCTCCTTCTCTTGGGGTCTGTGAGTAACAAAGTGTAGTTTCAATGACAGTTATCTCCTGATTTGTTGGCATCATCATACTTGAGTAATAATAAAATCTATATTTTAAAACACTGTTCCAGAGTCTCCTGTGGGTAGGAGGGTGTCTCCAGATGGGAGGTAGGAGGCAGGAGGCAGGTGAGAAATTTCTCTCTTTTGCTCTCTGTCACACACATACACATACACACACACACACACACACGCACGCACACACCCCATACCTCAGACAAATACTTTTCTCTCGATTTTCTTTCTTTGTTATAAAGTGACCCTGTGAGTATGACCCCAGCATTTCTCAGCCCCGGTGTCTGACTGGGAGACTCTGTAGATCCAGCATCAGATCATTTCCTGGCCTGCGGGGCTCAGCGTCAACTGCAGGTCTCCACGCTCGAGTCAAGAGCTCACAAGCAAACATCTGGTCCTCTCGAAGAGTTTTCATTGCATAAACTCTTTTTATATGCTTCCAATTAAATTTGATTCTGCTCGATCTGTCTAATTTCATTGACCTCTTCTTTTATCACTGTCAGTTTTGGGGGGCAATGCTGATTAGTTTCCTGGCCTGCATAAGCCAGCAGGCAGTTCCCCTTGAGGAGAAAAGCTCTGTGTAAATGGAGGGCCTTTGCACATATTAATGTGCCCAATTACATCTGGTAATGTGAGCAGGTTGTATGTGCTTCTAGAGTGTGCACGTAAAACAAATTTGAATTTATAAGCAAAAGCCGATTGCAGAGGCAAGCCAAAGAGCTGAGCGGCTTCCACGCCAGCTTGCATTTGGCAGCTCTCTGCTTTAGTTAGATTAGTAGATTAATTAGGGGGTTTTAAAAGTCCAGACAGATTATGGCTGAGATGGTTTAATTAGCAAAGCAACCCTTAATATTCAATTTATTTTTTCATAACTCTGGAATGTCTTTCACGTTTGTTTCTACTTCCCATCCCTGAAGCCATTACCTTAGTTCAGGCCTCACTGTGCCTGATCTGGACTTACAGCGAGTTACAGTGCCTTTGTAACTCCTTCCTACTCCTCTAGGTATCCCCGACCCCAGCACCTCACCTCTGCATCCTACCTGCATGTTGACACAAAGTTATCTTTCTTAAAAATAGACCAAATAGACCATGTCCCTCCCCTGCATGACAGTCTTCCCCAACTCCAAAATGTCTAGAGAATAAATAATATCCTCAGTGGCTCTCAGGCCACCCGAACCTGCTCTGCTGCAGATTCACGCCCCTCTCTCTATTCCCGTTGTGCTGATGGGGAGTTGGGGGGCAGTCTTCAATGTGCCCAGCACACCCACACAGGGTAGGCAGATAAAATACAGGGCACCCAGGTGAATTCAAATTTCAGATAAACTACAAATAATTTGGGGGACATATTCATACTAAAACATTAATTGTTGTTTGTCTGAATTTCAAAATTAATTGAACATCCTGTGTTTGTATTTTCTGAATCTAGCATCCCTCCCAGCATCTCTGTCTTTTCATTCTCATTCCTTTTTCTTGGGTTGAAGGGCCTGCTTTTGTTTTGCATAGGTGGAAACCTATGATGACAATATCATCTTGTATTCTTCTCTCAATGATTTTTTTTTTTTTTGGTCATCTGTACTAGAATGAAGGTCATAAGAAGGCGCAGTCTCTGCCTGATTCATTGGCGTGTCCCTCGTACCACTAGAGGGTGTGACTAGTTGATTTCTGTTTGATGACTGACATCTTCCTGGAACAGGAAGGTATAATCCGGAGAACAGAAGGGCAAGGGATATGATGTTCCAGATCTAGGTGACTTCTGCCCTGCTCCTTTGTCACTGTGCTGAGGCCTCACCTGTCCTACTCATTCTTGGGCTGACAGCTGGAACTGTGAGCCCTGGGAGATGAGCCAGCATCTCTCCTCATACCTCTGTACAAAATGCTTAGTTATTCATTTCTCAACAAAGCATCTCCCACAGTAAATCAGGGCTGCAGGAAGGTGTCATTTCCCAAAGACTCAAGTGAGAAAACAAGGATACAACTAATAAAGAGTAATGTCTTAGCTCCATTGCAAGAAACTGGTGACTCCTGACATTGTTGCAGTTGTCTATGTGTGCACACTTGTGTCTGTGTACATGTACATGTGTGCATGTGCTGCATGAATATGTGCATGTGTACATGTGTACTCGTGTGTGAATGCCTGTGTGTGTGCATATGTATGTGGGTATACGTATGTGTGTGCACACACACACGTATGGTGATCTTCACTTTGAGTCATGGCCCTAAGTTTGAAATCATATTTATCTTTGTACGACTTCCACTTATATCGAAGTGAAGCAGAGCTGAGGCTTGCTTCAGGATTTCCTTGCGTACACTCAAAATGTGAAGGTGTTCAATGACTTCATTTGGAACAGGCAAATTGTGCCTTATTTCACCTTTAGAATGTGCATGTATGAAATATTCTTTTCTCCCCTATGGTTCTGAAAAATTGAGCTATAATACATCAGATGGATATGTGTTTATTGTAAAATGTTTGAAAAGTTTATAGAGAAGCAGGAAAAATTTTTGAGGAAGCAGGAAAAAATTCAGTTATCTCCAATATCACCAACCAGAACTAACATTTCCCAGGCTTTTTCCAGACAGTTTTCTGCACCTAGTTGGGTTCACACTGTATATGTAAATTTCCCTCTGTTTTAAAAAAATATTTTTATCATAAGCATTTATCCACATCTTTGAAAGTACTGTTAATGGCTGCTCAACATTTCATTAAATGAAAGTAATAACTTCCTGGACCTTTCTCCTACTTTGCAAGTTTAAATAATTTCTGCTTTTTCCCCACTATAAGTAATGCTACAGTGAATATATTTATGTTCAGATGTGTGTCCCCACTTTGTCATTGTGTCATCTAGAATCCTAGAATTTTAATTGCTAATTCAAATCTATAAACACTTGAAGGCATCTGGATCCCATTGCCTACTATCCTTGCTAAGGGTGGTGCCCACTTAAGCTGCGACTGAGTGTGGTTGCCTGAGAGGCCTCTGAGCCGAAGACCTGCAGCTTTGTGAGAATAATCTTCCTGATGTGTTTGCTTGCTTTCTGTCTCCTTTGATTTCCACACACTCATTGTTCACGTATGTGTCAACAGGGGCTTTTCGTGTAATTGGTACTGGAAGAAACTGTGCTTCTTTCTTGTTGTAAAAGGCAACCCAAAGCATCCTCATGACTGCACTTGCGTGTTCAGACAGGCAGGAGCTGCTAGAGGAGAGGCTAACCAGTGTGTAGCTTCTGGAGCCATCAGCTGCGCGTCACTGGGCAACCCTTGCTGTTCCTCCTTTTCTTATTGGGAAGGTAGAGGTGATAATTTTACCTGACATGTTGGTGGTCACAGGACTGTGTGAATTAATACAACCAGATACCCTGGACAGTGCCTGGAACACAGTGAGTGGAATGCTGGCTGTGATATGACCTGATTATCCAGCTGCTACTCATCCTCTTCCTACAGAGGGATGGTTTTTGCTTTGCAAGGTTCTTGGAGGACACCTGCCTGCATTAATTTTCTCAGCCTGCCATAACAAAGTACCACAAACTGGGTGGCTCAAACAACAGGAATGTGTTGTCTCACAATCCTGGAGGCTAAAAGTCTGAGATCAAGGTGTAGGCCTGTGTATGTGGGTATATATATGGACTGGTTTCTCCCAAGGCCACTCTCCTTGGCTTGCAGATGGCATTGTCTCCTTGTGTCATTCCTGTGTATCTGTGTCCAAATTTTCTTTTATGAGGACACCACTCACATTGGATTAGTCCTCGCTCTTGTGACTTCATTTTGCCTTCATTACCTCTTTGAAGACCGTGTCTCCAAATACAGTCACATTTTGAAGTACAGGGGGTTAGAACTTCAACATATGAAACCTGCGGAGATACAACTCAGCCCACAAAGAAAAGTCAGTGCTATTCCTCACAGCAGCTGAACAGCTTCCCTTCACTTTATGTATTTATTTTTTTGTAACTTTTAAGTGCAGGGGTACATGTGCAGGTTTGTTACATAGGTAAATGTGTGTCATGGAGGTTTATTGTACAGATTATTTTGTCACCCACGTATTGAGCCTAGTACCCATCAGTTATTTTTTCTGATCCTCTCCCTTCTCTCACCCTTCACCCTCCAAAAGGCCCCAGTGCATGTTGTTCCCCGCAGTGCATGTTGTTCATGTGTTCTCATCATTCAGCTCCCACTTATAAGTGAGAACATGCAGTATTTGGTTTTCTGTTCCTTTGCTAACGATGTTAGTTTGCTAAGGATAATGGCCTCCAGCTTCATCCATGTCCCTGCAAAGGACATGATCTCATTCCTTTTTATGGCTGCATAGTAGTAGTCCATGGTGTATATGTACCACATTTTCTTTATCCAGTCTATTGTTGATGGCCATTTAGGTTGATTCCATGTCTTTGCTATTATGAATAGTGCCACAAAGAACATACATGGGCATGTGTCTTTATAATAAGATGATATATATTCCTTTGGGTATATACTCAGTAATGGGATTACTGGGTCAAATGGTATTTCTATCTTTAGGTCTTTGAGGAACCACCACCTGTCTTCCACAATAGTTGAACTAATTTACACTCCCACCAACAGTGTATAAGCATTCCTTTTTATTCACAACCTCACCAGCATCTGTTATTTTTTGACCTTTTAATAATAGACATTCTGACTGGTGTGAGATGGTATCTCATTGTGGTTTCGATTTGCATTTCTCTAATTATCATTGATGTTGAGGTTTTTCCATATGATTATCAGCCCCATGTATGTCTTCTTTTGAGAAGTGTCTCTTTATATCCCTTGCCCACTTTCTAATGGAGTGTTTGTTTTTTGCTTAATTTATTTAAGTTCCTTATAGATGCTGGATACTAGACCTTTGTCAGATGCATAGTTAAGCATTCCTATACAGCAACAACAGTCAAGCCCAGAGTTAAATCAGTAACAAACTTCCATTCACAACTGCCATACACACACAAAATATCTAGGAATACACCTAACAAGGTGAAAGATCTCTACAAGGAGAACTACAAACCACTGCTCACAGAAATCAGAGATGACAAGAACAAATGGAAAACGTTTCATGCTCATGGACAGGAAGAATCAATATCATTAAAATAGCCATACTGCCCAAAGCAGTTTGTAGATTCATTGCTATTCTCATTAAACTACCATTGATATTCTTCACAGAACTAGAAAAAAATGTTTCAAAATTCACATGGAACTAAAAAGGAGCCCGAATAGCCAAGACAATCCTGAGCGAAAAGAACAAAGCTGGAGACATCACATTACCTGACTTCAAACTATGCTACAGGGCTACAGTAACCATAACAGCATGGTTCTGGTACAAGAACAGACACATAGACTAACAGAACAGAATAGAGAACCCAGAAATAAGAATGCACACCTACAACTATGTGATCTTCAACAAACCTAAAAAACAAGCAATGGGGAAAGGATTTTATATTTAATAAATGGTATGGGGATAACTGGCTAGATATATGCAGAAAATTGAAACTGAACCCCTTCCTTATTGCCATATACAAAAATTAATTCAAGATGGATTAAAGACTTAAATGTAAAACCCAAAACTATAAAAACCCTGGAAGACAACCTAGTTAATACAATTTAGGACATAGTCACGGACAAAGATTTCATGACAAAGATGCCAAAAGCAATTGCAACAAAAGCAAAAATTGACTAATGGGATCTAACTAAAGAGCTTCTGCACAGCAAAAGAAACTATTGACAGAGTAAACAGACATGTCTCCCATTCTGTAGAATTGGAGGAAAATTTTGCAGACCTTCCCTTTACTTTCAAAAGGTAATGGATACATGTGCTCTCCTTTGAGTGCATGAACATCTCTTTCTATTTTTTGATTAGAATGTGCGAGGGCTTGCATATCTCTCTTCTGCTTGATGATCAAAGTGCTATAATAGTCTTTATATCAGCCTTTTTAATTCTAATCAGTTGTAGAATTTAGGCCTTTAGGTAAGTTACGTTCATCAAACTTAAACTAGAATGGATGTGTTAAAAGAAAATTGGGAAATGTTAATAATGAAATCCCTTTTCATTTCAACATGTAATGAGGGCAAAGTGACTGTTAAATGGGCTGAAATGAATTTGGAGAATACTTTTGAAGAATGGTAACGTGTTTCATATGGAAATGTTAGCATTATGAATTATTCTTCTTTATGGAAATTTCAATTGATTAATCCCCTCCTACACTTACCTCATGCTCTTCCTCTTGTCTAGGAATCCATGCAAACATCAAAGATAGGCAAAAGAAGAACAATCACAAAATAGAAGGGCAGTGTGGGGCAGGGTGGGACTTTACTCTGGGAATATTCAGCAATTATCCAAAAAGCATGTATTGAACCCCTACTCTAAAGATAAAGTCTTGGGGGAAGTGGCTGAGAGGGGGTTTTAGCACATGGCTGTGGATCAGGCCGAGAAGGGAGAGTTAGGGCTCCACTGCAAAACTAATAGCTGTGCCCTGGGATATCACATTTTGTATATGGGACATATATTAAAAATATTAACATGGGATGACATTTTATATTAATTACTTAAGATATTCTAATACAGTACCTTCATCTAAATAAAAAATTAAACTAATTTTAATTGTTTCATTTTTTAGGAACATTTGGTTTACGGAAACCATGGTATTTCCCCTTTACTGCCTCATATTGGAAGAGTGTGGGTTTCTTGGTGGAGAAAAGGCAATACTTTCTAAGTTCTAGTCTGTTCTTCTTCAATGAGAACTTTGACAATAAAGGTTTGTAAGGAGTAGAATTATTAGATGCATGTATTTTTCCTTTGATCCATTTTGATTTTTTTTTGTTTGTTTTTATGGTCCAGCCTTTTCAAGTGTGTGCTGATTCCTAGAGAGACTTACATTTAGGCTGTCTTGGGCTGGGAAACAGCTGCAAGCCCAAGATGTGGGAAAGTATGCCATGACAGTGTTTGTTCTGTGAAACCCAGGAAACCCAGGGAGTTCCCATTAATTATTATTTAGCGTCCTCCCCTCTGTGCATTATGTGCATTTGTGTGTATATTACAATTTAGAAAAATTGAAGCGTTAGTCCCAAAATGAATATGTGTAAGAAATAAAAGCAAATATGGGCAGCTACCCTGTGTAAAGCATTTAAAAATTTTTAAGTGTTCTCACCCATGCTGGTTTATTCAGTGTTCCTGTGTGAGGGAGAATATCACTGTCCCTTACAAATAGGGATTGTGGTTCTCAGGAGATAGGGGCAGGACTGTCCCTGTGCCTCTGCACTCCAGAGTCATGGCCTGTTCCTGCAGGTGCAGGCACAGGGCACCTCTGCCAAAGGATGAATCCATAGGCCATCTCCATGGAAATAGAGATGCATCACTCAGAGATAAACAAGCTCCCATCGTGGTGGGTTTAGATTACAAGTCAACATTCTAATCTAAACAATCTAAATATTTTTCTGAATTATGAATCTTTTAGAAAATGTGGAACACATCAACAAGCACCTATCCACTCTCACGTCCTCAGGAGACTATTTCTCATGAACATTTTATGTGTAACTAATCTGCCTGTTGTTTTTTTCTCTACTTAAACAAAAATACATGTGTGTGTTTTTATTTTTTTTATTTTTTACAAAATGGTTATCATAAGGGTTCAAAACTTTGTAATCAGTGATATCACTTAATGTTTGCCATTATATAGTCTGCTTCTTGTTCTTGCTAAAGAAAGATTTTTGAGTTGATTTGTGTGCTTCACAGAGCTGGAATTCAATTTCAAAGCAGAATGCTGAATTAATAAATATGAGCATTATTTTTAGGGCTTTTGAAGTCTTTTCACAATGAATTTTCATCTCTCTCACAGGGTCATCACTGCAAAACAGGGAAGGAGAGCTTGAAGGAAGTGCCCCGGGAGTCACCCTGGTGTCTGTGACCAAGGAATATGAGGGCCACAAGGCTGTGGTCCAAGACCTCAGCCTGACCTTCTACAGAGACCAAATCACCGCCCTGCTGGGGACAAACGGTGCCGGGAAAACCACTATCATGTGGGTCCCATTTTACCCTTATCAAACACTGGGCATTTGATTCTTAAAACTTCAGTTTACCTGTGAGACAGAAGGTTTGATTTCTTTTCCTTTTTTTAAAATTTTGAGTCTCAATACAGAGTTTAGAGACACGGGTGAAAGGCAGAGCCCCTCATGAGTGCCCGTGTGAGAGAGGCCCTATGTCTTCAACCGCACAGGTGCACTGTAGGCCTGGGGCTCAGTCAAAGGGGTAGTGGTGGATAGCTTTTTAAAAGGCTTAATTCTTGTATTTTCTACAAATAATTTACCATGTTGTACTTTAGTCTTTGAAAGTCCTTTGGCACTTTCAGCGTTTGTCCTACTAAGTATCATCTTGCTTGCATATCTGTAGGAAGAGGAATATCACAGTGGTACTTGCAAATTTTTTAAACACCTGATTATTTTTCTTTTCCATGTTCTGGTTTTTGTGTGGTTCTTTTCTCATTAAGGGTAGATGTTTGGTTTAGGATTCAATGGCTCTAGATTTGATTAAAGAATCAAATCATGTGCTCCCAGAGAAACAATGAATTCAAACATTCACAGCCTTGGGCTGGCTGTAGAAGTGGAGGTTTAAGGTTAAACTACTAAAATTATGAAATATCTCTTTTGAACAAATCACTTTCTCTTTTGTTCTTTTTCTCACTAAATATGTAGTATTAAAGTGTGATTAGTTAAAACAATGAAGAGGGCTTTGCCTCAGACTTAATAAGAAAGGTAGAAAAATAACACATGAAACTTCAGAAATCTCATACTGAAAAAATAGAAAGAAAGAATATGGACAGTTTTTATTTGTTCCTTGGATACAGAAATGGACCTGGAAAAGCGTGTGAGTGTTTTTTTTAGTGTTTGAAAATTGGGAAACCACAAGTTGCACAAATAATGACTCAGCCAGCCAGTTCCTCTCACCCTGCTTTTACTAAGACACATTTCTTACAAGGAAAACCTGGGCTGCTTGTTTAGCAGAATGATGAGAATTGCATTTGGAGTTTCTAGATGATTTAAAGTTCAATGACTGTGTTGCTTTTAGTGTACATTTGTAGTACATTTTGAGTCATCCTAAGTGGCTGCCTCCACCTGGCAATTCTTAGATGAAAGGCTGAGAGGTCAGTCAAAGACGGGGGGGTCTTCACTATTTAAAACAACAGTCTTTGAGACTTCTAGGGAATGTGTATAAACTATTTTATAGTATCCCCCAGATAGGTTTGAAAATAATATAGCAAAGAGTTTTAAGTTCATCGAGGTTTAATTTTTGTGCAGTAAACAGTATCTGTTGATGTGTACAGTTTGATGAGTTTTGACACATTTGGTTAGTGCCGGAACAAGCACCACAAATACAGAACCTTTCTATGCTGCTCCAAGGTTTCCTGTGCTCTCCTTTGACCCTGGCCTTCATGTGACCACTGATCTGCTCTTTGTCACTAAAAACTAGGTTACTTATTCTAGAATTTCTTGTAAATGGGATCATGTCTGGCTTCTTGTACTCAGCAGACTGTTTTGGGGACCCAGGCATGGTGGTGGTGGCCCAGCAGCCTGCTCCTTGGGACAGCTGAGTGGTATCCACCATATGGAGGCAACCCAGCTTCTTTATGTTTTCATCCATGGGTTGCAACTGAGGTTGTTTCTCTTTGTCAGTGATTGTGAACACAGCTGCTGTGAACATTTGTGCATACAGCTTTGTGTCGGCACACATTTAATTTCTCATGTGTAAATACTAAGGAGTGGATTTGCTAGGTCCTGTGTGGTAGGGGCATGTTTAACTTTTCAGAAATAAGAAACCAATTTAAAACTTAAATAATAAACTTCCTGAAACAAGGAAGCAGAACTAGGCAATTCTGAGGCTTCTGTTGGTAAAGTCGGTCATGTGAGCTTGTGGTGGCAGGCTGCTTGATTTCTTGTGGTTTTAACACACACAGACTATCCCGGGAGCAGCGGAAAGAAGACTGGCTCCAGGGTTGGGGCCTAGCTTTGTATCTCTGTTTTGCTTATATTTAATGATGAGGATTTAGGTATATATGTCATTTCTTTAGCATGTTTCCTCATCTGTAAAAAGTTGAATGTTATCATCTTAAAGTCCCATACAACTATAATGCTCTATGATTGCAGTTCAGACTTACAATGGTTCAACTTAATGATATTTTGACTTTATGATGGTGTGAAAGTGATACATATTAGGTAGAAACCATAGTCTGAGGACTCATACAGCCATTCTGCTTTTTACTTTCAGTACAATATTCAATAAATTGCAAGAGATATTCAACACCTTATTATAAAATACGCTTTGTGATAGATGATTTTGCCCAGCTGTAGGCTAATGTAAATGTTTTGGGTACACTTAAGGTAGGCTAGACTAAGCTGTGATGTTAGGTAGGTTAGATGTAAATAGATTTTTGACTTACAATATTTTCAACTTTTTATGGGTTTATTGGGACATAACCCAATCAGAAGTCAAGGAGCATTTTTATTTCATGTGGTAGCATAACATGTTAAACTCACATTTTCAACATCAACCAGCCAATGTACCCTCAAACTACTCACACCTTTTAACTGATTGTGTAAAAACCAGGTCAGCAGAAGGTGAGTGCTCTTGGCAGGATGCATGCGCCATCCTGGAGCTGACTGGATTGCTGACGTTCACAGTATCAGCAACGCGTATTCTCCATGCTGTCTTATTTTCTCTGGCAGATCCATGTTGACGGGGCTCCACCCTCCCACTTCTGGAACCATCATCATCAATGGCAAGAACCTACAGACAGACCTGTCGAGGGTCAGAATGGAGCTTGGTGTGTGTCCGCAGCAGGACATCCTGTTGGACAACCTCACCGTCCGGGAACATTTGCTGCTCTTTGCTTCCATAAAGGCGCCTCAGTGGACCAAGAAGGAGCTGCATCAGCAAGTCAATCAGTTAGTAAACAGTTGTCTCTCTGCTCCTCCTGCCTCTGCCCATTGTGTAAGGAAGTGAAGACAATAGAAAGAGACACTTAAAAAATCATCTGTGTCTACATTTATAAGATGAAATAATTAGCAAATGGTTGTTAACTATGGAATTATGACACAGCCACCAACACTGAGAATGTCAGAAAAGGCTTCTGTGGGAAGGCATTGAATTTGATTTGATTTGTCTTTGAAATGTGGAAGAGATGAGCACATGTAAGCACAGAGGCTGTTGATGGAAACTTTGTGTATCTGGAGTAAAAGGTCCCTAGGGGTGTCCTGAAATGAAAAGAATTCAAAGGCAGCGGGAAAACTGGTTGTCAAGAAGCTGATTAGTCTGCCTTTTCTCTCCTTGATCCCTAGCTCTTCCTCAACTCCTTCCTTCCTTCCTGTCACACACACACACAAAGATTAAGAAAAAAAGAGCCTTATTAGTCATGCTAAGGAGTTTGAACTTCACTGAGCAAGTAGGTGTTCATGAGTGGGGGACTGTGATTAGCCTGAGATCTGGAAGATCTCTCCTGCTAGATCATAGCAGGTGCCATGGGAGAGACTAGATACAGAGTGGCCAGTGTAGGCAAGAGGTGGTGACAGCCTGATTTATGGTCATGCCACTGGGGTGCATGGGCCAGGAAGGCCTGTATTTGAAGACTATTCAAATTTAGAAGAATCAGGTCATGTTGACTAACTGGTTGCACAAGGCAGGGAGCAGAGAACTCCCGGTAGGGTCACAAACAATTGGTAGGACATTGGTTGGTCCACATGGGGGGCTGAACCCTATATGAAAGTGGAATAGCACAAGGAAGATCTAGAGTTGAGAATATGTGGGGAGAAGTGGAAAGGAAGTAGGGTATCCAGGATGGGAAGCAAGGCAAAATCCAGGCAGTGTGCCCTGGCTCATTGGACATTGATAGAAGTTTAGACCAGAGGTAAAAGGGAGAGACAGTAGGTTCCTGATTAGAGAACAAAGTGGTGTTTGAGGGTGATGACCATGGAAGCATGGATTGGAGGGGAAGTGGAGCAATGAAAGTCATGGAGAGTAGCTGGAGATAGAAACATTAATCCAGTGCTGGGGTCATCGATTCAGCAAACAGTGGTAGTTAAGTGTGCAGGCCGTCTGTCCTGTGCTGGGCTCTGCCCCCTCAGGAAGATGCATGGCTCTGGCCTCCTGGGGCTAGTGCTGCATGCTTGGCAATTCCAATGGATGGACTTTGCAAAGCAGAACGTCAACCATGGCGTGAGTGTGTGGGGAAGGGGCCCTTGGAGGCAAGCATGTAAGTATAACTGGTAATGGACTGCACATTCCTAAGAAGAAAATGTGAATGTCATGAATTCTTACAGAATATTGTTATTTTACAATATTTTTGCAAGCTTTACATTTATAAATAAGTATTTACAATCTGCATTTAATTAAGGTGAAAGCTCACAGGGTTTGGGTGTTGTTTTGTATGGTGTAACCTTATTTCTTTACCACTTTTTCCGCTATGTGCTTCATGATGGTGGAGCTCTACCTTGGTGTTTCTAGCCCTGGAACACTGAGAAAAAGAAGAATGAGTCTTAAAGTTGTCACACATTCCATGTGCCGTTGGCGATATGACCAGAGACCAAGTAAAACGTTTGCAATGAGAATGCTCCATTCCACCCTTCCTTTTACTTGGCCTCTCCAGGTGCCATTGCTTGCTTCTCCATCCCTGCCATTGCAGGTCACCCCTGCATCATGCCTCTGTAGAGATGCCAGGGCTGCAGCTGGCCTTCCTGCCTGCTGTCGGCTTCTTCTACCCTTTCCTCCAGCCCCTTTGGCTCACTTCTGCAAAGCTTATCTTGTCCCCAAACCCAACCCCCAGCTGTTCTCCCCAGATCATGGTCTAGCTTCCTGATGTCACGTGCTTTCAGTACTCCACATGGAGTGCTCCTTAGAAATGTACCCAGGTCCTGGCCCTTCTCTGCCAACTGCCCTTCAAGGACTCACATCACTTGAGGTATAATCTAAAGGTATGGAGGCCTACAATTGTGTAATTTACATTCTTGTGCCTATTGTCTCAGATTTATTATGAGTGCCCCCTTCCACCTCAAAACCCTCCTCCTTTGGAATATAAATTTATAAAGCCCTGCCAGCCTCTCTTGCTTTACCTGATCCTTCATTGTGTGGTGCCTGCTGCGCTGGTCTTATGGTGGATCCCTGAGCACACTGAACAGGCCCTTCGCTGCGTTCGTGTTGTGATGGGCTCCGTGTGTAGCCTGCCTCACTGCCGTCCTGGCTCTTCTCAGACACCATCTTACCAGAGCAGACTTCCTGAGCATTCTGTCCAGAACAACTTCCCACTCACTCTCCTGAGTCCCCTCTATTTCTCTGGCTCTTATTTACGACATTTATCATTTCATGACAGCCTCTGTGTATTAGTCTTCTGTTTCTTTCCACCAGATAGCAAACCCCTTGACTACAGGGACGTAGTCTGTTTGGTTCACTATAGTATAATAAGCATTCTTTGAGTTGAATAACTGGATTTTTTTTTCAATTTTTATTTTTATATTTTTTCCATAAGTTATTGGGGTACAGGTGGTATTTGGTTACATGAGTAAGTTCTTTAGTGGTGATTTGTGAGATTTTGGTGCACCCATCGCTTGAGCAGTATATACTGCACCATATTTGTTTTATTTTATCCCTCAACCCCCTTGAGTTCAGAAAGAAACCTCAGGTGCAAACAATGAAGCTGAATAAGCTCTACTGGGGGGTGTGTGAAGTGGGTGCAGGGGGTCAGCTGCCCTTGGTTGTATGGTGAAGGGTCATAGCAGAGGTAATGATTGAGCAGCAGGCTACAGGATGAGTAAGGATGAACTGGGGTTGACTGCAGTGGGTGGGCTGCAATATGTTACAGCATGTGCAGCTTAGAGCGTCCACAGGCCTCTCTCTTGCAGGCCTGTGCACAGGCACATTACAGAAGCTTCCTAAGCCTTGCAAGATTTTAGGTTTTGTTCCTTAGGCTGTCCATGGGCATGAGGCCTCTGGAGAGTGCTGAGCACCTGATACGATGGCCGTCTAATGATGGTTCACACACTCTCTCCAGTTGCAGGTGGAGGATGGGGTGGGCTGGGGTGAGCCCAAGTCGCAGGGAGAGCTGGGGGCTCCTGCACTAAGAACAGATTAGGCCAGGAGAGGTCCAGTAGGGTGAGGAGGAAAGGGAGATGCAGACCCAATGGGGAATAAGAGAGGAGGGGGCGTCCATGGTATTCCCCAGATGTCTGGCTCAGGCAAGCACAGTGTTTTTCAACATACAGTTGACTCTTGAACAACACAGGTTTGAACCCTGCAGGTCTTACTTATATTCAAATGTTTTCAATACAAGTAACACCCAGTGTGCCTACCTCTTCTGCTACCTTTCCTTCTCCTCTGCCTGACCTGCCTCAACCACCTTTGAGATAGCAAGACCAGCTCTCCCCTTCCTCCTCCTCCTCCTCAGCCTACTCAACGTGAAGATGACAAGGATAAAGACCTTTATGATGATCCACTTCTAGTTAGACAATAGTAAATATAGTTTCTCTTCTTTAAGCTTTTTTAAATAACATTTTTTTCCTCTAGCTTGCCTCATTGTAAGCATACAGCATGTAATGCATATAACATACAAAAGAGGTGTCAACTGACTGTTTACATTATTGGCAAGGCCTCCAGTCAACAGTAGAATATTAGTAGGTAAGCTTTTGGGGAGTTGAAAGTTATACACAGATTTTTGACTGTGTACAGTGTGGTGCTTTAAGTCCCTGCATTGTTCAAGGGTCAGCTGTGTGTATAGAGAGAGCCTATTTGAGAAGTTGGGGAGAGGAAAGTGATGAGTTTGTCTTAGAGATGTGAGTTGAAGGAGTCTGGAGGTTTCTGATGCTGAGGCCAGCTGTGGTGCTAGGCTCCCACCAGGGCACTGCCGGCCTGTGCTCCTGCCCATGCTGGTTTTCCTTATTTATTACCCTCCCCTCCACTGCTACCTCAGTTTCCTTGGTGTGCCCAAATCCTGAGATCCTTCAAGGACCAGATCCCCTCCCACCATGGCCTTGGGATGTTGTGCAGGCCATGTGGGCCAGGGCAGGAAAGAAGCCCCTTGTGGGCTCTCTCAGATGGCCAGAGGGGCCTTCTGCTTCCAGCCTCACCTCTGCAATGGCTACCTACATTGTATAAAGGAGGACTTTCATTTGTTTAACATCTTTTTTTTGTGCCAGCCGCTATGGTGGATATGTGCCAGGAACTTACATGAGTGATCTCATTCAAGTGTCTTTTCCCTGGGATATGGGCAGAGGCTCCAGGAGATGGTGCCATGCAGCTCGGAGAGGGAAGCCAGGATCTGACCTAGGACTCTCAGATGCAAAGTGCCTTCTGCTGCCTTTCTTTCAAGCTGGCCACTACGTTGTAGCATGTGGGCATGGTCTCTGCAAAGACAAAACCCACTAGGCGGAGAGAGGGCAGATTCTCTAGCACATTTCTAGTGTTGATGCCCTAATGGGAGTACGGACCCTCATTGGGGATTCCATGAGTCTGAGAAGTGAAGGTGATTTGTTAACAGTTGCTCTCCCTGGGGTTAGTGAATGCAGTAGCTTTAAAATGCACTCTCGGAACTTGGCAGGCAGGGCAGGTGTGTCACTAGCAACCCACAGTGGGGAACGTGTGGATGAAGGATCGCTGGTGCATTGTGGAACCTGCCTCTGGGGCATTTCTCTTGAAGGAATCTCACCCCAGTAAGGTCAGATTGCAAACACGGGATCCTAGAGGGGCTAAATGAGGCAGTATTATGAACATTCTTTTGGAGATACGAAACAAAACAAGATCACAAACACAGAATACGGTAGAGGCTTTTCTCTTTTCATAGTGTCTGTTTTTGTGTCCTTTTATATTTGAATTATTTTAAATTTGCTTACCTCTATCAGATTGATGGATTAGCTTCAGTTCTTGTGGGTTGAGCCCTGCTGGGAGTTTGCTGATTCTTGAGTGTGATGAGTGCACTGTGGCCTTGTATTGATCAATTCTTTGTAGTTTTGAATCGCAAAATTAGGAGACCTGGAGGACATGAGAATACAGCATATTGCTAGTTCCAGAGAAAATGGGGAAGGGGAACAGATACTCCAAGAGATATTGCCTGAGAATTTTGTAGAGTTGAAATGCATCAATCCTCAGTTTTAGGGAGCACAGCAAGTTCTGAACAAGATAAGCCAAATGAATGGTTTTTTTCTTACTGAATTCTTATACTGCAAATTGTAATTTGCAATATATACTCATTTCTTTCAAAGTGTCAAAAAACTCCTTATAATAAAAAAAATTAAAATTGTAAAAAAAAAAAAGAATATGGTAGAGGCACATATTACCCAGGGGTCAGGGTCTGAAAGGAGGGCACTGGGGAAAACCATGCTCACATTACCCCTGAAAATCTTTTAGTGGAGAGCAGCATTGGAAAATGACAAAGTGGCTCTCTAGAAATGCACCACTGCATTGCACAGTTTTATTTTTCCATACTTGGATGGGATCAGTATTTGTTTAGATGATCTCAAATTGAAATTCGTGCCTGTGTTTAGAGACCAGCTATACTATAAATGCATGTGTGGAAAAAGCCAAATCTCCTTCTGGATGGATGCTGACACTGTGAGGGCCATGTGCAAATTAAGCCTGAATTGATGGAAAAAGTCCTTGAGGGACCGAAGTCCATTGTTAAAGTGATGGATGATACTATACATTTTATTTAAATCATCCTTTCTTCTTTTGTCCCCCGCTCAGCATTCACATTATTGTCATAATCTCTACTGGAGGGCATTCTCTACTGGAAGGTGGCTGGTTCACATCTTGTGCTGTCTTCAGAGAATGGCTGGAAATAGTAATAATGTTAATGACAGTGGACACTTGGATATACATGGAAAATATTTAGTTTGTACTATTGAAAGCTGTCTTAAATTTGAGTGGGTACTTAACGAGAAATAGCTAGGTATCTTATGGACTATATATTATGAGATAGCAAATTGGCTATGTCCAACCTGATTTCTTTAAAACAAGTCATAGGTTACCTATTGTAATTTTTTAAAATGCATCTACCCTAGACCACAGTAAACTCTATTGTGATTGAGATTGGGAGCTTAAATCAAACACCTAACAATGCTACATTTGCTTCATCTTTTTTTGGGTGCCAGGCAACCTTAATGATTATCAGCGCACAGAGTGTTACCTAGCAACAAAGCCAATTTGCACAAAAGCAACCAGAATAAGATCATGTTTTAGGATGGTAGTCTTCAATTAGAGAAAGGGAAAACTGCAAACATCTGATTTAGATCCAACATGCTCCCTATTACTCTCCTGTATCACCGCTTGGTTTCCTTAATGTGTAGCTTCATTAAAATGTGACTTCAAGGGAGGTTGCATCCCTGCTAGAATCTTTAGAGTAAACATGTGTCAAGATTCAGATCATTACTGTTTTGCCCTTAATTTGGCCTAAAGAAGATAAGCATAGTCAAGAGAGGAACTTTGTTAGACCTTTAAGTCAGTGTGATGTTGTTATGTAGTTAACGTTACTACTTAGAGTTCTGGAGTTCACCATGCAACTCAGGTTGGAGGTACATTTGTTTGATAGTAATGAGATCATTGAGGGCATAAGTGAAGGAAGATTAGAAGAGGGGACAAAGCATTGATCCCTGGACACTCCAACATGGAGTGTATGGAGAGATGGGGAGAAAACAGCCAAGCAGGCAAGAAAGAGAAATCAGTAGCAAAGGTGGAAGACAAGGAAGTGAACCAAGTCCACTAATGGTGAGGGTGTGATCAGACCGTAAATGCTGTTGAGGGTCAAGTAAAATGAAGACTTAAAAAATGGCCTTTGGATTTAGTATGTGGAGGGCTCTAGTGACCTCTGGAAGAGCAATTTTAGTAGTGTGAAGGGAATGAAGGTCTTATTAGAGTCAGTTAAAGAAAGAGCGGAAGAAGAGAAATTGGCAGCAGCACATCTTAGGAGTTTTGCTGCAAAAAAAGCAAAGAAATATGATAGTGTCAAAAAGGAAAAGTGAGGTCAAGAGAAAAAATGCTCCTCTTCCATTCAAATAATTCAAAGACAGGAATCACAGCAGCATATCTGTACACAGATGAGAATGCCCCAGTAGAGAATGAATAATTGGATTGAGCTACAGAGCAGGTGGCTTGCTGGGACACTATTCTGTATGGGACAGGGGAAGGGATTTAGACAAGAGACAAGGGGTTGTCTCTCCTGAGAGCACAGCAGGCTCACTTACAATAGAAGGACCAAGAGCTGAGTCTGTGAGTACTTCCATTAGCTTCATTGTTTTTCAAGGTAGAGTGCATGCACAGAAGGGATTATAAAGTTAACTAGTCAGAAGAGGATGCATGGAATTGAGAGCCTGGAGAAGATGTGTTTGTTAGAAATTACAAGGTCTAGGATGTAACTTGGTTGTGAGTAAATGGGATTGGTGGAGTGAAGGGAGGATATGCTACAACAAATACTAATAAAATCTCTAAGAATAATGATAAGAGTAGAGCTGAAGAAAGAGACAGTGCACAAGAGCAGATTCAGGGATGGGTAGATGACAACAGCAATGACAACAACACCCAACAGTGGATGATATGCTCAGATGACCTGAGATTCAAGGCTGGGGGCTTCAGCAGAGGTGGGGAAGGTCACAGTGAGACAAAAGGAGACACCTGCCCCACATGGAGACCCAGTGAAGGAAAGAAACAGCAGTTATAGAACAGGATTTATGATGGGTATGTGTTCTGGCTCAAGCCTTTCTCTCCTGTCTTATCTGAGGTCATTGTATGGTTTTCCATGTATTTCAAGGACAGAATCTCTTTGTTCCTTGCATATGCTATTCTTTCTCCCCCAGGTCCTGGCAAGTGCTTTCCTCTTTTTTTTTTTTTTCTGGAACACACTGTTCAAGCATCCCCACTTCACTTACTCTCACTACCCATCTGACTGATTTCATATGCCACTGTCTCTGGAGTCAGAGGGAATCCCTATAGCTCCTGGGACTTTATCATTACCCTACTTACCTATACTCTTATTATAATTTCTTGCCTGTCTTTTCCACTAGACCTTGAATTTCTTGAATCAAGGATAAGATTTGATTTATTTCTCTAGCCCTAGCAGGTGGCAGGTGCCAGGCATTGTAGGGGTTCAGTAAACATTCCTTGAATAAATGAATGGATGATTAAAGAGCAGCATCTGAAACACATTCTCTGGTGCATAATTGGGTCATAATAGGAGAAAATATCTTTTCCTCCTTTCCCTGCTGCCTAGCAATGTTCTCAATTAGAGGATTATCCTGTCCTTTTGAGAAGGAATTTGGAAATGTAACTTTGAAAAAATTATTTGCTTCTTTTTGATATGTATAAGATCAATAACTAGAAAAACACTAGCCTCTAAATAACTTTAAAATTAAAAAAAATTCAACAGATTAAAAACTTCTGGCCAGTGTTTACAAATTGCTGTCTTCTTTAATTTTTAAGTCCACTCTAAGCATATGAACAATGCCCAGAAACCAGCAGAGTGGAAATGACTGGGCTTTGCAATGGGGTTCTCTTCCTGCTGCAATGATAGGTGTTCAGACATTGTTTTGCTGACCCTGGCCAATGCCTCAGTGGCTTAGAGTCCTAGGAATGTGTCATTCTGTACAAAATAAGTCAAGGACTTTTACTTCCATTGACCTTAGTGGATATTATATTCACTGATTAAAATGCCATGAGTGCTAATTATCTTCAGCCTCCATGCCTGGTTCTGGGAAAACAGACATAATAAGTAAAGGGGCTTGTTCTTGGGGAAGCCCCAGTCCATGTGGGGGGTGAGACACTTAACAGGTACATATGATACGTGTCACAGGGACCCAGTGGATGCCAGTGTGTATTCTGGCTTCAGAGTGCTAGTGGTTAAATGCAGTTCTTCCACTTAGAAAGCTTTTAACAATATATGCTATCTCTCTCTTGGGTTTTCCAAATACAATGTGGTTCTAATAATGAGAAGACCCTCATTTGGAGGTTATGTGGATTATAATAATTTATACACACAAAGCACTTAGACTAGTAGTACCCAGTGTATGATACATGTCTAATAAATGTTAAATATGATTATCTAGGCTTGGAGCTAACATTTAAAAAATAAAATAAAGTGACTGGGATTTCCTCTGTAGGAAAGCGTTTATGAAATGAATGAATGATATTCTTCAGAATTATAGATTCTACAGTATTGTGATGTGATAGAAAGTTCTACTTTAAGTTGGACCTCTCCAAGACCAATAACTCACCATCTCCTGTGAGCTTCCCATAGCATGTTGATTATACTTCATCTGTAACATTTATCTCATTGTGTCCTAATTGGATATATACACATGATTTATCTAGATAACTCTGATTTCCTGCAGAAGGACCTGTGCTTCGTTGCTCTTTGATGCCCCTACCTTTATACCCAATATGCAACCAGCACCTATGATGCTATAGACCATTTGTGCAATCTTGCAAGAATTTATAAAATACACATGAATGAAATACCCTCATCCTCACTTCCTCCACCCTATCATTATTACCTACTGCTCTTGGCTTCAAGAATTTTAAAACACACACACACACACACACACACACACACACTATGGGGAGCAAAATTGTCCATAAAATGTGTTTGTATATTGAAATTCAAAGTGCATCAGGAAAACAGGCCTCCACTAAAAACAGAAGTAAAAATACAGAGTGAACCAGATCGGTCAGTTTAATGCTAACCAGTTGCATAAGATATAATAGAGAGCAGGCCCCAGCTTCTTTGCATAAATTTGATTGTAGAAGCATGGTTGGTCCCTTTTGCTTACATCTTGTTTGACACCTGTGTAGTGAAGGTTCTGTGAAGGACTGCACAGGTGGGGACAAAGTGCAGGGGGCCAGAAGCGTTCCTGAAGTTCAATGCCAGGTGTATGAAGAGGAGGTAGGCTTCCAGCTTGCTTAGGGTGCACAATGAGGCAGCAGCGTGGGGCCACCCCAGAGGGTACCATAGACATCCCAAGTAGTACCAATGGAAGAAATGAAGAAGGAGGGGTTTGGGGTTGAACACAGAAAGGTAACCAGAACATGCACGTTTGAGAACATCTGACATCTTACTGACTTGTTTTCTTGTCTATTTGTCTTCTCTGCTGACTGATCTCTGGTTAATGTGCTAAGTTTAATAGATCGACCTCCTCTGCTAGATTGGAATCTCGCAGCTGGGAATGTGTTGGGAGATTGCAGGGCTAGGCAGTTACCTGGTGAAATGGAAACATTTGTCTTCCTCCTTCCAATAGGGTGTTGTCCACACTGGGAACACATGAAAAACAGGAGCATAAATTATTACTATAAATTTAGGTTGAGATTTAACCAGCAGAAAATGCACTATAAGACTTGGATGAAACATTAAGTGCACAGAGTGAACACTAAACCCTAAGAAGTGGGCTTGAACTCTTTCTAGTTCAGGATGGGAAGTATTTACATTAAATATTTACTTAGTCATCAGGCAGAAAATGGGATTCACCCAATTCTTTGCTTGGAATTCTGGAATGTTCCAGGCCCCAACTATTCTTGAAGCTCAACTGTCTGGAACATGTCAAATCCTCTTCTGCCTGTCTAGCCTTCTCTCTGGCTGCAAAATGGCACCATGACTTCAGCTGCTGGCTATCAGGAAGGTAGAAACATGCCTGCAGCTCCGAGGAGACACTCCACTTTGGTTTGAGTGGTCAAGGGAAGGTTTCAGGAAGGCATTGTTTAAACTGGGTTTGTAACAATGAGTAAGATGGTAAATAGGTGATGAGGGCAGTAAGTATTCCTGTAGAGTTAACAGGGCCACAGTGGTGAGGGAAGTTATTTGTGAGAAAAGAGAGTGGATCCCTGGAAGAGGGGTAAAGTTTCACATGGGGAAGGCTTTGCACTGGGTATCTGAGATCTGGAACTCCTAAGACTGAAAGATCCCTGCAACGGAACAGGACACTTGTTCTTACATTAATAGCAAATGATAATTTATACTTTGCACGTGGCATTTCACTGGAACATCTGCATTAATCAGGAAGGTCGGGTGATCCAGATTTAGTGGACAGTGGCCAGGGAGTGAAGGGCTTCTCTGCTGAGCAGTAGAGCTGGGCCTGCCTTGCTTCTTCTGACCACACTGGTACATCAGCCATTCCACCATACTCCATACCCTGTAGAGGGATGCAGGGCCCTCCCTGGCAGAAGGTATGAGTGAAATGAGAGACATGCTTCTCCAGAGAGGAGACAATGCAAGCATTTCCAAGCACAATTCTGGGCAGATATTGCTGGTCTGCATCACGGTTGGTGTCCCTTGGCGTGGTTCCATCTGAACCTGAAGAAAGTCAATGCTGCTCTGGTGAGACTCACGTGTGTGTAGCATCCACACCTCTGTGATATATTTGTGGTTTATAACGATTTCAGCCACTGTTAGTCATTATTTCTGGAGTGAAATTAGAAGCAAAGTTTTAAGGTGTTCAGGGAGAAGAGTGATGTTTTCTTCTAATTTCAGAACTCTTCAGGATGTGGACTTAACTCAGCATCAGCACAAACAGACCCGAGCTCTGTCTGGAGGCCTGAAGAGGAAGCTCTCCCTTGGCATTGCTTTCATGGGCATGTCGAGGACCGTGGTTCTGGATGAGCCCACCAGTGGGGTGGACCCTTGCTCCCGGCATAGCCTGTGGGACATTCTGCTCAAGTACCGAGAAGGTAGGCACTGGGCCTCATTCTGCCTTCTCTTCCCACAATATTGTGTTGCAGGAAATGCATTGCTACTGTACAGTAGAATCAAGTTGTATCCCAGTGAGGCTACATTATCCTTTTCAGAAAAATATAAATTTTTAAAAGCACTTATAGGGATATATTCGTTAGATAACATCTCTATAGTGCTTAGAATTGCTTACTTTGTGTTTGACCTTTTAACTCAATAACAGCAATGACATCTATGTACATTATACATTATCATACATGATTTCAAGGAAAATTGTCTTCTTCTGGAAGCATAGTTTCTTAGAAGAGGCATCCCAGATCATAGGACAAGCCTCCCTTGTCTCAGATGAAGAAATGAAGGCTCAGAGAGACGGGCATGTGATTTACTTGTAGCTACAGAGAAAGTTTCCTGAACTGAGGGTGGATGTTGAACCTCTTGTCCATGTTTCTCACATCTATTATTGTTTCTTTCCAATTTAGGACATTTGATGGGCAGTTACTAATTTCCAACTTCTGATTCTTTCTGCAATCCTGACAGCTAGGAAGCATTGTTCTATGTATTTTCTGTGAGAATACTCCCTTTTGGAAAGAAACATTGCAACAGTAAAACACATCTTGGTGCTGGTAAATAAGTGTAGAGGCATCAGTGGCAGGATTAATACAGATTCTCATAAAATGTTATTTTGCTTTTTCTTTTGCCTTTTGAGTATAAATTTTCTTCTGACTTAACCTAAAGTCTCCATTTCCCTGGAGGTGAACTAGGATTTGCAAAGGAAGAAATAAAGGAAAAATAACAAGAAAGAGTCCTTCTTTTTCTTAGCATATAGAGGGCTGAGGCCAGAAGTCTTGGACCATCAAATTCTATCTTTGGAGTAGAAAAGGTACTCCAGTCTGTCACTTAAAGCTTAACCATAGGCTGGAGTCAGAAAGGAGAAAAATAACAAAAGGGAGCATAGAAGATCAATCTGTTTCTTTCTGTCCCACAATTTTGTTGGAATTATGGAAGGAGAAGATAGATAGAAGTGGGAAAATTGAGCAAGCAGATGTGACTTTTTGTTCCACTCTGGGCTTTGGCCTGGCCTGGGCAATTGCACTAGAAAAGTGCAGGCCACATCTGCGGTGCTGGCTCCTCAATCATGGTGCAGCCACATCGGAGTTCACGAGGCTCAGCAGAAATCCAGGTCCCAGTGAGGCACTGAGGGCTGGTATTCCCTACCTTTTCATGCCCATGAACTTTGACATTGAAAGACAGGGCTTGCTAGGCATGCTGCCATGGAAGTAGGGGACCCCTTGGAGCTAGCTGGCTGGAAGCCAGGGCAGAGATTCAGCCGTCTGCAGTCAGCAGGACCTACTGTGAGGCCTAGACAGCCTGGGAGCACTCTGCTCTGGCCTGACCCCTTTGGAGTCCAAGCTACAAATGCCAAGGTGGGGAGGCAGGCAGTGCCATGTGGTTTTGGTTGACACCCAGACACCAGATGACCCTGACCACATTGCACCCAAAGATTCGAACCCTTCCCCGTTGCCACAAGATCAAGAAGACTCCTGACTCCATTTACCTAAGTGTCTCTTGGGGAAAGACATAGAAAGGGCAGACATGGGATACTGACCACCACTTCAAAAGATTGATTAAATTTTGAGATGCAACGATTTAAACTGGACGAAACAATTTGCGCACTACCCTGGCTGGGGACTGATGCGGAAGATCAATGGGAGATAGACAAATAGATAACATTGTCTCTGCACCTGTGAATTGTGGTGCAAATTAAATACCACAAGCCCACTACTCTTGTTTAGTTTAAAAATTAGAGCTGGAGTCTCAAAGGTTTAGCTGACAGAACATTTTTGTAATGAGCACAAAGGTTATTTTAGACAGAAAAATAGATACAATGAAAGTCTCAGAAACAGACAGTTTTCTTCAGTTTCTGTTGTTACAAACCAAATATTTTCTCACTGTCCTTCGTTGTTTAGCAATTTTTTTTGTCTTTGGAGGACTTTTTTGAAATCATCCCTGCACTGACTGAAGTGCAAAATCAATAGTATGTAAGCGATTAGATAGGCGGTATTGGAAGAAAAATGTGTTTTCAAGAATCAAAATGTATAGCCATTTCTGAAGCAGCCCAAACCTCTAGGTAATCATAGAGCTCTGTGAGACAGATCTAAGGACTGTGCAGAAACAAACACTTCCTTCTGAGAAGAAAGAGCTCTTCTGTCGGAATACCAGTGCAGTGGGGGCTCAGTCTACCTGGAATTTTGTGTGTGTTTCTTGCTTAGTTATGTACAGTGAGGGCTCTTGATCAGCCCTGGTACCAGTATTTCTGTGTCTCCCATGGAAAAATAAATAAGGAAGCAAAAAATACCGGTGAAAACTGGCACATCTCAACTAAATTTCTGTTCTGGGGTATGCACTTGCTCTACAAATCCCATGTGACCCTGCAGAAATGATCAAATGCTTCTGAGCTTCAGTGTTCTCATTTGCAAATAGAGACAATTGTACCATCTCATAGGATGTGAGAGGGCACAGTTGTATGTGAAAGTGCACAGTTCTGTATATACCATGTGTGCGCTCAATCAATGACAGGTTATCATTATTATTATTAAAATAGACAAGGGGCGAATGTGGGAAGCGCAGCTTTTGGAGGAACATATCATCTGAATCAGAGAGAGAAACAGTCAAACAGTGTCTTGGGGAAAACAGTAGCATTGCTCTTTGAGGCCGGGCATGGTGGCTCATGCCTATAATTCCAGCACTTTGGGAGGCCAAGATGGGTGGATCACTTGAACTCAGGAGTTCGAGACCATCCTGGCCAATATGATGAAACCCTGTCTCTACTAAAAATACAAAAATTAGCTGGGCATGGTGGCGCATGCCTGTAGTCCTAGCTACTTGGGAGGCTGAGGCAGGAGAATCACTTGAACCCGGGAGGCAGAGGTTGCAGTGAGTTGAGATCGTGCCACTGCACTCCAGCCTGGGTGACAGAGCAAGGCTCCATCTCAAAAAATAAATAAATAAATAAATAAAAATAAAATATATGTATATATATATATTGCTCTCTGAGGCTTTGGATGTGTCTTGAATTTCCTTAACAGCCACTAAAAAGTCATCAAGGGTCAAATGCCTGCAAACTTAATTGAAATTCTTTGGAAGTTTATTCATTTATTTATTTTCCCAGCTTCATTAAAGTATAATTGACAAATGAAAATTGTGTATTTGTGGTGTATAGAGTGATGTTTTGATACACTGTTGACTCCTTATATCCATGGGTTCTGCATCTATGGGTTCAAACAACCTCGGATCAAAAATATTCAGGGAAAGGCCTGGCACAGTGGCTTATGCCTGTAATACCAGCACTTTGGGCGGCCGAGAGAAGTGGATCACCTGAGGTCAGGAGTTCGAGACCAGCCTGACCAACATGGCAAAACCCTGTCTCTACTAAAAATACAAAAAAATTAACCAGGTGTGGTGGTGCATGCCTGTAGTCCCAGCTGCTTGGGAGGCTGAGACATGAGAATCACTTGAACCCAGGAGGTGGAGGTTGCAGTGAGCTGAGACTGTGCCACTGCACTCCAGCCTGGGTGACAAAGTGAGACTGTGTCAAAAAAAAAAAATTTTCAGGGAAAGAAAGCCAATAAGAAATAATAATACAGCAATAAAAATAATACAAATAAAAATAATAGAGTATAACAACTTTTTTTTTGAGATGGAGTCTTGCTCTGTCTCTTAGGCTGGAGCCCAATGGTGCAATCTCAGCTCACTGCAACCTCTGCCTCCTGGGCTCAAGCAATTCTCCTGCCTCAGCCTCCCAAGTAGCTGGGATTACAGGTGTGCACCACCAAGCCCAGCTAATTTTTATATTTTTTAGTAGAGATGGGGTTTCTGCATGTTGGCCAGGCTACTCTCTAACTCTTGACCTCGGGTGATCCACCACCTCGGCCTCCCAATATAACAACTATTTAAATGGTATGTACATTATATTATTAATAGGTATTATATGTAATCCAGAGATGATTTAAAGTATATGGGAGGATGTACTTAGGTTATGTGCAAATACTACCCCATTTTACATAGGGATTTTGGTATCTTCAGGGGTCTTAGAACCAATGCTCCACAGATACCAAGGGACAAATGTATGTATACATTGTGGAATGATTAAATCAAGCTAATTTACATGTGCATCACCTCACATATTTACCCTTTTGTTGTTGAGGGCACTTAAGATCTAATCTCAGCAATTTTCTGGTATATAATGCATTATTACTAACTGTAGTCACCATGCTGTACAATAGATCTCTAGAATTTGTTCATCTTGTGTCACTGAAACTTTGTATCCCTTAACTAACATCTCCCTCCTTCTCCTCCCTCCCTGCTCCCTGCCCCGCCAGCTCCTGGCAACAACCATTCTACTCTTTGCTTCTCTTTTGGGAATTTAGATTCTAGTTGACTTTTATTTTTAGACTTCATTGTATGGGAATGTATCATCTGAACTACATGATAGCTCTAGTCAGATGATCTAAACTGCCTTTAATCCTAGATCAGGGATTAAGCAAATTTTCTTAGCCTCAAAGGTCTAACATGCAAGGAGCTTGGCCTTGGGTGTGGGGACAGGGACATACATGTGCAAGAACTGGTCATTGTGGACCTTCAAGCTCTATTGCTTTTGTGTCTACGTTCCATAGTTTATTTGTAAATGCATCTTTTTTTTAATGTATTGAAAGTCTTAGTCTTTTAAGGTGTCTCCTCTATTATTGTTATTTTTTCTACTTGCATTTTGTTTTTAATTGACACATGATAATTGCATATGTTTATTGTTTTGATTTTTTTACTTACATTTTAAATTCAGGGGTACATGTGCAGGTTTGTTATGTAGGTAAACTTGTTTCTTAGGGGTTTGTTGTACAGATTATTGCATTGCTCCGGTATTAAGCCTAGTACCCATTCATTATTTTTCCTGATCCTCTCCCTCCCGGCTCCCTCCACCATCTGGTAGACCTCAGTGTGTGTTGTTCCCTCTATGTCTCCATGTGTTCTCATCACTTAACTCCCACTTGTAAGTGAGAACATGCGGTGTTTGGTTTTCTGTTCCTGCATTAGTTTGCTAAGCATGATGGCCTTGAGCTCCATCTACATTCCAATTATGGGTTACAGTGTGATGTTTTGACACATGAACACGTTGTGTAATGATCAAATCAGGGTAATTAGCATATTCACAACCTCAAACATTTACTTGAGTAGAGTTAAAGACATGTTTAGCCTTCTCTCTTTGAAAATTTACCTTTGGAACAAGAATCAGTCAATGAGTTTCTTTCTATTTAATAAAACGGAACAGGTTGAATGGGGCTCAGTGAAAGCCAATAGGGAGTGTCGAAGCTAAAAGCAGCAACATCTTTTTACATAACTGAATCAACTTCACCAAAATATCTTCTAGTTTCTTTGGCCTCTGCTCTGCTAAAGCTAAATCTGAGGCTTCTTCTTTACAAGCAAAAGTCGTAAAACTTGACAAGATGCTAGAATGCTTAGAGAAAACATTTGAATTTAATATTGGTTTCTGCCAAAGGAAGCCATGCCCACTGGGCTCACTGATGACTTTCCTGCCAGGAACACCCAAGTCCCCCTCCACCCTGGCTCCCTGTGTCCATCACCCACAACATACTCTCCTCTCTGTGGTTCATGGCTACTGTGAGCTTTTCCAGGAAGGCATTGCATGTTCTGATGCTGCTACTTGGAATAATGAATACATGTGGTTACATCATCCCTGATTCCAAAGGGTATCAATGTATACCATGGCCATTTCAGACCTCTTTTTTATCACTGATTTCTGCCTTAACTCAGTGCTATGATTTTCTTATTCAATTGCGCTTCCATAAAATATAGCCTTCTCCCTACATACATCTCCCTTGTCATCCAAAGAAGAATGAGGAGGGCCAGGCATGGAGGGTTCACACTTGTAATGCCAACACTTTGGGTGGCCGAGGTGGGTGGACCATCGGAGGTCAGAAGTTCAAGACCAGCCTGGCCAACATGATGAAATCCCATGTCTACTAAAAATACCAAAAAAAAAAAAAAAAAATTAGCCAGACATGGTGGCATGCGCCTGTAGTCCTAGCTACTCTGGAGGCTGAGGTGGGAGAATCGCTTGAACCCGGGAGGTGGAGTTTGCAGTGAGCCAAGTTGGTGCCACTGCACTCCAGCCTGGGAGACAGAGCAAGACTCCATCTCAAAAAAAAAAAAAAAAAAGGATGAGGAAGAGGACTTTAGTATCTGAGGAGAGAGATAACCACCCAGCTTTTTTTTTTTTAATTTATTCTCTCCGTTCATTCAGTGATCTGCTTCAAAGACAGAGAGAACAGGGGGCTGTGCACAAGCACTCTGTTTTGCCCCCCAGTTTCACTCTCCGTGCCTGGCAGAGCACCCACTTTTGTTCATGGGGGTGGGGATGGGAGATCCGTGGAAACTACTGTAGAGGAAAGAGTTTCAGGGCCTCGAATTGGCAAAGTGGCCAGGACGCATTTCAATTTTTTTCAGTTTGAAAATTGGTGAGGATCTTTAAATTGTGCCCTGGATCTACCATCCTGAGGAAAGGAGGGAAGGTCCTCCTGGGGCCTTTGTCCTCCTGGTGCTGATGCACCCTGTGCTTGGACCCAGGTCGTACGATCATCTTCACAACCCACCACCTGGATGAAGCTGAAGCGCTGAGTGACCGCGTGGCCGTCCTCCAGCATGGGAGGCTCAGGTGCTGCGGTCCTCCCTTCTGCCTGAAGGAGGCATATGGCCAGGGGCTCCGCCTGACACTCACGAGGCAGGTAAGGAGTGCAACCATTCTATCTCACTGAAGTCCCATTTCTGTCTGTGGCATAAGAAACAAGTGGTGACAGTTACATAGTAATAACGTCTCAGTGGAGGCCTTCTGTGCACAATGGCCCACATGCCAAAATAAGTGGCCCCAGGCCTGTGCAGGGAGCAAGCCTCTGGGAACCCAAGCATGCATTTTGACCGCCAGGAGAAAATACATGAGGAGTCAGAATTACCTGATAGATAACAGGAGCTGCTGTGAGTGTCAGGGCCAGGAAGTATATGACCTATGTATTCTAGAAATTCTTTTCTCTTTCTTTCTTTCTTTCTTTCTTTCTTTCTTTCTTTCTTTCTTTCTTTCTTTCTTTCTTTCTTTCTTTCTTTTTCTTTCTTTCTTTCTTTCTTTTTCTTTCTTTCTCTCCTTTCCTTTCCTTTCCTTTTCTTTTTCTTTCTCTCCTTTCCTTTCCTTTCCTTTCCTTTTCTTTCTCCCCTTCCCTTCTCTTTCTTTCTTTCTTTCTCTTTCTTTCCTTTTCTTTTCTTTCTCCCCTTCCCTTCTCTTTCTCTTTCTTTCTTTCTCTTTCTGTTTCTCTTTCCTTCCTTTCCTCCCTCCCTCCTCCTTCCTTCCTTCTTTTCTTTTCTTTTCTTTTCTTTTCTTTTCTTTCAATGGAGTCTTGCTCTGTTGCCCAGGCTGGAGTGCAGTGGTACAACCTCTGTTCACTGCAACCTCCCGTTCCAGGTTCAAGCAATTCTCCTGCCTCAGCCTCCCGAGTAGCTGGGACTACAGACACATGCCACCAGGCCCAGCTAATTTTTGTGTTTTTAGTAAAGATGGGGTTTTACCATGTTGGCCAGGCTGGTCTTGAACTCCTGACCTCAGGTGATCCACCAACCTCGGCCTCCCAAAGTGTTGGGATTACAGGCGTAAGCCACCATGCCCAGCCTAGAAATATTTTTTTGACAACGATATTACCCTCCTAGAGGCTAAAACTTTGCCAGAATACAAGAGAGTAGTGAGGGTATAGAGCAAGTGGAGTCTGGCCCGAGAGGCTGAACTTGGGTCACATCTGTAGTCATCATTGCCTGTGTCAACCGGGGGCAGGAAGTGGTGACTCTGGGGCTGGGATTCAGGGTGTGTGGGAAATCACCTCTCCACTCTTGATGACTGTATTTGACCCTTGGTGGCCCACGAAAAGTCTTCCCTCACCTCTGAGCCAAGGTTCCTGTTTGCTTCCTCTCTCATTCAGCGTGAATGTCATTATCCCCAGGTGGCTCCTTTCTTCTTTGGCTGAGAATTCTTGTCTCCCTTTTAAGACTCCTTCAACCCAGTTTTCTGCTGTTCAATGCTAGGCCCAGGATCTCTCTGTGACTCTCCCAGTGGACGGGGGGCACTTCATGAATACAAACCTCTGGAGGCTGGCCATGGCAGGCCCAGTAGCTAAGACGGGCATGTTGGGGGGCATGTGGGTGTGGCCTCACAAGGTTTATCACTGCAGATTTATATTTTTTAAAAAGAAAGAAAAAAATACGAGATGTCATTGAGATGCCTATTGCTTAAGTGTGATATTTCATTTAAGCTTTGAAATGGAGTTTTGAAATAATTTGCTTATGGATATACATGAAATCAATTGATGTATATATGGATTAACATTCCTTACTGGCTTCTTTTTTCCTTTTTTTTATGGATAGCCTTCTGTTCTGGAGGCCCATGATCTGAAAGACATGGCTTGTGTTACATCCCTGATAAAGATCTATATTCCACAAGCATTTCTCAAAGACAGCAGTGGAAGTGAGCTGACCTACACCATTCCAAAGGACACAGACAAGGCCTGCTTGAAAGGGCTCTTCCAGGCCCTGGATGAGAACCTGCATCAGCTGCACCTGACGGGCTATGGGATCTCAGACACCACCTTAGAAGAGGTACTGAGAAAACTGAAGCGTGCTTTAATTATTTATGCCTTTTTGACCAGTCCACATTAAATGAAGAGATGTGGGTAAAGGGGGGGAGATGTGGGTAAGGGGGAGGAGTGTGCACTTTTATTTACATTTGATTTCTGATTGGTAGCATACTAGATGCCAATAACTGAACTTAACAGGCCTGACAGGTGGCAATTGCCCTTTAAGTGAAATGGCATTCTTTTAGCATTCTTTTTTTTTGTTTTGTTTTGTTTTTGTTTTTGAGACGTAGTGCAGGCTGGAGTGCAGTGGCGCTATCTCGGCTCACTGCAAGCTCTGCCTCCCGGGTTCACGCCAGTCTCCTGCCTCAGCCTCCTGAGTAGCTGGGAATACAGGCGCCCGCCACCACGCCTGGCTAATTTTTTGTATTTTTAGTAGAGATGGGGTTTCACCATGTTAGCCAGGATGGTCTCGATCCCCTGACCTCATGATCCGCCCGCCTCAGCCTCCCAAAGTGCTGGGATTACAGGTGTGAGCCCATGCACCCGGCCTCTTTTAGCATTCTTGTATTTGAGAAGCTTGGTGTCTTTAATTCAGAATCATGAGGTGTTTAAACAGTTGTCAGTAGTGGTTGATTGCTGGTTGTAATTCTTCATGTAGAGATGCCCTCCTCTTTCTGCTTCTGTCTGGGAGTCTCTGGCCCCATGCTGGGTATCCGTGATGTGAGAGGGTTTAGCACGGGAACACTGCAGACGCCTGGTGAGCTCCCATCCCCCAGGTCCCACTTTTCTCTACCTGGATCTGAGGTGGATGAGACCACTCCATGTGGGTTCTTCATAGAGTACACTTAACAACAGGCAGAAATAGGCGTTTCCTCCAGGAGGACATTGCTACGTTGTGTGACCCAACCTGAGGCATGCCTTGTTTGGGGTTCTTGAGGTTGGCTCTCTGTGTGGGCAGTATTTGAGCCCTAATTTTACATTGCTATTATTTATATAAAATGTCACGGGTTTTCAAAAAATCAAGTGCTGCAAGTTAAAATTTTTAAAAATCTGCAAAAGTCAAAGTCTGAACATTCAGTTGTGTTTTGGAATTGATTCCTTGGGTTAGTGATGCAGGAGGAAAGGCAATCTTTTGTGTGATAAATCAGTGTGGTCCCAAGTAGATAGCCTCCATCACAAGTTTTGTCTGGAATAAATAGTCATAAAAGATTGTGAAACATAAAAAATATTACAAAATGCTTTTATACATAGAATGTATTTGGTTCCCCTGAAACTCCGTAACTTATTATTCCTATTTTAAGGTTGAGTAAGCTGAGGCTCACATAGGCCAATTTCTTTACCCCAAATCACGAAGGTCGTAAATGGTGAGCTCTACTTAGACCTAGGGTTTCTGATAGTTAGTCAAGTTCTCTAAATTAGCCCATACCTTTGTGGTTGATGCTCTGTATTCCATGCATCATCAGGACTGGAGTCCATCCATTCCCACTGCGTTTTAATAGAGCAAGTTACAGTGCAAGAGACAAACAAAAAGCAGCCTAATAAACACACATGATGAATAGGAGCTGTTTTCTAAAGCCAAAGGATGCGGTCACTACATCTTTTCTTGTCTGGCTGTCTCCTATTTTCATTCTTCAAGTCTTGACATGAACGGCGCCTCTGCAGCGGATTCCCAGATTCCTCAGCATCAATTCTGTTCCGTGTTCTCCCCACCCGCCCTCACTGCACTCTGAAGCTTTTCTTCGTGACACTTCTCCCAACTTGTTATGCATGCTTCTCTGTCTCTCCCATGGACGCTGAGATCTGTGAGTGCTTGTATCTTTTCTGCCCACCTCTATAGCAGCAGTGCCCAGGACAGTTACTGGCACTCATGGTTGCTTAATAAATATTTTCTAAGTGAACAATGTGCTGAACCTTTCCAAAGATTCATCCAGCTATATTTTTAATATAAAATGAATATTTTATTATTTAATAAAATAATACATATATATTACACATAATATACATATGTATACATATGTAACATATAATATACATACATATACATATATTACATGTAATAATACATAGATATTTAATAAAACATATATATATGTTCAGGGTTTCGTTGTGTTGCTCAGGCTGGTCTGGAACTCCTGGGCTCAAGTGATCCTCCCACCTTAGCCTCCCAAGTAGCTGAGACTATAGGTGTGTGCCACTGCATCTGGCACCAAGATTTTGATCTTTAAAATGGAAAAATCAGAACAGTTTGCCTGGTTTCCCAAGGAGTAACAATCATGATTAAATGCCTGGAACAAGTCTGTCAAAAATGGTAATGGCTTTTCTCACTTACAGTGGGATTGCATGAGACGTTGCTGCCGTAGCTTTGGAGTGACCACGGAGCTAAATAACATCTATACCCCCAAAAGTCACCTTTCCTCCAGGAATTTTTGGGAGACAGCAGTCTTCCCTGGGCCAATGTAGAACAAGAAGGAATTTCCTAAGCCCCTTTTCCCCAGATTGCATGAGTCAGAATGCAGGTTTACAGACGTGCTGCTAACTAAAGCACCATACTTGAATGCAGCTATGTCAGACACCACAGTTGTCACTATCTTCTTAAATGTGAATAACAAGTCCAAATATTATATTGGAAGCTAATCATTTGGACAGTTGAGAGCTGTCAGCTGGCATGAGTCAGTTTCCCTACAGACAGAAGGAGGCGCTGCTTCCAGGGGTAGTTTTGCCATCCTGGGTCACTTGGAAAAGAAAAATAAAATAATTTTTTTGGGGGGTTATCGAGAGAAATTGTCAAAAAAGCCCAGACTTCTTATGTTCATGTCTGTCTCTCTAATCATTCACCGGGTTAATCCGGTTGTTTACTAGTTGTATGGTGTCTTGTACAGATAAATTGAACATATTCATAAGCTCACTGGACTCTCAGGGCAGGGAGGAAGATGCTGTAGGAATATGGACCAAGCACACTTATCAGTGAAATAATGAGTGTTCACCCCCAATGTATTTACTGATTTGCAATTAAACACATGCGACAGGAAGAGTGGGTGTTCCCTTTACGTAAGTGGCATTTTGCTTGTTGTTAACAAAAGAGAAATCCTTGGTAATACTTTTAATTTTTATTATTAAGAAGAGTGAAATTTTGTGGAACATTTTGCTTCAATATTTTATGAATTTAAATATCACAGAAAAAAAAACTGGTGAGGAAAGCCTTTATATCACGGGTGGATGCTTAGCTCTTAATTGTTTTGTTAATTATTGTGGCATATATGACCAATCAATAATATCTCCAGGTAAAACATACATTTAGGGAGAGGCTTATTCATAACCATAGCACATGTGAATAAGATACTTCAGTATTCTTTTTAGTAATTCCCTTCCTTCCTGCCTTCCTTCCCTACCTCTCTCTTTTTGCCTCCCTTCCTCCTTCCTGCCTACATCCTTCTTTCCTCCCTAATTTTCAGGTCTGTCTGAATTTTTAGTCACATCTGAGACTAAAATGAAGATCCCACAGGAGTAAGAAAGTGTCAGCTGTGCTGTTTCATGTTTGCTGTGCTTGTGTTGCTCGTATTATCTTCAGAATCTTTTAAAGCCACTATCTCCTTTATAAGTGTTATTTTAGTAAAAACTAGATAAATCAATGTAAAAATCTACTTAGACAGGCCTCTACAAAGCTGCAACCTGTTGAAACTTGAAGAACTGTCACTGTGGCCACAGAGGCCACCAGTGCTCCTATCAGTCTTAAATAGGAGGAATTCTTTATGTCTGATAGGTTCCGCCTAGGAATAGAAACTGAGATTTCCATGTTTCCTTCTGCACCCCCTGGGGTGCTGAGAGAGCTGGGCCTCGACAGAGCCTGCAGGGCCACGGGGAGTGGTTTGCATTCTTGACCATGCATGGTGCTCCCTCACTGCACTCACTGCAGAATGACTCCCCTACCTTGGCACCCTTACCTGTAGGTTGGGAATCATGGAAGGAACCACAACATAGGGTTGAAGGGAAGAAACTTCTAGTGCAGCGCGTGACACACAGACAGACGACATTTGTTCTGCTTGATAGGGACTTGCATGAGATGCCCTGGGAGGATCCCCAGTCGGAGAGTGCCCCGGGACCAAGGGAAGCCTCCTGCAGGCGCTCCCAGAGGACAAGGCTGGAGCTGCAACCTGGGTGTGTCTTGGGGTTTAGAGGCTGCACCTTTTGCTTCCTCACCCTCCAGGTCCAGCCTCCCACCTGCCCCAGACCCATGTCCATGCTTCTCCTTCTGATGTCTGCCCCTTCCCCACTCTCTTCCCTACAGAGCTCGGGCCTGTTAAGAGCTTGCTGTACTTCAGTCCTTCCATGCTCAGAATTCTAAACCAGTCTTGGAATCTCACTGCATCACTGCATATACCTTTTTTTTTTTTTAAACAGGAGTTACCCATTTCACAATATTTATCTTGAACAGTTTTTATTTTTCCCATAGTCATGATGTTCATGGTGACATAATTTCTTTTACAAAAATGTGTCCTTATGTAGTTCCTCCCCTCCCTGCTTTAAGGCACTTTGGTTGTTTCTAAAGTTTTGATTTTACCATTGAGACTGTACAAGTCCGAAGAACAGGATCCCCCAGCTTTTCCATAGACTGATTCCTAGAAATGCAATTACTGGGTCCAGGGGATAACCCTCAAGATCTGTGACGGGGTCAAATGACAGAATCCCCAAATGATGACATGCATTTGTGTCCTAGATGCTTTTTTTTCATATGCCTCAATCTTTTCAACATTTCAAAAGAAACCCAGTGCCTTCTAGTCACATTTAGGATTTCCTAACTGGCCTGCTGCCCCATATCTTCTTCAACCCATGGTTGCCATGGGAAGGGCCTGGGAATCAGGACAAGAACATTGACACTTGCATTTATGTTTCATCACTTCCTGTCGGGGACAATCTGGACAAATCACTTAGACTGGAACCACATTTATTCATTTATTTTAATTTTAAAAACCTTTTAAAGAGCAGTTTTAGATTCTCAGCAAAATTGAGCAGAATGCACAAATTGTGCATTCTGTGTCCCTCTGCCTCCCTTGCCCCCAGCCTCCTCCACTATCAACATCCCTGCAGAATGGCTCATTTGTTACAATTGATGAACCGACATGGACACATCACCATCCAGCCCATTAGGCTTCACTCTTGCTGTTGTACATTCCATGGGTTTGGATGAGTATATAATTCCATGTATCTGCCATTATAGTATGATATGGAACAGTTTCACTGCCCTGAAAATCTCTTGTGCTCTGCCTAGCCATTCCTCCCTGCCCGAAGCCCCAGCCCTCAGCAACCACTGATCTTTTTACTGTCATCGTAGTTTTACCTTTTCCTGAATGTTGCAGAGTTGGGAATCATACAACCCTTGTAGCCTTTCCATTTTGGCTTCTTTATCTTAGTAACATGGATTTAAATTTTCTCTGTGTCTTTTCATGGCTTGATAGCTTATTTCATTGTACCGCTGAATAATATTTCAGTGGCTGAATGTACCATAGTCTATTTATCTATTCATCTACTGAAAGACATCTTGGTTGCTTCCAAGTTTTAGCAATTATGAACAAAGCTGCTATAAATATCTGTGTGCAGATTTTTGTGTGGACATAAGTTTTCAACTTACTTGGGTAAATACCTAAGACTGCAACTGCTGTATCTTACAGTAAGAGTGTCTTTAGTTTTGTAAGAAACTGCCAAACTGTCATCCAAAGTACCTGCACCATTTTGTGTTTCCACCAGCAATGAATGGGAGTTTCTGTTGTTCCATATTCTTGCCAACATTTGGTGCTGTTAGAGCTCTGGATTTTAGCCATTCTAATAGGTGTGTAGAGGTATCTCACTGCTGCCTTAATTTGCATTTTCCTGATGACATATGATGTGGAGCAACTTTTCATATTCTTATTTGCCATTTGAATATATTCTTTAATGAGGTGTCTGTTTAGGTCTCTGGCCCACTTTTTAAAAATTGGGCTGTTTGCTTTCTTATTGTTGAGTTTTAAGAGCTCTTTGTTAACTTCATTTTTCTCATCCCTACGGTAGGTTTATCTTCCCTATCTTCCACACACAGTTTTTGTTTAGGTCAAATCATATAATTAAACTGAGTGCAGGTTACATATTGCTGGATTGTGGCATAAATATGAGGAATTATCAATATTTTTTCTACTATTTATATCCAAAACACATATGCAGTGGTGTATTTTCAGATTAGACACTGTTATATTTTAATCTGTCTATATTTTAATGTTACAGAATACCTTGCATTATAGAATAACTTCTAAAAATTCTTTTTATGTTATGTATTAGTCCATTCTCACATTGCTGTAAAGAAATACCTGAGACTGGGTAATTTATAAAGAAAAGAGGTTTAATTGGCTCAAGGTTCTGCAGGCTGTACAGGAAACATAGCAGCATCTGCTTCTGGGGATGGAAGGTGGAAGGCAAAGAGGGAGCAGGCATCTTATGTGGCAGGAGCAGGACCAAGAGAGAGTGGGGAGGTGTCACACACTTTTAAACAACCAGATCTCACAAGAACTCACTCACTCGCTATACACTACCAAAGGGGGATGGGGCTAAACCATTCATGAAAACTCCACCCCCATGATCCAGTCACCTCCCACCAGGCCCTACCTTGGACATTAGGGATTGCAATTTGACATGAGATTTGGGTGACGACACAGATCCAAACCATATTATGCTATATTCCTTAAATATCTCTGTTTCTGTTTAGTAGTCACCTTTCTTTTACAAAATATTTGTATTTGTACTTTACCCATTCATATTCCTTTTGGAAATTTCTCAGTCTTCCTCCTCTTTGCCCTCTTTTCTTAAAAAATTTATATTTATGTACTTCATATGTAAAATTCCTACAGTAAAATTCACTATGAGTTTGACAAATGTATAGAGTTGTAGAACCACCACTCCAATCAAAGTACAGAGGAGTTTCATCCCCACCACCTTCTGAAAAGAGTAATTCTTCCACGTAACATGCCTCTGCAATTTTTTAAATCCAGGATTCATGTTCTTGCTGTTAGTCACCCCAGAACAGCAAGAACTCCTCATTAGTCAGTGAGGAGCAACAGAACAAGTTGTTCAATTACTTTGGAGATGTAGTACATGTTTCTTCAATTTCTTACAGTAATTTCTACTTTCTACATTTAGTATGTGCTTTGCACATAATAGGTCTTAAATAAATATTGATTTACTAGATTTTACGTATCTCTCTTTTTCCACATCTCTCACACACACGGACGCTAAGAAAGAAATTATCTCTCTAAGGGCAACCATGGGCAAAGAATCTGGAATATATATACAATGTATATGAGATCTAACAAAATATAAATGGTATATTTAGAGCCGTTTGAGAAAGGTATCTTAAATTGGAAAAAGATTGGGGCTTTTGGAGAACCTTCTTTTGTTTGGTAGAGGCTATAAAATGTCTGTCTCAACCAATTTTGTCTCTTGACACTTGGCGAGCATTGACTTTCCTTTCTTATGTCTGATACACAGTTAGCATGGCTGTTGTAGCGCTGAGGGTGCTTTTCTCTTCCTTCATCTGCATTTTGCCTGATGACTTTACAGGAGTGAGGAGGACCTGCCAATTAACTCTCCAGTTGAGCTCTTCAGCTAAAAAGCATATTTTATTTCTAAACTGGAATACACTTACTATAAATTATGATCTCCAACTTTACCTACAAGCTAGTGAAATTAAGATTTAAAATGAAATCATGATAGTCACCAGTTTCATTAAGGCATCTGTACTTTCTACTCCAATGCTTGGACCTAAGGACAATCCTGGCAAGTTACAATGTTTACTTTGTGTGGGATGGGACCATAGAGAGTTAGAAGACTTGGCTTTGCATATGGAATATATTTTCGGCAATCTCTGAAGCCAAGACAAAACTTTCTGGCATAATGCAAACAGAGTAAATTTTTGCAGTGTATTTTTTAATAGTTTTGAAGTTTTTAGTAATGTTTTAGAAATGCTGGTGAGCCTGCCTGAGATGTGAAGTTTCTTTCCTTCCAGCTTGCTAAATACTGATTAGTGGGTTCCCTTTGTACCTTTGCCAAGGAGGTTCTGGATGCTAGTTCCTTGGGTGCATGAACTCAGCTGCCCCATCCTACACAGCATTAAGAGGTAAAGCCTGGGCCTCAGATGTAGGGCTTGATCTTTTTTTTTTTTTTTGACTTTTTTTTAGAACAATTTTTAAGAAAAAAGAATTGCTGTAAAATCTTTGCCCATTTAAGTTTCAATTGTGCCCCTCATGTCCCTA
Source organism: Homo sapiens (assembly GCF_000001405.40). Lineage (NCBI taxonomy): Eukaryota > Metazoa > Chordata > Mammalia > Primates > Hominidae > Homo > Homo sapiens. The sequence goes on from NC_000007.14 coordinate 48,420,835, forward strand.
AGAGCAAAAGGATCCAGTCCAGGATCACGAGCTGCACTCAGTTGCAGGCCTCTTTAGTCACTGTCAATCTGCAAGAATTCCTCAGTTTCCTTGACTTTCATGACCTCAATATTTTTGAAGAGTCCAGACCACGTATTTTGCACAATGAGCCTCAATATGGGTTTGCCCTATTTTGCTGTGATTGGTCAGGTTATGCATTTTTAGTTGGCATATTCCAGGGGTGATGCTGTGTCCCACTGCTCCTGGCTGCCTGCTACACAAGGCTGATCTGTCCCATGGCTAGTGAGGTGATCTTTTTTCCCAGGTAAAGTGGAAAGTGGTGTCTGCCAGGCTTTCCCACTCTTAAGTTAATTTCCTTTTCTCTCTCTTTTTTTTTTTGAGGATATATTTTGAGAATCTGTAAATTCCACTTTTCTTACCCACCTGTTTTTGCATCTTCTGATGTTCCTTGCCAGAATTAAAAATTATTACTATGGCACTTGCCAAGTGGCGATTTTTCTAATTCCATCATTCCTTCCATGTGTTTTAGTTGGCATTGTCCAGTAAGAAAGAACTCTCTCTTTACCCCATTGACCTATTTATATAAGGAACCACTCATAGCATTCTATTCTACTCAATGAGTTACAATTCAGTAGGGTCATTATTTACTTTGAGGCTCATGTCATACCAAGTTGAGCCAGTGGGAGGTCCTTCAAGCTGGTTTTTGTGCCTTTTAACTCATGCCTCCCATTCTTTGAGCATTTTCCTGCTTCCTGACAAAACAAGATGTTCTAGGATTGCCATTCTTTCCCAGCCCTGGCTCTAGAATCAGCCATTTCTCCAAGAAATCCTGGCTGCTCAATACGCTCATGGTGATTGGGGTGTTGCTGCTCTGAGGTTCCCTCATGGATAAAGTAAAAGATCCACCTCTATTTTTGCTTCTCTTTCTGCCTATAAATACAAAACTAGGAGTTCAACTCCACATCTCTAATTCCAATCCAATTACACAGCATTCATTTAGTGTTTCCTCTTGCCTTATTTGTACCGCCCTTCACTGATAATGAGAAACTCGACTTACTCATTCTTATGCTACCTTTTCCCTTAGTCCTCCTGTGTGCAGCTCATCTTCCAAGGCCTCCACACTGCTTTGCTGCTCTGCTCACATGCTGTCTTGTGTGAACCTGCCCCACTTCAGCTGCCACTTTCTGTTGGCCCCAAACCCTAATCTGGTGTCTTTCTTACAAAAA